>NC_000002.12:151125981-151429011 GCF_000001405.40 Homo sapiens | reverse complement strand
TAAAATCCAAAAAACCAGAAAAACTTCATTTATCTTGCTTTAAGCAAAACAAATTCACAGAAAATCAAAATTGTTAAAATATTACTTACCTGGATTTAAAGCAAAATTATCTATTAAACTCTTCCAAGCAATAAAAGCTATCTTTTTAATCATGGGTGCTCCACTACGAAATCCAAGTTCTTCTAGTTGCAAGAGAGAATTGATGAAACTCCCACTTCGATGCAAGGTCTAAAAAGGGGAAAAAATCATTAAGAAGTTATTTATCTGCATGAAACAGAATAATTGCTATCATTCCTTTATTCATTCACTTAACAGATGCTCTTAGGACTTCATAATCTAATGGGGAGACAAAAGACAAATTATTCACAAAACATAAAGAGATGTGTTAAATGTTAGATATGTTAAAAGTCTTAGGAATATAAGAAAATAAACTTTAAACACACATTCTAAACTCAAGATCACAAAATATATAAAGTTTGAAGAAGCAGACAATGTACAACACAGAACATTTCTAAAACAGAAAATTAGGAGAGCAGATAAATCCCAAACTTTATCAAATCAATACCAAACAAAATATACATTAAAAAATTATATTAGAGAAAAAAGGCATTGAACCCTGAAAATAATAAAAATAACCTTTCAAACAAACTGAATGGAAAATTAAGGAAACATCTTATTTCATGGCTGTAAAAGAAATATTTTTTAAAAACAGTATTATCTGCTAATAAAAAATAGTAAAAGTGAGATAAAAATCAAGAAAACTGAATAACTTTTCTTTTTTTTGAGAGGGAATCTCGCTCTGTCGCCCAGGCTACAGTGCAGTGGTGCCATTTTGGCTCACTGCAGCCTCCAGCTCCTGGGTTCAAGTGATTCTCCTGCCTCAGCCTTCCAAGTAGCTGGGATTACTGGCTAATACTACCACGCCCAGCTAATTTTTGTTTTGTTTTGTTTTGTTTGAGATGGAGTCTTGCTCTGTCACCCGGCTGGAGTGCAATGGCTGGATCTCAGCTCACTGCAACCTCTGCCTCCCAGGTTTAAGCGACTCTCCTGCCTCAGCCTCCCAAGTAGCTGGGATTATAGGTGCGTGCCACCATGCCTGGCTACTTATTTTATTTTTGGTTGAGGCAGGGTTTCACCATGTTGGCCAGGCTGGTCTCGAACTCCTGAACTCAGTCCACCTCGGCCTCCCAAAGTGCTGGGATTACAGGCGTGAGCCACCATGCCGGCCTAATTTTTGTATTTTTAGTAGAGACAAGGTTTTGCCATGCTGGCCATGCTGGCCAGGCTGGTGACTAACTACTGACCTCAAGTGACCCACCCGCCTCAGCCTCCCAAAGTGCTGGGATTACAGACATGAGCAACCACAGCTGGTAGAAAACCGGATAACTTCTGAATTACTTCCAAATATTATGTAAGATTTAAATGGGA
The DNA here is from genome assembly GCF_000001405.40 of Homo sapiens. Taxonomy (NCBI): domain Eukaryota; kingdom Metazoa; phylum Chordata; class Mammalia; order Primates; family Hominidae; genus Homo; species Homo sapiens. The sequence goes on along the minus strand of NC_000002.12, from coordinate 151,427,583 downwards.
ATACTATCAAACAAAAAGAAAAATATGAGCTCAGGAGAAAAAAAAACAAAAAAAAAAATTAAAAAAAAAAATAGGCCAGGCACGGTGGCTCACACCTGCAATCCCAGCACTCTGGGAGGCCAAGGCAGGCGAATCACCTAAGGTCAGGAGTTCGAGACCAGCCTGACCAATATGGAGAAACCCCTTCTCTACTAAAAATACAAAAATCAGCCAGGCGTGGTGGCACATGCCTGTAATCCCAGCTACTCGGGAGGCTGAGACAGGAGAATCACTTGAACCTGAGAGGCCGAGGCTGCAGTGAGCCGAGATCATGTTTGCACTCCAGCCTGGGCAACAAGAGTGAAACTCTGTCTCAAAAAAAAAAGAAAAAAAGGAAAATAAAGTACAAAATGGAAAAATGACAAGTAATGCATCACAAATAAAAAATTACATCAACACGAATGCTCCTAACAGGCTATAAACCACATATAATCTTAACAGGCTATAAACCGGTAACAAAAAAAAAAGGTTTAGAAAATAAAAAACACACAAGTTAGCTATAAGAGCTAAAGGAAATACTTCGTAATAGATCTAGCCCAAGAAGTTAAAGACACAAGATGAAAATTATGAAGCACTGCTGAAAGAAATTAAAGACCTAGGCCTGGCACAGTGGCTAACACCTGTAATCCCAGCACTTTGGGAGGCCGAGGCAGATGGATTGCTTTAGGTCATGAGTTTGAGACCAGCCTGGCCAACATGGTAAAACCCCATCTCTACTAAAAATACAAAAATCAGCTAGGCATGGTGGCAGGCACCTATAATCCCAGCTACTCGGGAGGCCGAGGCAGGAGAATCACTTGAACCCGGGAGGCTGAGGTTGCAGTGAGCCAATATAGCCAGGACAACAGAGCGAGACTCTGTCTTAAAAAAAAAACAAAAAAAAAACCCTAAATAAATGGAAAGACATCTGTGTTCATGGGTAGAAAGACTTAACATCAATGAAATGCTAACTACTCAAGGCATTATATGCAGATTCATCACAATCCCTACCATGATTCCAACTGTCTTTTTCACAGATAAAGAAGTCGATCGTCAAATTCACACGGAATTGCAGTCTCAAAAAGCCAAAACAGCCAGGCGTGGTGGCTCACACGTGTAATGCCAGCACTTTGGGAGGCCAAGGCGGGAGGATTACAAGGTCAGGAGTTCGAGACCAGCCTGGCCAATATGGTGAAACACTGTCTCTACTAAAAATACAAAAATTTAGCTGGGCGTGGTGGCGTGCGCCTGCAGTCTCAGCTACTCGGGAGGCTGAGGCAGGAGAATCGCTTGGACCCAGGAGGCAGAGGTTGCAGTGAGCTGAGATCACGCCACTGCACTCCAGCCTGGGCGACACGGACAGTCTCCAGCTCAAAAAAAAAAAAAAAAAAAAAAAATTAAAAGCCAAAACAATCCTGAAAAATAATAAAACCAGACAAACTGACTGCCAAACTTAGCATAAAGCTATAGTAATTAATACATATGATAATGGCATAAGGACAGCCATACAGACCACAAGAATAGAATACTGAGCTTGGATATAAATCTTTACACCTATGTTCAATTGATTTTCAAAAGGGTACCACAGGCCAGGCGCGGTGGCTCACGCCTGCAATCCCAGCACTTTGGGAGGTCGAGGCGGGTGGATCTCTAGAGCTCAGAAGTTCGAGACCAGCCTGGCCAACGTGGTAAAACCCCTTCTCTAATAAAAATACAGAAAAGAAAAAAAAAATGTGCCGAGCATGGTAGTGCGCGCCTGTAATCCCAGCTACTTGGGAGACTGAGGCAGGAGAATTGCTTGAACCCAGGAGACAGAGGTTGCAGTGAGCCGAGATCATGCCACTGCACTCCAGCCTAGGCAACAGAGTAAGACTCTGTCTCACAAAAAAAAAAAAAAAAAAAAAAGGGTACCACAAGGATTTAATAAAAACAACCTCTTCAGTAAAAGATATTGAGGAATCTGAACATCTGCATGCAAAAGGATGAACGTGGACTCTCACCTTACACCATATCCAAATATTCACTCAAAATGGTTCAAAGATCTACATTCAAGATCTAAAACTGGAAAATTCTTAGACGAAAGCATTGGGAAACAAAAATGACACTGGATTTGGCAACAACTTCATGAATATGATGTCAAGTACTAGCAATAACAAAAAATATATATATTATACTTCACCAAAATTAAAAACTCTGCAATGGATATTACCAAGAAAGCAAAAGAGAACCTACAGAACGGAATTAAATATTTGCAAATCACAAAACTAAGGGATGCATATCCAAAACATATAAAGAACTACAACTCAACAACAAAAATTCAAACCTACTCAAAAATGGGCCAAGGACTTAGACATTTCTCCACAGACAATGAAACAAACAGCCAAGAACCAAGTGAAAAGATGTTCAACATCACTAGTAATCAGAGAAATGCAAATCTATACCAAATCAATCCCACTTCACATTCACTAGGATGGCTATCAAAAAAAGGAAAATAAAAAGTGTTGGTGAGGATATTATGGAAGCGGAACCCCAGTGCATTACTGGTGGGAATGTAAAATGGGGCAGCTGCTACAGAAGAGTTTGGTGCTGGCTGGTTCAAGTGGCTCATGCCTGTAATCCAACAATTTTGGAGGCTGAGGCAGGCGGATCACTTGAGTTAGAGACCAGCCTGAGCAGCACGGCAAAACCCAGTCTCTACAAAAAATATGGAAAAAAAAAAAAAAAAAAAAAAAAAAAAAAATCAGCCGGGCTGGGTGGTAGTCCCAGGTAATTGGGAGGCTGAGATGGAAGGATGGTTTGAGACTGGGAGACAGAGGTTGCAGTGAGCGAGGTTGTGCCACTGCACTCCAGCCTGGGTGATAGATAGAGCCAGACCTTGTCTCAAAAAAAGAGTTTGGAGCTTTCTCAAAAAGTTAAGCATAGAACTACTACATAACCCAGCAATTCCACTCTTAAGCATATACCCAAAAAACTGAAAGCAGGAACTCCAACAGATTTGTACACTGGTGTTTACAGCAACATTATTCACAATAGCCAAAAGGTAGAAACAACCTAAATGTCTCTCAACAGATAAACAAAATGTGTTATATACATACAATTACTCAGCCATAAGAATCCAACTTTAATATATGTTATGACATGGATAAATCTTAAAAACTTTATGCTTCCAGGCACGGTGGCTCACGCCTATAATCCCACCACTTTGGGAGGCCGAGGTGGGCAGATAACAAGGTCAGGAGATCGAGACCATCCTGGTCAACATGGTGAAATCCTATCTCTACTAAAAACACAAAAATTAGCCGGACATACTGGCACATGCCTGTAGTCCCAGCTACTCAGGAGGCTGAGGCAGGAGAATTGCATGAACCCGGGAGGCAGAGGTTGCAGTGAACCAAGATCACGCCATTGTACTCCAGCCTGGGTGACAAGAGCGAAACTCCGTCTCAGAGAAAAATAAAAAAACTTTATGCTTAGTGAAATAAGCCAGACACGGAAGGGCATATATGTTATAATTTCACTTTTATGAGGTACCTAGAATAAGCAAATTCAGAGACAGGAAGTAGAACAGACATTACCAAAGGGTGATGTCTGGGTGCAGGAGGAGGGCAGAGGAAGTTTACTCTTTAATGGGTACAGTTTTTGTTAGGGATGATGCACAGGTTTTGGGTATAGATAGTGGTGATGCTTACAACATTATGAATAGATTTAATGCCACTGACTTGTTCATTTACAAATGGTTAGAACATGTATATTTACCACAATAAAAGCAGCACACCCCCTACCACCCAAAACCTGGCTTAATCATTGAACATACAGTTGATTCTCTCTCATTATTCATAGTAGTTATGGTTTTCTATTATATAAAGTAGCCTTGAACACTAAATTGGCAAATACTGAGTGATCACTCCCATGGGAAATACAGGGTTAGGTTCTCTGGACACAACACTTTTGTCAGCTGTTCAATATATAACCTGCTTAACGTCTATTAGAAGATATTTTATACAAATGAATCACTAACATCAAACTCACAGCCAGTAGCTCTATAAATCATGCCTGAACAAAGTTTATTTTCACCATTGGGTATATCACAGCCTTCCTTTGCTTAGGAACACAAACTAGAAAGCACCTGGACCCAAGCTTTAGGTTCCAAATTTAAACAGTGAAACCACCAGGAAAAGCACAGAAAAGTGAAAAATGTGGCATTACATGGATTATAAAAAGGACACCTGTTTAAGGTATGAGAACTAAAACAAAAAGGCAGAGCGTAACCTTGCTTGACCTCAGCTGGAAACATGCACGTTGTGTGACTCCAATTCTTTGCCACTTTGGGTGTCTACAAATGAAAGCAAAAGCAATGCAAGTACTGGTTTCAGATTTACAAATAAATTTTAGTGAGTAGGCATGAAATAATGAGCATCAGCTGTACAAAGGAAATAATGAGCATCAACTGTACAAAGAAAAGGTAAGAAAATAAAGAGTCCAGCATGTAAAAACTGTTGACTGTTCATTAACTGGGCACTTACCCTTCCAAGTAGTTTGACAAACAAAGGCCATAATTTTAACACGTAAGTCTCATTTTTACTCATAAATAGCTTCTGAAGTTCTGAGATTAATTTCTGCAAACAAAAGCAATTAATTTACCAAACAGACTCTTAGAAAAAAAAATCCAATACCAAAGTCTAGGAATAATTTTCAAAAACTGATTCAACCAAATAGTTTTCTCCATAATAAAAATATTACCCCACCCAAGGCCAGGTGCGGTGGGTCAAGCCTGTAATCCCAGCACTTTGGGAGGCTGAGGCAGGAGAATCACCTGCCTCGGCCTCACTCTTGAAGTCAGGAGTTCAAGACTGGCCTGGCCAATATGGTGAAACCCTGTCTCTACTAAAAACACAAAAATTAGCTGGGCATGGTGGCAGACGCCCATAATTCCTGCTACTCGGGAGGCTGAGGCATGAGAATTGCTTGAACCTGGGAGGTGGAGGTTGCAGAGAGCAGAAATCGTGCCACTGTCCTCCAGCCTGGGCGACAGAGCAAGACTGTCTCAAAAAAAAAAAAAAATTTTCCCAAAAGACTCCAAAAGGAAAACTGAAGCATATAGCAAATCCGAGTGAGTTTTTACAGTAAATGCTCTAATACAAACACTCAGATTCTACCATTAACACTTTACTATGTTGGTCTTATCACCTATCTGGCCATCCTACCATCCATCAATCCAACTTTTTTTTTCTACCAATATACTTTACCCTAAAAATGTCAGCATGCATATCATTAACTAGTTTAAATGACACTGTATTTTTTCACAATAATGAAAAAATACATTAATAGCTTCATAATCAACAGACACGTGAAATAATTTTTAGCTCAAATTTATATAAAGAATTTCATATATGCTTTGTTGCAAGCTTGATAAATGGGTTAAAGAAAGAATTTTATGGTCAGGCGCAGTGGCTCATGCCTGCAATCTCAGCACTTTGGGAGGCCGAGGCGGGCGGATCACAAGGTCAGGAGTTCGAGACCAGCCTGGCCAATATGGTGAAACCCCATCTCTACTAAAAATACAAATATCGGTCGGGCATGGTTGCAGGTGCCTGTAATCCCAGCTACTCCTGCTGAGGCAGGAGAATCGCTTGAACCCAGGAGGTGGAAGCTGCAGTGAGCTGAGACTGCGCCACTGCACTCCAGCCTGGGCAACAATTGCGAAACTGTCTCGAAAAAAAAAAAAAAATTATATATGTCACTAAAATTGAATTCATCAGAATAAAGCTATTTATGAGACACTCGAGTTACTGTGTCATACTGAACATTACCACGAAGTCTTCTGCATTTTAAGCAAGTAAAATCCCAGGTTTTAGGGGCTGGGTGTGGTGGCTCACGCCTGTCATCCCAACACTTTGGGAGAGTGAAGTGGGAGGATTGCTTGAGCCCAGGAGTTCGAGACCAGCTTGGGTAATATAGTGAGACCTTGTCTCAAACAAAAAACAAAACAAGACCTTCAAATATGGCTTTCCATGTAATCTAGAGTAAAAATCCATCCTTACAATGGTCCCTGCCATAGTCCTATGTGATTGGGCCCTCTTTTCCTCTCACTCTCATTCACTCCACTACTGTCATACTGCCCAGAGTTCCCAGAACACCAACCAGGTACACAACCATTAGAGCAGGGCCTTTTGCCCTCATAGTTCTCTTGTCTGGTTCTTTATCTACATGGGTAACTCCTACTCTGCCTTCAAATCACTGTTCAAATGTCCTTTCCTTTGCCTTCTCTGACCACCTTACATTCCTTTCTCACAGCACTCTCCGGTCCTTGCTCTTCTCCTTAGTGGTCTTCACTTACTACACTATGTACTTAATTATCTCTCCCACAAGAAAATAAGCTCCATCAAGCCTCTTTTGTTCACTGCTATATTCACAGCGCCTGCAACAATGCACTGCACATATCAGATGCCCAGTAAATATGTTAGAACAACAATGGTTAGAAAACCTAAAACCTGTGGCAAGTAATAACTAGAAAACTATAGAGACTAGGTAAGTTTATGTACATTAAATTTGTATCTACTGGGATTATACAGTAACAACCCAAACATGAGTCAATCAGTTAATGCTCTCCCTCTTTCAGAAATACAATTCCTATTTCCTATTTATTGGGAATGAAGTAAAATGTCTGGATTTTAGCAACAATAGATAGCTCCCTTCCTTACTACTATGTAATGAGCAATGTGCCTTTGCTAACTTATGCAACTCTTAAGGTTTTGATTCAAAGCTAAAATCCTATATCATAGTGCAACTATACCAATATGCCCAGACAGATTTTTTTTTTTTTTTTTTTTTGAGACAGGGTCTCATTCTGTCACCCAGGCTAGAATGCAGTGGTGAGATCATAGCTCACTGCAGCCTCAAATTTCTGGTCAAGCAACCCTCCCGCCTTAGTCTCCCAAGCATCTGAGACTACAGGCGCATGCCACCACGCCCAGCTAATTTTTAAGATATTTTGTAGAGATGGGTCTTCACTATGTTGCCCAGATGGGTCTGGAACTCCTGGCCTCAAGCAATCCTCCCACCTCAGCCTCCCGCTTTGGGACTACAGGTGAGAGCCACCGTACCTGGCCACCAGACTGAATTTTAAGCTTAGTGCAGAACCTTCCGATGCAGTATCCAGAAAATTCTTACATAAAAGAACACTCACAGTAGTCATAAGCTGCTCCGTAATAGATGCTATTTCTTGCTGTTTCTGAAGCAATAATGGCATTCCCATCTCCAGAGCAGTTGCTCCCCGCAAATGTACCTTTTGTGCTGAATGAACCACTAAAGGTATGACCAGTTTTGCCCACCTCACTGCCTCTTCTCCCATTTGAATTGGGGCTTGTTCAATTAGCCTATAATAGAGAAATCAATGAATAATTAGCGTGACCTCATGTTTTAAGTCTAAACAAGCAGTAAAATAGGTGAAACAGAAATATACACAGTACGGCCCATTTGTTTTAGAATATATACAAATATGCATATACACACAAGAAATAGATCTTATTTTTACGAATTTGCACATTATTGCTTTTGTAAATTTTTTTTAAAGAACCAATCTTGTCTTTAGATTGAAACATTTCAGTCATCCCTCAGTATCCCTGGGGGATTGGTTCCAGGACCTCACAATAATGCTCAAGTCCAATATGAAAAGGACAGTATTGTCATTCACCACAGAGCAACGTTTTGGTCAAAGATGCAGCACATTCACAATGGTGGTCCCATAAGATTATGAGGGACCTGACAAGTTCCTATCACCTAGTGACATCATAGCTGTTGTAACACTGCAGTGCAATACATTATTCATGTTTCTGATGACACTGGTGTAAACAAATCTACTGCGCTCTCATTCATATAAAAGTACGGCGCATTTACATATAGAACATAATACTGTACTATATGATAATGATAATAAATGACCGGCCGGGTGCAGTGGCTCACACCTGTAATCTCAGCACTTTGGGAGGCCGAGGCGGGTGGATCATGAGGTCAGGAGATCGAGACCATCCTGACCAACATGGTGAAACCCTGTCTCTTCTAAAAATACAACAATTAGCTGGGTGTGGTGGCACATGCTTGTAATCCTAGCTACTTGGGAGGCTGAGGCAGGAGAATTGCTTGAACCCGGGAGGCGGAGGTTGCAGTGAGCCAAGACCTCACCACTGCGCTCCAGCCTGGTGACAGAGCAAGATTCCGTCTCAAAAAAAATAGTAATAAAAAAACAAAAAATAAATGACTAAGTTACTGGTTTATGTATATACTACACTATAATTTTTATCATTAGAGTTTACTCCTACACTATAATTTTTATCATTAGAGTTTACTCCTACTTGTATTTAAAAAAAGTTAACTGCAAAGTAGCCTTGAGGGTCCTTCAGCAGATACTCCAGAAGGTAGCATCAATCACAGAAGATGACAGCTCCATGCATGTTACTGCCCCTGAACACATTTCAGTATGACAAGATGTGGAGGTGGGAGACAGTAGAATGATCCTGACCCTGCAGAGGCCCTAGGCTGATGTGTTATGTTGCTAACCAAAAAGTTATGAAAGTTAAAAAAAAAAAAAAAAAAAAAAAGAATTTAAGGCTCCTAGAATAAGGATCTAACGAGGGAAAATATGTTTGCACAATTGTATGTTTGTGTTTTAAGCTAAGTATTCTTTTTTTTTTTGAGACCAAGTCTCACTCTGTCACCCAAGCTGGAGTGCAGTGGTGCAATCTCAGCTCACTGCAACCTCTGCCTCCCGGGTGCAAGTGATTCTCAATGCCTCAGTCTCCCATATAGCTGAGATTACAGGCACGCGTCACCACGCCCGGCTGATTTTGTATTTTCAGTAGAGATGGGGTTTCACCATGTTGGCCAGGCTGCTCTCAAACTCCTGACCTCAGGTAATCCACCCACCTGGGCCTCCCAAAGTTCTGGGATTACAGGTGTGAGCCAAAGCTAATTATTCTTACAGGCCTGAACCACTGTGCCTGGCCAAAGCTAATTATTCTTACAAAAGTCAAAAAGTTTAAAAATTTTAAAGTTACAGTAAGCTGCCCAGGCACAGTGGTTCAGGCCTGTGATCCTGGTACATTGGGAGGCTGAGGTGGGTGCACCACCTGAGGTCAGGAGTTCAACTCCAGACTGGCCAACGTGGCAAAACCCTGTCTCTGCTAAAAATACAAAAATTTGCCAGGTGTGGTGGCTGACGCCTATAATCCCAGCTACTCGGGAAGCTGAGGCACAAGAATTACTTGAACCTGGGAGGTAGAGATTGCAGAGAGCTGATATCACACCACTACACTCCAGCCTGAACAACAGAGTGAGACTGTCTCAAAAAAATAAAGTTACAGAAAGTAGAGGTTAATTTATTTTAAAAATGTTTTTATAGATTTAGTATAGCCTAAGTGTACAGTCTTTATGAAATCTGCAATAGTGCACAGTAATGTCCTAGACCTTCACATTCCCTCATCACTCCTTCACTGACTCACCCAAAGAACCTTCAGTCCTAAAACCTCCATTCGTGGTAAGTGTGAGATACAGGTGTACCATTTTTTAATCTTTTTTATCATATTTTTAGTGTACCTTTTCTATGTTTAGGTACACAAATAGTATCGTGTTAGAAGTGCCTACAATATCCAGTACAGTAATATACTGTACAGGTCTGTAGCCTAGGAGCAACAGGTTGTACCATGCAGCCTGGGTATATAGTAGGCTATTCCACCTAGGTTTGTGTAAGTCCTCTTAATAATGTTTGCACAATGATGAAATTACATGATGCATTCCTCAGAATGTATTCCCATCATTATGTGACACATGACTGTATTTGCATATAACCTACGCACATCCTCCCATATACTTTAAATCATTTCTAGGTTACTGATAATAGCTAATACAATGTAAGTGCTAAGTAAGTAGTTGTTATACTGTACTGTTTAGGAAATAATGACAAGAAAATCAGAGTCTGTACATGTTCAATACAGATGCAATTTTTCTGAGACTTTCAACCCTCAATTGGTTGAATCCAAGGATGCAGAACCTACAAAGGGCCAACTGTATTACTTATTGTTATATTACTAAATTCATCATTGTTATAGAAAAGGATAGCCAGAGAACCATGACATAATCTTAGCATCAATCAGAGCATTCAACAGTGGGGAAGTTAAAGCAAGTAACTCAACAAGAAAATTTTAAAGAACAAAAAACAGGGAAGACAGAAATGTCATCAAAGAGTTTACACTTAAAAGAGTTTATGCGTTGGCATGCCTGTTACAACAAAAATGAAGAAGGTACTCTATTCCCTGCTAAACACTGACTGCCTTCCTAAACAACCCAAGCCCACTTATGAGTTTACATTATTTTTTAAATCCTTACACAAACTTTAAGATATTTTTCAAACCTGAACTGTGTATGTTACTAGCAGGAACATAACCAAGACTTCACCTTGAACATGGTCCCAGTAAAAATAAACAAAAAACCTAGTAACCCACACATATCTACTTCCATCTTTTTTCTATTACTTTTTGTCCTTGAGTCGTTTGGTGTAAATGACATTCCCCCCTTTTAATGTCTGTCTCTCATTTAAATCCCAAAAACCCTCTCCTTCAGCTAAATTTATGAAAACTATTCTTCAATTTGCACAACATCCAAATGCATACCTTACGATAACATTTAATGCTTCAAAATCAACAACAGCAGAATGCGTCTCTCCTTTGTTAAACAGTATTTCTAATGAATCAATTATACTGGATACCTAAAAAACGAACCAAATAAATACAAATGAAATAAGCCTGAACTGTTTTTATTGGCATTATAGTTTTTTCTTTTAATTGGCATATAGTTAAGATGGCATACCCAAAAACTATACTCACCATTTTGCCAACCACTTCAGAGGGAAATGTCTGCTTAGATATCACCCAAAGTGCTCTAGTACGTACATTTTTGTCTGAATTCTTAATGGTATCATTCAATTTTGAAAGCAATTCTAGAGCATTTGCCTCTGAAAAACAAGCAGTTTTAATTTTGTATAGAATAGGTGATACTCTTTAAAGTCTCAAATATAAAACTAGAGAAAACAATATACTCATCAATCATAAAATTAAATGTATATCCAGAGAACAGATCAGAGAACCAATGCTGATACCAAACTTCTCCCAAAAACACAAAATTCAGATTAGAGGGGAGGATATACTGAGAGAAAATAAAACAACAGACACCAAATCAGATATCTTGTGCAACTGAAATAACTAGATATCACTGTAGGTTTGAACATACAAGACAATTTTTGGTAAGATGTTTTCAATCCTGCATCTCTGCTCCAAAATGAACAACTCCTGCTTTAGGTTGCTAACACTTCCATGTATAAAAAAGAGCAGGCAGCAGCTTTTCCCTCAAAAACAGATGGTAACAACTTTGACATCTTTATTCCTAACTTCCCTTCTCTAAAGATAAGGGTTTCCTTTACAATGGAAATCATCTAACTATGGAGCAACAGTGCAGACTACTTGAAAACTTGGAAAGCATTAGGTTCTGTGCTTTCATTACCACTTTTAGTTCCAAATTATCCCACATTTATCATGTCAAAGAACTTTTCAATTCAGCATATTCCTTAGTGCATATGCCTGAATAAAAGTTTCCCTTTTTACAGCAATCATGTTTAAATACCCTTTTCATTTGATTTTTTTTGAGACGGAGTTTCACTCTTGCCCAGGCTGGAGTGCAATGGCAACACCTTGGCTCACTGCAACCTCCATCTCCCAGGTTCAAGCGATTCTCCTGCCTCAGCCTCCCGAGTAGCTGGGATTACAGGAATGCGCCACCACACCCAGCTAATTTTTTTTGTATTTTTAGTAGAGACGGGGTTTCTCCAGGTTGGCCAGGCTGGTCTCGAACTCCCGACCTTAGGTGATCCACCCGCCTCGGCCTCCCAAAGTGCTGGGATTACAGGCATGAGACACTGCACCCAGCAATATCCTTTTTTTTTTTTTTTTTTTTTTGAGACAGAGTCCCAGTCTGGAGTGCAGTGGCAAGCTCTGCCTGCCAGGTTCACGCCATTCTCCTGCCTCAGCCTCCCCAGCAGATGGGACTACAGGCACCTGCCACCACGCCCGGCTAATCTTTTGTCAAATACCATTATTTTTAAGAGCAAATTTTGTAGTATCGAAGTTAGAGCTATGTGTAGGTAATGATAATCTAAACATTCTTTTTTTTTTTTGAGATGGGGTCTCACTTATCACCCAGGTTAGAGTACAATGGCACGATCTCGACTCACTGCAAACTCCGCCTCCCGGGTTCACGTCATTCTCCTGCCTCAGCCTCCCGAGTAGCTGGAACTACAGGCGCCCGCCACGGTGCCCGGCTAATTTTTTGTATTTTTAGTACAGACGGGGTTTCACCATGTTAGCCAGGATGGTCTCGATCTCCTGACCTCATGATCCACCCGCCTCGGCCTCCCAAAGTGCTAGGATTACAGGCGTGAGCCACCACACCCAGCCATTCTTTCTTTCTTAAAAGCAAACCTTAAACTACAGGTTCTGAAACTAATCCAGACATAACAGTACTTTTAACAGCATCAAACTACTTATACTTAAAACTTATACTTTATACTCTAAAAATATTAAGTCATAAGAAATTTATCTACCTGATAATTCTGAGGTAATTTTGGGATTATATAAGCAAAACCCCAGGGCTTGTAGAGCAGCACTACTCAGCTCCGAGTTTTGACTGGAAATGTGAGTCTACAAAAACAAAATCACATTTATTACAAACAAGCACAACTGTAAATCAATTTTTAGAAAGCAGAAGTTGATTACAGAACAAGCATATTCATCATGTTACTCCAACAAATCCTTGAGAATACGCATAAAAAATAAAAATAAAAATAAACAAGGAATAAAATCCAAAGGCCATGTGTACAGCTTGGTAAAGAAAGGAGAGGAAACTGGATCGAGATCACCTGAATGAAGATAAAGGATATCTCTACACCTATGAAAGCAAAGAGGTCAACAGATGAAAGATGCTAAAGACATGACAGGGAAAAGGGAGCAAGGCCCTTCCACTGAGTAAACAAGAGACTCAAATCCAAAAGCTAACATCCTAGCTTTAGAGTGGAGTGACATCTCTTCCTCTAAGACTGGGAGAAGGAAGGGGTTAGAATGTAACGTTTATAAAGTATCTATTATTATCTCAATTAATAGTAAAATAAAACAATTTTTTAAACCTTATACATAAGAGAATTTCAATCCATGTCAATCTAGAAATTTTTTTTTTTTTTGAGACAGAGTTTCGCTCTTGTTGCCCAGGCTGGAGTGCAATGGTGTAATCTCAGTTCCCTGCAACCTCTGCTTCCCAGGTTCAAGAGCAGCTGGGATGACAGGCGCGCGCCACCATGCCTATATTTTTGTATTTTTTGTAGAGATGGGGTTTCACCATGTTGGCCAGGCTGGTCTCAAACTCCTGACCTCAGGTGATCCACCCGCCTCAGGCCTCCCAAAGTGCTGGGATTACAGGCGTGAGCCACCGTGCCTGGCTGTCAATCTAGAATTTAAAGCCCAACTCATACCATTTATGTAAAAGCTATAAAAGGCCAAATCTGTCAAAGAGTATCTCAATATGAAAGTTTACTTTTACCCTGTACCCCATTTCCCTTGTACCATTTCCTACTCCAAAGGGATTTATCTTCAAAACCCCCATATCTATTTGAATCAAATATCCAAGGAATCTTCAATTGTTATTCTTGAGCAGGAAGAATAGCAAATGTAAATGGTTAAATATATGAGCAGATACTTCCCTGCAGTGTCTTCTATATTTACAAAACGAAGCCAAAAAATGCAAATCCTAGAGTACAGAATGTAAGGGATATAGCACAGCAACCAGTTGTAAGCAACTAAGTAAGGCTTAATACTTTGAGAGCTACTAGTGTATCTCCTGGATAACAGCTAGTAAATGTTTGTGATTAATCTTCATTAAACTTACTTGAAAGTGTTCCTTAACGATGATGTGTCTCATTTTCAAGAATGTTGTAGATTCCTAGACACAATCCTAGCTGAACTCTGAACACGACATATAAACATGTTCTATTTTACCTGGTATGGTTCCTACTCTGAAAGAATTCAATTATCCTTTCATTGCTTAAAATTGCTTATTGTCCTATTATCAACCTTCCATGTGCATCCAAATAATTTCAGGTACAAATCCTATTTACGAACAATGCAACTTGACTCAAAATGTATGCAGTAAGGCTGGGCACAATGGCCCAGGCTTACTTTGGGAGGCCAAGGTGGGCGGATCACCTGAGGTCGGCAGTTCGAGACCAGCCTGATCAACATGGAGAAACCCCCGTCTCTACTAAAAATACAAAAAAAAAAGTAGCTGGGCGTAGTGGCACATGCCTGTAACCCCAGCTACTTGAGAGGCTGAGGCAGGAGAACGGCTTGAACCCAGGAGGTGTTCAAGCCATTGCACTCCAGCCTGGGCAACAAGAGCAAAACTCCGTCTCAAAAAAAAAAAAAGTATGCAATAGAATTCCTGATCCTATAAATACTCAATACACGAAAGTGCATGTCTTCACATCTAATTATTATAATATGGAATATGATAATGAAGAAAATGGAATAAACACTGATATTAAGTAACTAGCACACAATAAAGTTTCTGCTTACACAAAAAATGTTGATGACTGTGACACCACCAAGAGTAGGCAGTATCTCTGTTAATACTTCGCCAAAAATCACGTTAAAATGTACATGTCTGGATGAAACACTTGTTTAAAGGCACACGGCTGGGCACGGTGGCTCACACCTATAATCCTAGCCCTCTGAGAGGCCAAGGCGGGTGGATCACCTGAGGTCAAGAGTTCAAGATCAGCCTGGTCAACATGGTGAAAGCCCGTCTCTACTAAAAATATTAGCTGGGTGTGGTGGGGGCATGCCTGTAATCCCAGCTACTCAGGAGGCTGAGGCGGGAGAATCACTTGAACCTGGGAGGCAGAGGTTGCAGTGAGCTGAGATTGTGCCACTGCACTCCAGCACGGGCGACACAGCAAGACTCTGTCTCAAACAAACAAAAAGCACAAAAGCTGGGCATGGTGGCACCTACTTGTAATCTCAGCTACTAAGGAGGCTGAGGTGGGAGGATCGCTTGGACCCAGGAGTTCAAGACTGGCTTAGGCAACCTATCAAGACCCCCACCTCAATTTTAAAAATTAAAAACAAAAATAAAAGCACAAGAACAAGGTCATAATAAAAACAAACAAAAAAAATTAAAAAAAGAGAACAAGGTCATAAAAATGAGAACTCAAACTTTGGAGATAAAAGTTCAACTTTTTCATTCTAAAAACAAGGAAATTTAAAAGATGTTAAGGATAGTCAGGAAGCCATTAAGTAGGCAAGTGAAGACAGGAACACAGGTCCACAGTATGATGTCAAACATCATTTCCCTAAAGCAAAAATGATAACGGTTGTAGCAAAAACTGAGGGTGAATGAGGAAAAAGAAATTAATGCTACCTAGATTAGACCAAAGACAATTGTAATTTTAGAAGCACTTACTTAGATGTAGATTCCCAAAAGGAAAGAAAACAGATTAATCTCTGATCTCTGCTTTCAAGAGCACAAACTCAGATTCAAGTGCCCCTAGGCAACTTTAGGCAAATTAAATTAATTTCTTCACCTGCAAAGTGATCATTAAGAAATAATCTCATGGAACCATGGAGAGTTAAGTGATAAAGCGTGTAAGGTAATTAAGAAAGTACCTGAGAAGCTTTAAGTAACAATAAAGAGTATTATAATCAGTATTATTGCTGTTATTTTAGATTCAAAGCTTTTGAGTCAACTGGCAAAACTTTTAAAAACCACCAAAAGTGGCTGGACACAGTGGCTCACTCCTGTAATCCCAACACTTTGGGAGGCTGAGGCAGGCGGATCACCTGAGGTCGGGAGTTCGAGACCAGCCTGACCAACATGGAGAAACCCCTTCTCTACTAAAAATACAAAATTAGCCGGGGCGGTGGCGGATGCCTATAATCCCAGCTATTCAGGAGGCTGAGGCAAGAGAATCGCTTGAACCCGAGAGGCGGAGGTTTCAGTGAGCCGAGCCCGAGCCTGAGCCATTGCACTCTCGCCTGGGCAACAAGAGCAAAACTACACCTCAAAACAAAAAAACAAAACCAAAAAAAAAAACCAAACTACCAAAAGTGAAAAACTGTTTAACAAACAGATACATACCTTTAAAACTTTGTACAGCCGAGGAAGTTTTTTCTCAATTTCTGTAATTACTTCTTTTCCTTCTTCTCCAGTCATACGACTTAAAAAGCAGGAAGAACACAAGTTTAAGTAGTTGACAGGAAAAAAAAAAATACTCTCAAAAATACATGTACAATCTTTTTAAAAATTACTTTCTAACTCCTGCAAATGAATTGACCCAGTAGGTAAGGTCCTTAAGGGTATACAGAATATATAATGCAATATATATCAGAAATGAAAGTAGAAAAACCCTCAGAATAAGTTTTTACATCGAGTACATGCAAGTTGTGACAACCTGACTCCAAAAAGACAGAACAGGGATCCCTATTCCTAGTTACTAACGATTTGCTAAGCCTTTCCAAAGGGTTTTACAAAACTTTAGTACATTTCTATGAAAATTACTTTGAAGCATTTTGCAATTAATAAAAATCAGTGTATTGCTCTGTTAAAAAAACTCTGGGTAGCCACATTTTCCCAACACATCGGAGGTTTACACTGAAGACCCCTCCTCCAACAACTACTTCCAACCGAAACTTTTAAAAATCCCTCGCTTGCAAAACACACGTGCATGCTCCCTCGTTCCAAACACACACCTCAAGCGCAGCAGCAGCAGTACCCGGGAACGTCACCTAGAATACATCTCCCCCGCCCCCCAAGGCGTCCGCGACTCGGGCGTCCTCACATTTGCTAGACTTCTAGAACTCACATTCATTCTACGCGCCCCTCCCAACCACCTTCTTTCTCCCCACTATAGAGCGCCCCACTCTCCGCTACGCCCCGTGGCGGACCTCACCTGGTCAGAGTCAGGTAAGCGTCAGTCTGCCCTCCATGGGAGGCAGAAGGGTCTTCCAAAGTCTCCAACAGCGGCGCGAGGGGGCTCTGACCCCTGGCCGTCATGTCGGCCACCCTGAGGCCCGAACCGGAAGAGGAGAAAATCCAGTGACCGATGGAAACAGCCCCGCGGCGGCCCAGTGTGAGTCCGGCCCTCACACCCGCACGCCCGCCCGGGCCTCACAGCCACGCCGCGTCTGCACCCCAGGCCTCCGAATCACCAAACCCCAGCGCGAACCTCCTCCGGCGCCCGACACCAGACACCTGAGCCCACGCCACATTCGGGCCTGGGCCCGCTCCCGCCACCACTTTCCCGGGCAGCTTTCAACAGAGGGAGGAGATCGGCGGAGGGCGGGAGAAGCCCGGGGAACGAGGCATCTCGCCGCGAGGGGGCGGAGGGTGGGCAGACTGAGGGTTCCCCGCGGCCTACCACTGTCACCCCGATATTTATCCCACCTAGGAAGATCAGGACAGGGTTCTCTCCGCCTCTGCCCCTCAGCACCCAGACGCTGCCAGAGCTCGACTTTCCCAGCTCCGGCTGTTTACTCACGCGTGCGGCGCGCTCCCTCCTAGACCAAGATGGCGGCTGGGCGGGCCCAGGAGTGCGCGGGAGTAGGTTAGGCCTGGCGGGAGAAGTTCGAGCCAATCCAACAGTCAGCGGCACACCGGAGTTATCGATCGCCTCCCTTCCCATCCCTTCCCATCCCTTCCCTGCCCAGCTGCCGCGTCACGCCCCTCTGGTGAGCATCAGGTGGTGGTGTTTTGCCTAAGGCGAGAGACTTGAAATTCAAAATGTGAGTTAATTGCTCAGACTCACTAGACTGAACATAGTGGGCCCTCAGACTAAGTGTTCAAACTCCAAGTCCAGTGCTTGTTGAAGTTTTAGCAACAAATCAGTTAGCAAAAGGAGATAACGTACTGTTGGGTTTAAGACTAAGAGCTGGCCGGGCGCGGTGACTCACACCTTGTAATCCAAGCACTTTGGGAGGCCGAGTCTGAGGTCAGGAGTTCGAGACCAGCCTGGCCAACACATGGTGAAACCCCGTCTCTACTTAAAAAAAACAAAAATACAAAAATTAGTTGGGTGTGGTGGCGCACGCCTGTAGTCCCAGCCACTTGGGAAGCTGAGGCAGGAGAATCGCTTAAACCCGGGAAGCGGAGGTTGCAGTGGGCCGAGATCACGCCACTGCACTCCAGCCTGAGCGACAGAGTAAGAGTAAGACTCCGTCTCTCAAAAAAAAAAAAAAAGAAAGAAAGAAAAAGAAAAGAACTGTATCTCAAGCTGGTCTAGATTCCAGCTGGTCTAGGTTCCATGTGACTTTAGCAAGTTAATTAACCTATGCCTCAATTTCCTCCTCTATAAAATAGGGCTTTTAATAGGTGAAGTGAGAAAAGGTTGGAGAGGCCAATGGTTCTCAGGTCTTAAGCGTACATAACAATGGCCTGGGGATATTCGTTATTAAACTGCAGATTCCTGGGCCCCGCCCATATGCATTGTAATTCAGTAGATTTAGGTAGCTCCCGAGGATGTGCATTCTTCTGTTAGGCCCCTGGGGGGTTGAAGGGTGGGATTTGGCCAGGGCTTCTTCCCTAGAGAAACGTCAGTAAACACAATGACAGTCATTTCTCCTTACTGTGAATATGCTGCTCCTCCCCCGCCTTTTTTTTTTTTTAAGACGGAGCCTCGTTCTTTCGCCCAGGCTGGAGTGCAGTGGTGCGATCTCGGCTCACTGCAACCTCTGCCTCCCGGGTTCAAGCGAGTCTCTGACTCAGCCTCCCGAGCAGCTGGGATTACAGGCGCCCGCCACCACACCTGGCTAATTTTTGTACTTTTAGTAGAGACGGGGTTTCACCATCTTGGCCGTGCTGGTCTCGAACCCCTGACCTCGTGATCCACCCGCCTCGGACACCCAAAGTGCTGGGATTACAGGCGTGAGCCACCGCGCCCGGTCTGCTTCTCCCCTTTTCATATGCCTTCGTGCACTCTCCACAACAGACAGGATTGCATTAACTCTAAATCAGACACATGAAGCCCAGCAGCAATGGAACTCTCCATCATGGGTTCCTGGCCCAGGATTTGAGCCCTCACTCACATGTGCTGCAACTCTCAGCTCTAGAAGTGGGATGTTGCTTTTTGCTCTTCTTTGTGTCATCTGCACTTAGCAAAATGACTGCCAAACGACGCAGTACATACATAGTATGCTTATATATATATTTATTTATTTATATGTATTTATATATATTTATATTTATTTACATATATTTATATATATACACACACACACATACATATATACATATACATATATATATATATATATATATTTTTTTTTTTTTTTTTTTTTTTTTTTTTTTTGAGACGGAGTCTCGCTCTATCACCCAGGCTGGAGTGCACTGACCTGATCTCAGCTCACTGCATCCTCCGCCTCCTGGGTTCAAGCGATTCCCCTGCCTCAGCCTCCCGAGTAGCTGGGATTACAGGCATGCGCCACCACGCCCAGCTAATTTTTTGTATTTTAGTATAGACAGGTTTCACCATGTTGGCCAAGATGGTCTTGATCTCCTGACCTCGTGATCAGCCCGCCTCGGCCTCCCAAAGTGCTGGGATTACAGACTTGAGCCACCACGCCTGCCTCTACCCATTCATTAGAACATAAATTCTGTGAGAACAGGGATTTTGCTTTATTTTTTTCATAATTTCCCATTTGTAATGAAAGGACTACGGTGGTCATGTTGCTTGTATTTCTTTCATATGTATGGTTCTTTGATCTTCCAAAAATGTTATGTTTTAAATTTTATTATTTTTAAAGACAAGGCCTTGCTCTGTCACCTGGGTTGGAGTGCAGTGGTGTGATTGTGACTTACTGCAGCCCTGAACTTCTTGGGCTCAAATGATCCTCCTGCCTCAGCCTTATAAGTAGCTCAAAAATGTTATGTAAGATTTTATCATTGTCATTCCTGTGCCTAAAGTTCTCCAGCCATTCCCATCAGTAACAGGATGGATTTCAAAACTTTTGACATAACATGCAAGCCTATCATGATTGGGCCACTGCTTGTCCTTCATCTCCAGATTACTCCCACTTCATCAGATTCTGAACAGTCTGCTAAGATCTCCAGCTTCTCTGTGTCTTTGAAGACTTTTATTCAGAGCATGTATTTAGAATATTAATTACCTTCTTCAAGAGTAATAAATAAGAGTCAGGTGGCTCACACCTATAATCCCAACACTTTGCAAGGCTGAGGCAAGTGGATCACCTGAGGTCAGTTCAAGACCAGCCTGGCTAATATGGTGAAACCCCTTCTCTACTAAAAATACAAAAATTAGCCAGGCGTGGTGGTGCATGCCTGTAATCCCAGCTACTCAGGAGGCTGAGGCAGGAGAATCGCTTGAACCCAGGAGGCGGATTCAAGCCAAGATTGTGCCACTGCATCGCAGCCTGGGCAACAGAGCAAGACTCCATCTTAAAAAAAAAAAATCAACTAAAATCACACCTTTTTGTGAAATCTTTCCCTCATCTACTCTCCAACCACACACATTCTCTTCATGGAGAATTAAATGCTCCTGCCTCCCTCCTATCATGCTATAGATCTGATAAAATGAGTATCTCATTAATTTATTATTGTTTGGTTATAGGTGTTTGAGTGCAGTGGCAGAGTTGAGAGTTATCCTGATGGGGATTAATTCCATCTGTAATCTCATCTCATCAGTGCCCCTCCCTCCTATTTGACATTTTCTCAATCTGATCTAGAGTGCTAAGGGATTACAGAATGAAAACAAATACCCTTCCCCACCCAGACCCCTCTTCACACACCTTTACAACTTGGTTGCTACCCCAAAACTTCTCTTTTATAGAAATTCCATATAAATTTATATAGAAATATTTATAGCCACCCTCATGGATCTGCTACCTTTGGGCAATAAATTCATAGTACCTAGCACTCAATAAATATAATTTGAAATAATTTGTTCATATATTAATTCATCCATCTATCATCTAACTAATACACGATTTCTATCTTTCCCTCTCTAAATCCTATATCTCTTCTCCCCAGATCATCTTCCCTTTCTAGATGCCTTATATCTGCAATCCAATATTCCTTTCTAACTTCCTCATTTATGTTTTTTTGTTTTGTTTTGTTTTGTTTTGTTTTGAGACAGGGACTTGCTCTGTCACCCAGGCTGGAGTGCAGTGGTGCAAACATGGCTCAATGCAGCCTCTACCTCCTGGGCTCAGGTGATCCTCTCACCTCAGCCTCCTGAGTAGTTGGGACTACAAGAATGCACCACCATGCCTGGCTAATTTTTATTTTTTGTAGAGATGGAGTCTTGCTATGTTGCTCAGACTGGTCTCAAACTCCTGGGCTCAAGCAATTCTCCCACCTTAACCTCCCAAAGTGCTGAGATTATAGTCTTGAACCACCATGCCCAGCCACATTAAGCACACATTACTCAGCAAACGTCAAGCCTATAATCTATATCTATCAATGACTCCTTTCTCTTACTTGTCCCCAGTGGTCCTAATGATTCTCCCTTCTCAATAATTCTTAGATCTACCCACCAATGTGTATCTAAAATCTCAATTTATAGCCTAAATACACCTAAACATATTATTTCTTAAAAAAAAAAAACAAAAAAAGTTTTTATTGAGTGCCTGGTGCCATACATGCCTTATCTTTTTTTTTTTTCTTTTCGAGACAGAGTCTTGTTCTGTTGCCCAGACTGGAGTGCAGTGGCACAATCTCAGCTCACTGCAACCTCAAATGTTGCAGTGTTCAAGTGATTCTCATGCCTCAGCCACCCAAATAGCTGGGATTTCAGGTGTGTACCACCATGCCCAGCTAATGTTTGTATTTTTGTCAGAGACGGGATTTCACCATGTTGACCAGGCTCGTCTGGAATGCTTGACTTCAAGTGATCCACCTTCGTTGGCCTCCCAAACTGCTGGGATTACAGGAGAGAGCCAACACGCCCAGCCCATGCAAGCATTATCTCATTTATTTCTCACAATAATTCTAAGATGAATTACTTTCCTGGATTTACACATAGGCCATGTAAAGCTTAAAGAGTAAATTAAAACAGAGAACTTTAATCTAGCCATGTGTAACAACAAGTCTACTTGAACTACTTTCATTCATCAACATGTAATGAGCTCTACCCTGCACAAGGCACGGTGGTAAAATGGCTTTCATGATAGATTTATTACTGAATCTTGTAAGAAAAATAAAGTGTAAAGTCCTATGGGAGCCCATTATGTAAAGGGCTCATATAGTAATTCGTTTAGTAAAATCAAGTATTCATCTGTAATCCAAATTATTATAGTAAATGCAATGAGCTCAGCTTTGGATCAAAGAAATGAGTGTTTAAATACTTGCTGTGCCACTGTGTGACTTGAGATCCTCCAGAGAAATGCTTAAAGTTACCACATCTTCATCAATAAAATTAGAAGAATATACTTACATCAAAGTTCAGTGCCTAGCACAAATCTTGGCACATAATAGGTATTTAATAAGCATTTATTAAGTGATTGTATTAATTTAAAATTTCTTAATTCTTTTCTAAAATAGAATTAGTTTAATTCTTATCATTTAAAAATTGTGCGGAATTATATAAAAATCAACTCAAGGCTGGGCACAGTGGCTCACGCTTGTAATCCCAGCACTTTGGGAGGCCGAGGCGGGCGGATCACGAGGTCAGGAGATCGAGACCATCCTGGCCAACATGGTGAAACCCCGTCTCTACTAAAAATACAAAAATTAGCTGGGTATAGTGGCACATGCCTGTAATCCCAGCTACTTGGGAGGCTGAGGCACAAGAATTGCTTGAACCCGGGAGGTGGAGGTTGTAGTGATCTGAGATCACACCACTGCACTCCAGCCTGGTCGACAGAGCGAGACTCCGTCTCAAAAAAAAAAAAAAAAAATCAACTCAATATGGATTAAAGACTTAAACATAAGACCTGAAACTGTAAAACTACTAGAAAAAAAAAATGGAAAAACTTCTTGACATTGGTCTGGGTCTGGGCAATGATTTTTTGGATTTCACTCCAAAAGCCTAGACAACAAAAGCAAAAATAGACAAATGGGATTACATCAAACTATAAAGCTTCTGCTCAGCAAAGGAAACAGTCAGCAGAGTAAAGAGACAACCTATGGAATGGGAGAATGTATTGCAAACCACACATCTGGTAAGGGTCAATATCCAAAACATTTAAGAAACTCAACTCAATAGCAAGAAAACATAACGTGATTTTAAAATGGGCAAAGGACCTGAATAGACATTTATCAAAACACAACATACAAGTGTTCAACAGTTATATGAAAACATTTTCAACATTGATAATCATTCGGGAAAAGCATATCAAAACCACAATGAGATATCACCTCACACCTGTCAGAATGAGTACTATCAAAAAGACAGGAGATAACAAATGTTGGCGAGGATGTGGAGAAAAGGGAAATGTTGAACACTGTTGGTGAGAATGTAAATTAATACGGCCATTATGGGAAACTAAAGGGTCCTCAAAAAACTAAAAATAGAATTACCATATGATCTAGCAACCCCATTGCTGGGTATTTACCCAAAAGGCTTGAAATCATCAGTATGTCTCTTCATCAGTATGTTGAAGAGATGTCTGCACTCCTCTGTGTGTTGCAGCACTATTCACAATAGCTAAATTATGAAATCAACCAGTGTCCATCAATAGATGAATGGATAAAGAAAATGGAATATTATTTATTCTACACAATGAAATATTATTCAGTCTTTAAAAAGCAGGAAACTGTTTGATTTGTGACAACTTGAATGGAGCTGGTGAACGCTATGCTAAGTGAAATAAGTCAGGCATGGAAAATACCACATTTTCAGTCAGGGACAGTGGCTCATGCCTGTAATCCCAGCGCTTTGGGAGGCTGAGGTGGGCGGATCACCTGAGGTCAGGAGTTTGAGACCAGCCTGGCCGATGTGGTGAAAACCCATCTGTACTACAAATACAAAAATTAGCCAGGTGTGGTGGCATGCACCTGTATTCCCAGCTACTCACGAGGCTGAGGCAAGAGAACTGCTTAAACCCAGGAGATGGAGGTTGGAGTGAGCTGAGATTGCACCATTGCACTCCGGCCTGGGCAACAAAGTAAGACTCTGTCTCAAAAAAAAAAAAAAGAACCACATTTTCTCGTTTATATGTGGAATCTAAAACCATCGAACTCAGCAGAGAGTAGAGTGGTGGTTATCTGAGACTGGGGGTTGGGGGATAGGAGAAGATAGGTCAAAGTGTACAAAGTCTCATATAGGAGTAATAAGTTTGCTTTTGAGAACTATGAAGGAATATAGTTAATAATAATGTATTGTACATTTAAAAATTGCTAAGAGAGTAAACTTTAAATGTTCCCACCACAAAAAACAATAAGTATTTGAGGTGATGGGTATGTTAATTATCTTTATTCAGTTATTTCACATTGCATTCATAAATTATAACATCACTTTGTACCCCGTAAATATATACAATTATAATTTGTCAGTTTCGAAAAAAAAAAAAAAAATTTTTTTTTTCTTTTTTTGAGACACAGTCTCGCACTGTTGCCCAGGTTGGAGTGCAGTGGTGCCATCTTGGCTCACTGCAACCTCTGCCTCCCAGATTCAAGCGATTCTCCTGCTTCAGCCTCCTGAATAGGTGGGATTACAGGCCTGCCCTCATGCCTGGCTAATTTTTGTATTTTTAGTAGAGATGGGGTTTCCCCATGTTGGCCAGGCTGGTCTCGAACTCCTGACCTCGTAATTTGTCCGCCTCAGCCTCCCGAAGTGCTGGGATTACAGGCGTGAGCCACCACGCCTGGCCTAGAAAAATATTTTTTAAGCCACACATACACAAATAGCACACTACTGACAAATGCTGCACTATGAAGTTTGAAAGAACTTTATTTTCTATGTTATGATTTATGTATAATGGGAAAAATATCTTTTTAATCCCATGGCATGATATAAATTTGTGTTCTGTTCATTTTTTTTCTACTTGACAATCCATGAACAATATTTATATGTTACTCACTGTAGGTGAAGTGTTTTATGAGAAATTATGAGCCATAAATAATTTGTTATTCACTGTAGTACTCATAGATGCAATGTTGTCCAAGAATAATCTTTGCTTCACGGCCGGGCCCAGTGGCTCATGCCTGTAATCCTAGCACTTTTTTCCACCCGAGGTGGGTGGAAAACTGGCGGTCAGGAGTTTCAGACCAGCCTGGCCAACATGGTGAAACCCTATCTCTACTAAAAATACAAAAATTAGCCGGGCATGGTGGTGTGCACCTGTAGTCCTAGCTACTCGGGAGGCTGAGGCAGGAGAATTGCTTGAGCCCAGGAGGCGGAGGTTGCAGTGAGCTGAAATCACACCACTGTACTCCAGCCTGGGCCAGAGAGCAAGGCTCTGTCTAAAAAATAAAATAAAATAAAATAAAAATAAAAAATAAAAAAAATAAAAAAAACTTCAATAAATACCCTTGAAAATGTGAAGTTATAAGGGTTCTGAGAGACATCTGAAATACTGCCCAAGATGATAACTATTTTATTGGCTTTATTTAAAGAAAGTCACCCTTTTTTTTTTCTTTTTAAAGAAAGTCACACTTTGAGGTCTATTTTGGCATTTTAATTTTAACTGATCCCCTGATCGACTTTTCAAGAATTAATACATGGCCAGGTGTGGTGGCTAATGCCTATAATCCCAGCACTTTGAGAGGCTGAGGCAGGCAGATCACTTGAGGTCAGGAGTTTGAGACCAGCCTGGTCAACATGGCGAAACCCCATCTCTAATCTCTACTAAAAATACAAAGATTAGCCGGGCATGGTGGCACGCACCTGTAACCCCAGCTACTCGGGAGGCTGAGGCAGGAGAATCACTTGAACCTGGGAGGCAGAGGTTGCAGTGAGCTGAGATAGTGCAACTGCACTCCAGCCTGGGCAACAAAGTGAGACTCTGTCTAAAACAAACAACAACAACAACAACAACAACAACAAAACAGATAATAGACGAAAAAACTTTTTTATAATTATTTCATCCTATCACTAGTTCATATATAATGAATATACATAGCTAATAACATGCCTTATGACTAGCATGAAATTGTCTATCCTTACTTTCAAATTTCACAGTGTCATCAAATTGTATTAACTGGCCAGGCATGGTGGTTGGCGCCTGTAATCTCAGCACTTTGGGAGGCCGAGGCAACCGAATGATTTGAGGTCAGGAGTTCCAGATCAACTTGTCCAACATGGTGAAACCCCGTCTCTACTAAAAACACAAAAATATGCTGGGCACAGTGGCTCATGCCTATAATCCCAGCACTTTGGGAGGCCGAGGTGGGTGGATCACCTGAGGTCAAGAGCTCAAGACCAGCCTGGCCAACATGGTGAAACCCCATTTCTACAAAAATACAAAAATTAGCTGGGCATGGTGGTGCACACCTGTAATCCCAGCTACTCAGGAGGCTGAGGTGGGAGAATGGCTTGAACCCAGGAGGTGGAGGTTGCAGTGAGCTGAGATCGCGCCATCACACTCCAGCCTGGGCGAGTGACAGAGCGAGACTCCATCTCAATAAATAAATAAATAAACAAAAATTATCTGAGCATGGTGGTGCACACCTGTAGTCCCAGCTACTCAGGAGGCTGAGGCAGGAGAATCGCTTGAACCCAGGAGGCAGAGGTTGCAGAGCTGAGATGGTGCCACTGCACTCCAGCCTGGGCAACAGAATGAGAGACCATCTCATAAAATAAGAAAATAAAAGATAAAAATAAATTGTATTACTTAGGCACAGTGGCTCACGCCTGTAATCCCACCACTTTGAGAGGCTGAGGTGGGCAGATTGCTTGAGTTCAGGAGTTCGAGACCAGACTGGCCAATATGGTGAAACCCTGTCTCATCTCTACTAAAAATACAAAAGTTAGCCGAGTGTGGTGGCCAGCGCCTGTAATTCCGGCTACCTGGGAGGCTGAGGCAGAGAATTGCTTGAACCTGGGAGGCGAAGGATGCAGTGAGCTGAGATCATGCCATTGCACTCCAGCCTGGGCAACAGAGTGAGATTGTCTGAAAATAAAATAAAATAAAATAAAATAAATTGTATTAACCAAGCAGAGCTTTAGTCCTTTAACAGACCAAAGGCCTTATCTAGACAAACAGTTTCACTCTCTCCATTGAGTTGGGCAGAGAGTTCCTATCATTTATGGCCAAACTACTTTTTAGGTGCGAAAATTGAGTCCTCTTGAGTTCATAGTGTAATGACTAAACCTGGAGCTTGATTGAGAAGGTTTGAATCCTGGCTCTACCACTTATTAGCTATGGGACTAATGTGTGACTGTGGCAAGTTACTTGACCTCTTATGCCCCTGTTTCCTTATCTGTAAAATGGGGGTAGTTGCACTAACCTCATAGGCTTCTGAAGAGTATGTAAGTTAATACATACATGGAATTTGCTAAGAACAGTGTGTGGGCATGTGCTATAAATCTTCAGGAAAATGTTAGCCATTCAAACATTATTTCTTGGGTTTAAATAGAACAACACATTTCAAAACCATGAATCCTTCTAAATAAAGAAGCATTTTTCAGGCCGGGCGCAGTGGCTTACGCCTGTAATCCCAGCACTTTGGGAGGCTGAGGCAGGCGGATCAGAATCTCAGGAGTTTGAGACCAGCCTGGCCAACATGGTGAAACTCTGTATCTACTAAAAATACAAAAATTAGCCAGGCATGGTGGCAGGCACCTGTGATCCCAGCTACTCCGGAGGCTGAGACGGGAGAATCGCTTGAACCCAGGAGGTGGAGGTTGCAGTGAGCTGAGATCGCACCACTGCACTCCACCCTGGGCAACAGAGCAGGACTCCATCTAAAAATAAAAATAAAAATAAAAATAAAGAAGCACTTTTCCATTGAAATGGGTTTCCTAGACCACATTAAAAATATGGGACACTCATGCCTGTAATCCCAGCACTTTGGGAGGCCGAGTCGGAAGGATTGCTCGAGCCCAGGAGTTTGAGACCAGCCTGGACAACATAACAATACCCTGTCTCTCTCTTTTTTTTTTTTTTGAGACGAAGTCTCGCTCTGTCGCCCAGGATAGAGTGCAGTGGCATGATCTCAGCTCACTGCGACCTCCGCCTCCTGGTTTCAAGCGATTCTTCTGCCTCAACCTCCCAAGTATCTGGGATTACAGGCATGCGCCACCATGCCCGGATAATTTTTGTATTTTTAGTAGAGACGGGGTTTCACCATGTTGGCCAGGCTGGTCTTTAATTCCTGACCTCAGATGATAGGCCTGCCTTGGCCTCCCAAAGTGCCGGGATTACAGGTGTGAGCCACCATGCCTGGACTTCCCTGTCTCTTAAAAAAAGGGACTACAATCTATCAGTAATAATTTAATGTTATATTTCTGAAAGTGTGGTTCTGGGATCATTGCGTCAGAAAATCCCAGGTTAGCTTCTTTATATGTAAATATCTGGACCATACCTCTCAGGATAAGCCTACTAACCTACATTTTTGATATGCAGTCTAAATTATTCTTGGCAGCACCAAAGTTTGAGATTCCTGCTATGTTCAAGGCACACGTTTTCTATAACTTTGATAAAATAGTTCAACTATTAAATTTATTGTAATTGGAATACAAATATCAGTTTCCAAAAGAACCCAACTATGTATGGCACAAATTCTTTGTCTCCATCTAAAATATATTCATGGAGAGAAAACAAAAATTTTCAGAAGTTCAAGAGCTACAAAACTATGAAAACTGAACCTTGAGGAGCCAAAAGGGAAGCCTAACTCATTGTTATGCTCAGGCCTTCTGGAGAAAGAACATAATCACGCACTTTAGAAAAATGATCCAGTTTGAAGCTGGGTGCGGTGACATGCACCTGTAGTCCCAGCTACTCAGGAGACTGAGGTTGGAGGGTCCCTTGACCCCAGGAGTTTGAGGTCAGCCTGGACAACATAAAAAGACCTAATCTCTTTGAAAAAATGAAACAAAATAAAACAAGAAAAGAAAGCAAATCCAATTTGACTTCATCATCAGGGCTACTCATAGGCAGGATTAATCACTCTCTCTTGATCACTGGTTGAAGAAAATATTTCTTAAACTGCCTATTCTAGTAGACTAATATAATTGAAAAATTAAAATCCTCTAACTGTACTGTGGAAAAAACAGAATTTTGACCTAAATTTGTAAGCCTGATAATCTGCAGTCATAGGATATTGGTAGAAATATAAATTAGTGGCCGGGTGTGGTGGCTCATGTCTGTAATCCCAACACTTTGGGAGGCCGAGGCAAGTGGATGACTTGAGGCCAGGAGTTCAAGACGAGCCTGACCAACATGGTGAAACCCCATCTCTACTAAAAATACAAAATTAGCCAGACATGTTGGCACATGCCTGTAATTCCAGCTACTCAGGAGGCTGAGGCAGGAGAATCGCTTGAACCTGGGAGTTGGAGGTTGCAGTGAGCCGAGATCGCGCCATTGCACTCCAGCCTGGGCGACAGAGCGAGACTCCGTCTCAGAAAAAAAAAAAAAAAAAAAAGAAAGAAGTGTAAATTAGTATAGCCTCTACTGTTGAAGGACATTTTTCAGTATTTATCTAAATTAAAAATTCCCTAAGTCTTTGATGCAAAAATTTCACTACTAGATGATAATCCTACAGATATACACATTCATGTGCAAAATAAAGTATGCAGATATTTGTTCATTGCAGAATTGTCTGTAATATTAAAAGATTAGAAACAACCAATGAGGACATGTTAAGTAGATTAGGGAACATCTACACTATATAATACTTTGCAGCTATTAATGTCCAGTACTAATATACACCAATATCCAAAATATATTTAATGAAAAAAAGGTTCACTAAAAGGAACCAGATTCAGGGAGAACTGGCCAATTCCAGGGCTGAGGCTGAGAAAGTAAAAAGTGCTTAGAAAATGATGGGAACGTGTTAAAATGACTCGGGCCAGCCAGAAGGACTCCCACTGGCTGAATCTGGAACAATGAATTATAACCCATTGATTGAAAAAAGAGCCCATACAGATACTAAAAATGTGCAGATAAAGAAATAAAAGAAGGAGAAGGAATGTCACAGCTAGGAAATCACCATTTTGCAACAATGACATTAGTAATAATTGATTCAGGCAATAATCAGTAGGTGTTAAAACCATTGAGTAAAAGTTTAATGAAGAGCAGTTTCAAAATATCCCTCCATGATATATTTTTTAAGAAGAAGAAACGGTAACTTCACAGTGGAGACACCTAATGAATATCACCAAAACTGGTAAAAGCTGATATCACTGAGATTCCCTGATATGATTCACTGAGGAAACAACATCACTTCTACCTTCATAACCTAAATCTATCCATGAAGAATCAGAAAAATTCATATTGAAGGATGTTCTGTAAACAGAAAACAAAAAAACAAGTCCAACACAAAAGTGGCCTGTACTCTTCAAATGACAATGTCATAAAAGACAAAAGACAAAGGAAAACAGAACTGTTTCAGAATAAAGAAGACTCAACAGTCATGATAACCAAATTCAATGCGTGATTATGGATTGGAAACAACACGTTTTGTTTAAAGGAGTCGTGAAATTTAAAAAAAGACTAAATTTTCTACATTTGATAATTGTGCTGTGGTTATGTAAGAAAATCAGAATAAGAACTCACAAACAGGAAAAGATTGTTCTGTGAGCCATAGAACCAAGTAGCAACCAGAATGAATTTTGTTTTGCTCTTTTTTTGGAGACAGAATCTCCCTCTGTTACCCAGGCTGGAGTTCAGTGGTGCAATCTCGGCTCACTGTAGCCTCCACCTCCTGGGCTCAAGAGATTCTCTCACCTCAGCCTCCCAAGTAGCTAGGACTATAGGCATGCACCACTACGCCTGGCTAACTTTTGTATTTTTTTGGTAGAGATGGGGTTTCACCATGTTGACCAGGCTGATCTCAAACTCCTGACCTCAAGTGATCCACCTGCCTCGGCCTCCAAAGTTTTGGAATTACAGGCGTGAGCCACCAGGCCAGCTCAGAATGAGTTTTAAACTCGTTCATTTGATAAACACAACTCACCTCCGTGAACTACTTTTGCAAGCTAACCAATCAGCATCAGCCTCTCATGTCTGAAAGTCAACCAACCAGAGATGAACTCACTCCAAAAAAAGATGTCTGAGTACCAGCCAACCAACTATAGTAGCATCCGAGTAACCAAGCTTTTAAGGATCCTGCCATCCCATTTATACCTCTGAGAATCTACCCATCCCTGAACTCCATGCTTCCCCCAAACCCTATAGAGTCCAGCAGTCTGCCCTGCTCAGACTCTACCTGACCAGTATAGCTTTCCATTACTGTAGCATGCAAATCCAGCTTTGTCTTTTTGTTTAGATACTGAGTGGTGGTCTTCTAACTCCACCAGACCAGTCAGGCTCAACTTAGGTAACAAAGTTGTGAGTTCTTTTTCAGTTGCCAAAGACCTCCAGGTTGAAGGTCATGTAACCTGAACATGCACAGATGAACCAAGCCTACAACCACTGTCAGAACTTGCTTGCCTGAGGAGTGGGGACTGAATCAAGTGGACGCCACATGGCAGGATCCAGGATCCAATCAGATTGAGCCCTGGGGTCACCCCATAGCAGTATCCAGTTGGATCATGCCTCCCAGCATCACCTCATTGCAAGAGCCAATCAGATCACCCTTCATTACCCTATGCTTATAAAACCTGAGCCAGCCCTCAGCTTGAAGAGACAGACTTGAGCACTTCCTTCTGTTACCTTGCCAGTTGACTGGCACTAAAGCTTTTCTTTTCTCAAAAGCTGCTGCTGTGGTATTGCCTTCTAAGAGCACTGGGAAGTGAGCCCATTAATTGCTCGGTAGCAGTCTCATCCTTTAGTAATTCTGGAGGTTCCACCAAGATCATTTTGAAGACTCTTGGTTGGCAGTATTCCAGGCAATCTTCAGACCAACGGGTGCACTTACTGGGCTCCTTCTATCTAAGTTTCGTTGGTCTACCAGATCAGCTGCCATATGAAATCAGTATCAATAACCATTTGAGCTCTGTTTCCATTGAATCCCTATTACTGCATTTATTCTTCTATTCTAGGATTTATAACTAAGGAGATCCATTAGGACTAGGTGTTTGTACCAAGTAATTAGACAACTTTTGGTTCGGAGAAGCACCATTTACTAATCAGACCCAGGTATTTAATAAGGTAATTATTCCTTTTACTCTGGAGGTGTACCATTTGAAAATGTTTGCCATTAATCCACTTATTCTCCTGCTGCTTGCTTTTTTCTTTTTTTTTTTTTTTTTTCTGAGACAGAGTCTCGCTCTGTCACCCAGGCTGGAGTGCAGTGGCACAATATCAACTCATTGCAACCTCTGTCTCTCAAGTACAAGCGATTCTCCTACCTCAGCCTCCCGAGTATCTGGGTCTACAGGTATGCACCACCACGCCTGGCAAATTTTTGTATTTTTTGGCAGACATGGTTTCACCATGTTGACCAGGCTGTCTCGAACTCCTGACTTCAAGTGATCTGCCCGCCTCAGCTTCCCAAAGTTCTGGTATTACAGGCGTGAGCCACTGTGCCCAGCCTAAACTACTTTCTGTCTCTATAGATATGCCTATTCGGAACATTTTATGTAAATTGAATCATATAACATATGACCTTTTGTGACTGGCTTCTGGCACTTAGTATTTTGTTTTCTAGGTTTATCTACATTGCAGCATTATCGGTACTTCATTCTTTTTGATGGCTGAATAATATTCCATTGAATAGGTATACCCCATTTTGTTTATCCATTTATCAGTTGATGGATATTTGAAGTTGAATTAAAATCCTAGTCTAGAGCCAAATTAAGGACCATAATTAAGAAATTATAGTCTTCAGAGAAATAGCCAAAAATGTGCTATAGAATCCAGGTTTGTAAAAGATGAGTGTTGTTCTAAACTATAGACCTGTACGAAGTAAGTCAATTAATTGTAAGACCTACCAAAAAGAAAAATGTCTAAAAGCAGCAAATCATGAAGGAGATTTAAATAATGCAACTGTAAAATGTTTTAAATATAAAAATATACACTAAATAAAGCAGTTATAGAAGCCTTTATTTTAAGGATATAATAGACAAAGATTAAAGATTATAAATTAGATAAAAATAAAAAATAAACTTTGGGAAACTTTCAGTATTCTGGGTTAGATCTAGTATCTGAAGTAAAAGGGGACTTACCTTCTCTTTTTGTAAATGGGCTTAAACCTAATTTAGGGGATTTAATTTTTTTAATGAATTAAAAATATATAATTGCAAGCTTAGAAAAATATCAACTATATGGTCAACATTTTCAGACATCTTTAAAATATAAACAAACTGGAAATCAATACTTGTTACGGCACATTGTATTAAATAACCCATAGTGTCTCTGTTCTTTAAGATGTTGAAGCCTGTAGATAAGGACATTTGTAAATATCGTGAGCAGAAGGGCCATTAAAGAAACTAACGTGGCCGGGCATGGTGGCTCACGCCTGTAATCCCAGCACTTTGGGAGGCCAAGGTGGGCAGATCACGAGGTCAAGAGTTCAAGACCAGCCTGACCAACATAGTGAAACCCCGTCTTTACTAAAAATACAAAAAAAATTAGCTGGGCGTGGTGGCATGTGCCTGTCATCCCAGTTACTCAGGAGGCTGAGGCAGGAGAATCACTTGAACCTGGGAGGTGGAGGTTTCAGTGAGCCGAGATCGTGCCACTGTACTCCAGCCTGGTGACAGAGCAAGACTCCGTCTCAAAAGAAAAAAGAAAAAAAAAGAAACAATGTATCACACTGGGTAGCTAAAAAACAGGACAATTATCCAAAAATCCATCTAGTCATGTGGCTCCAAGGTAGACATGAGCACCCAACAATTCCGAGTCCTTTTTCTAATTCCCAAGGGAAATAAAACAACTTTTCTGCTTAAAAAAAAGTTTTTTTTTTCCTCTGAGAGAGTCTTGCTCTGTTGCCCCGGCTTGAGTGTGGTGGCCCATCTCAGTTCACTGCAACCTCCACCTCTCGGGTTCAAGTGATTTTCCTGCTTCAGCCTCCCAAGTAACTGGGATTACAGGCATGTGCCACCACGCTCAGCTAATTTTTGTATTTTTAGTAGAGACAGGGTTTTGCCATGTTGGCCAGGCTGCTCTGGAACTCCTGACCTCAGGTGATCTGCCCCTTCGGCCTCCCAAAGTGGCCGGGATTATAGCCGTGAACCACTGCTCCCAGCCAGAAAAAGAAAATTTCTATTAAAAATGACAGTGCCAGATTGCTTTACCAAAAAAAAGATAAGACAGATTTGAACATACATAGTAAATTGTGAAAGACTTAAGGAAAAATAAACATTATTTACCTTGGTTTAATAGAACCACCCAAGTAGTAAAAATCTAACAATTTAATGTCTCAACTATAACTGATATTTTGAGATCATTATCAGAAGAATATTCTTTATTCTCTGTGATAGAAATTGTGCAGAAAACAACATAGGACCCCTGAACTGCTATCCTCGGAATAGCCCAATTACACGATTGTCCCTTAGCTGGCATCTAGAAACTTAGATCTGGGGAGGGTTTTCAACATTTAACTGATAAGAGTGGCTCATTGTACCTAAAACTGTACAAACAATGTGTTTTTTTCTGAATACTTGCTTTTCTTTCTGAGAGTTTGGAATTTGTGTACATGCCAGGCAGGGGATGCCTACATGCTTACCCCCCAATAGAAGCTTTGGGCACAGTGTCTCTAGTGAGCTGTCCTGGTTGGCAACATTTCACATGTATTGACACAACTCATTGCTGTGGAGATTAAGCAAGTCCTATGTGAATTCACTGAGAGAAGCACCTTGGAAGTTTGTGCCTGGTTTCCCCTAGACTGTGCCCAGGTGACTTTTCCCTTTCCTGATTGTGCAATAGGTCAGTAAAGACATATATAGATATCATCTATATGCCTTAGCCATGAGTATAACTATATGCTGAGTCCTGTGAATCCTCCTAGTGAATCATCATACGTGGGAGTGGTTTTGAGGACCTCTAACCCAAACATCTGGACAGGCGCGGTGGCTCACGCCTGTAATCCCAGCACTTTGAGAGGCCAAGGAGGGCGGATCACCTGAGGTCAGGAATTCGAGACCAGCCTGGCCAACATAGTGAAATCCTGTCTCTACTAAAAAATATAAACATTGAAAAAAAATACTTATTACAACTTCAATCACTTTTACCTTCTACCTTGCATTTCTGGTTTTGTAAGAAACATCTCATATACTAGAGCAGTTTTTCCCTCTTCTGCCTACAATATGTGAATGAGCTGTTGATTCGACATAATTATCAAGTACGGTAGTCCCTCCCCTTCTCTGAGGGGATGTTTCAAGACCCCCAGTGGATGCCTGAAACTGCAAATGGTACAGAGCTCTGTATATACTATGTTTTTGTCCTGTACATACATACCTATGATAAAATTTATATTTAGGCACAGTGAGAGATTGATAGCAATAACTAATAATGTAATAGACCAATATACTCTAATAAAAGCTATGTAAATGTGGTCTCTCTCTCTCTCTCTCTGTGTCTCTCTCTTTTTCTCTCTCAAAATATTGTATTGTGCTATGGGCAGCAGAAACCATGGAAGGACTACTGTATTTCAATATATTAGTGATGTGGAAAGAGCTGCTTTCAAATGCAACTGGCCGCCTAGACCCAGCCTTCTGAGGTTTGCCAGTAACTGCTGCCTGTGTACCTTGCCAACATCTGATTCTCTGTAATATTTAAAAGGACTATGCTGTCTTACGTTTTCCAATTGCCTTTGGGGTAGGTGCTGTCTTCTACATCTTGAATAAACCCTTACAAAGGGGAAGCTTTGTGGGAATCTATTGGGAAATGTTTTGAGACATTGATTGGAGCCCTTGAGAGAGAATATTTAGCAGCATTGTCCAAGAACATTGTGGTCATTTTGGATTAAAAAGAAACATACCAAACAAAATTTAAGTTAGGAGAAAAGGCAATTTTCTAACAGACAATGTTTTCTTAGAACTGACATACCTTAGGCTTCTGTCCAAAGTGTACCATTTAATATTTTAAGCAAATCTTTATTACTCTAATTCAAATACGGATACTTTCCTCCATAAATGAGTGTGTAAGACATATTTGTAATTGCTGCAGTTAACATTAAATGTTTCTAGCCTTAAATAGCCTCCCTTTGATCAATTGTTTCCTTATATTCTTGAATTTACCATTCCTGAACAGTTCATTATTAATATAGCTACGACTTATAACAAATTTGTCCAGTAGACTCTGGCAACAGATGGCATTTTCATTTTAGAAAGTCCAAATACTCTGCCTACATTATTTCAGATGGTACGTTTGTGGAATAAAGTATTGAAATATGCCATATAGTCCTCTAAGAATACAGCTTTAGAATAGGAAACAAATTTTTCCAAATACTCAATGATATGTAACATAGTACGGTATCTACTATGATAATTTTTGGACATAGATATTGTGCCTGTATGTATTCTGTTTCATGCCTCTCCACTTCAAATCCTCCCTTCATTGCCTGCCCTGTGAAAATGGAGGTGAGCCCTTTAAAATTTACTCTTTACCAGCCTGCACACTCTGTTAAGCTTTGTCAATAGAGGGTGATGGCTGGGGATGCGGTGGCTCACGCCTGTAATCCCAACACTTTGGGAGGCCGAGGCGGGTGGATCACTTGAGGTCAGGAGTTCAAGACCAGCCTGGCCAACATGGTGAAACCCCGCCTCTACTAAAAATACAAAAATTAGGTGGCAAATGCTTGTAGTCCCAGCTACTCAGGTGGCTAAGGCAGGAGAATTGCTTGAACCCGGGAGGTGGAGGTTGTAGTAAGCCAACATTGTGCCACTGCACTCCAGCCTGGGCAACAGAGTGAGACTCTGTCTCAAAAAAAAAAAAAAAAAAAAAAAAAAAAAAAGAGGCTGCTGGAGAGATGGGGAAGGGACTTTCCTTCCTAGTTTCAGGGTTCCTGCTTAGCAAGTTCCTGCAGTGTATGTGGTTCATGTGGCTCCTTCAGCACCTAGCTCCTGCAGTGTCACGGGGTCAGGAGCACCCAGCAGCCAGCAGCTTCCCCTGGCACCTGCCTCAGATACTTTTGTAATGGAGGGTCTTCCCTAAGACACCTCTCTTTGAACAGCATTCCCCAGAAGCGTGCTTTCCAGCGAGTTCCACCAGTGCTGTACCACAGCAACTTCTCTCCATCTAGTGAGCTAGAGTCACCCTCTCCAGCAAGTTCTGGATCTCAGTCCTGGGGGCTGGAGGCTCCTCCTTGAGTGCTCTTTCTCATAGCTGCTCTGTATATCTGCTTATATCTCCTTATGTGTTTACTTTTCACTAGCCAATCTCTCATTACTCCATTCCAACGTAACAGTACTAGCATAGTAATTATTTTTCTAAAAAATATATATATTTTTTTGAGACGGAGTCTTGCTCTGTCACCCAGGCTGGAGTGCAGTGGCGGGATCTCAGCTCACTACAACCTCCGCCTCCTGGGTTCAAGCGATTTATCTGCCACAGCCTCCTGAGTAGCTGGGACTACAGGCATGAGCCACTGTGCCCGGCTAATTTTTTTTTGTATTTTTAGTAGAGATGGGGTTTCACCATATTGGCCAGGCTGGTCTCGAACTCCTAACCTTGTGATCTGCCCACTTCAGCCTCCCAAAGTGCTGGGATTATAGGCTTGAGCCACCACGCCCAGCCAAAAATAATGCTTTATATTAAATGTTTCCCTGTTCAAATTTCCATGTGGATTCTGTCTCCTGATTGGACCATACTGATACAGATATGAAACATGTATACTCTATCACCCAACTCTTGGCAGATAATAAGAATGTTTATCCTGAGCCAGACAAGGTGGGAAGGTGGCACCGCCTATAGTCCTAGCTACTTAGGAGGCTCAGGTAGGGGGATCCCTTCAGCCCAGGAGTTTGAGGCCAACCTATGCAACATAGTGAGACCCTATCTCTTAAAAAAAAAATTAAAAGAAGAGGCAGGGCATGGTGGCTCATGCCTGTAATCCCAGCACTTTGGGAGGCTGAGGCAGGTGGATCACCTGAGGTTAGGAGTTCAAGACGGGCCTGGCCAACATGGTGACACCCCGTCTCAACTAACAAAACAAAAAATTAGCCAGCCGTCGTGGCAGGTGCCTGTAATCCCAGCTACTTGGGAGACTGAGGCAGGAAAATTGCTTGAACCTGGGAGGTAGAGGTTGCAGTGAGCTGAGATCGTGCCACTACACTCCAGCCTGGGGAAACAACAACAACAACAACAACAACAACAACAAAAACCCTGTCTCCATAAATAAATAAATAAATAAAATATGTAGTATGTAGTATGCTAAGTAGTTGATCAGTTCTAGGGATTTTTTTAAAAAGTAGGAAAGAGGATATAAAATTTTAGGGAAAAGGTGGTTGAAATAAAGGGCCAGGAAGACTTTACTAAGAATATGGCTTTTGAGTAAAGAGCTGAAGGCAACAAGGGAGTGAGTCATGTGGCTATCTGGGAAGAGTACTCCAGGCAGAGGGAACAGCAGGGATCAAGGCCCAGAGTTGAGAGTGTGCTAATACGGCACAGTACAAACACCAGTGTGTCTGGGGTGGAGATAATGGTGGGAGGTGGGACGAGGGGTGACGGGAGATGAGATGACAGAGGTAAGAGGGGGCCAGATCATGATGGGCCTTCTAGGTTACAGGATGGGCCTCCTAGGTCACACTGACTTTCTTCTGAGTGAGACGAGAGGCTGTCACCATTACAGAGAAATAATATACTGTTATTATAAATGCTCTTGTTTGTGCTTGAAAAATACTAAAAACTAAAATACTTGGTGTTTTAGAAGGGAAAAATAAAAATAATTCTATTAAGATTATTTTGTAAGTGATCCCCATTCACTTTCGCAGGGATAGAATTTCAGAAGGCAATGTGAAAATGAGCTGTGTACTGAATTATACACGTATATTTATTTTAAATGAACATATTGACTCAATTAAAGCTAATACCACGAAACTTTGCCTTTGGCATCATGAGACTCACTGTGAGGTTATTAAAACTTAGACAAAATTTAAAAAGTAAAAATAAAAAACTTAGGTACGTAGTGATCTTATTTATAATTGACCGTAAAGTAAATGCTCAAAAATGATGATTTGTATTTTACAAACACTGTTAAGGATTTGGCTCTTCCAGTGGAATCCCAAGAGCCTGTGTCTTTAGGGAGTTTACTTTTCTGCACTTACGCTTTGTGGGATCTGATTTCTTCTAGTGGTTTGCTTTGTTGGGCATTTGTTTAGAAGGAAACAAAATAGCTATGGATATATGCTTTAGAAATCTAAAAAACAACACGAGACATGAAAACAACTTGCTTTCACAATAACAGAGGAAGAAAAAAGTTTTTTTGAGGAGGAAGAGTTGAAAAACAAATTCCTGAAAAACTTCCTTTTAAAAAATATTCAGTCCAAAACCTGAACTCAAATGTTATATTAAACAAAATACTGAATATATACATATACCAACATCGGTACATTTGTTTTATTTTCAGAGAATGATTTTAATATAAAGAACATATTAAATTAAAAGTAAGCATTACTTAAAAAAAAAAACCACCTCCAAACCCACACATAAGCACAGCAAAGAAAAGAGTAATAGAGAAAAGTCTACAAATAAATCTGAGCTGATATTAAATTAAAAACATTCAAATAAAGTAGAATTACTAGACACCAAGAATAATAAAGCAGACATGCAAGAGGATGCTAAGTTGAATAAAGAAAATTAAGTTTTAGACCAGGCGCAGTGGCTCATACCTGTAATCCTACCACTTTGGGAGGCCAAACCGGGTGGATCACTTGAGCGTAGGAGTTCAAGACCAGCCAGGGCAACATGGCGAAACCCCATCTCTACCAAAAAATACAAAAATTAGCCAGGTGTGGTGGCCGTGCCTATAAGTCCCAGCTACTTGGGGGCCTGAGACAGAAGGATTGCTTGAGCCCAGGAGGTTGAAGCTGCAGTGAGCTGTGACTGTGCCACTGCACTCCAGCCTGAGGGACAGAGCAAGACCTTGTCTCAACAAAAAAGAAAAAAAAATTAAGTTTTAAAAATATTTTTGGGCCAGGCGCAGTGGCTCATACCTGTAATCCCAGCACTTTGGGAGGCCAAGATGGGTGGATCACCTGAGGTCGGGAGTTTGAGACCACCCTGGCCAACATGGTGAAACCCCGTCTCTACTAAAAATACAAAAAATTAGCTGGGCGTGGTGGTGGGTGCCTGTAATCTCAGCTACTCGGGTGGCTTAGGCAGGAGAATCACTTGAACCTGGGAGGCGGGGGTTGTAGTGAGCCAAGATTGCACCACTGCACTCCAAACTGGGCGACAGAGTGGGACTCCATCTCAAAGAAAAAAAAATGTGAAGGTAAGAGCAATTTACTGAAAGAATCATCTATATATATTATAAGGATTTCTTTAAATCAGTTGTATAACCTATTTTTATAGGTCTTAGGATATATAATTATAATGTATCTTAAATCTTGCTAGTAAGGTTTATAAGTGATTCAGCCAAATCTGCAGAAGTCATTGTAACCTATCTCTAACCCTACGCCTACTACACTATTGAGATATGGGGGAACCTAGGTCAGCAGTAGTAGATGGTATTTAACATCATTTGAAATATTTCCACACATTTGTTTTTTATTTTTATTTTTGTTTTTTTGAGACGGAGTCTCGCTCTGTCACCCAGGCTGGAGTGCAGTGGCACGATCTCGGCTCACTGCAAGCTCTGCCTCCCGGGTTCACACCATTCTCCTGCCTCAGCCTCCCGAGTAGCTGGGACTACAGGCACCCGCCAGCACACCCGGCTAATTTTTTGTGTTTTTAGTAGAGACGGGGTTTCACCGTGTTAGCCAGGATGGTCTCGATCTCCTGACCTCGTGATCTGCCCGCCTCATCCTCCCAAAGTGCTGGGATTACAGGCGTGAGCCACCGCACATTTCCACACATTTGAATATTCTCGGGAAACCCTAAAGGACTTACATTTATCATCCATATCAATAATAAGAGTGGCTGGGCGTGGTGACAGAGTGAGACTCTGTCTCAAACAAATAATAATAATAAGAGTGCATTGTACTTTTTAAATTTGCACACATTCTTCAATTTTCTATAAATATTACTCCCAAAGAGAACCAAAAAAATGAGAATTCTGATAAAGAACAAAAAACCTATGGAGGTGAGGAAAACAAAGTAAAAAAAATCCATAATCAAGAAAGTGAAAAAGTATTAAATGTAGTAAGAAAACATATAAACAGAGAAATGTTATACAGGCCTTATTTAATATTCACCTTTAACATTAAGTTAATTTCTCCAAGTTTAAAAAAATAACAGTCTTCTGTTCATGGCTTCTTGTTTATGCTTTGTTATCTAGAATTATACTTTAATTCCTCAAAGTTTAAGTCTGCATGAAACTGATTATTAAGAGATGCATTACCTTTCTATCACTGCTGTAAAACATTACAACACACTTAGTGGCTTAAAACAACACTTATTTATTTATTTATTTATTTTTGAGATAGAGTCTTGCTCTATCGCCCAGGCTGGAGTGCAGTGGCACGATCTCAGCTCACTGCATCCTCTGCCTCCTGGGTTCAAATGATTCTCCTGCCTCAGCCTCCCAAGTAGCTGGGATTATAGGCATGCGCCACCATGCCCAGGTAATTTTTGTATTTTTAGTAGAGACAGG
The DNA here is from genome assembly GCF_000001405.40 of Homo sapiens. Classification (NCBI taxonomy): domain Eukaryota; kingdom Metazoa; phylum Chordata; class Mammalia; order Primates; family Hominidae; genus Homo; species Homo sapiens. The sequence goes on along the minus strand of NC_000002.12, from coordinate 151,385,721 downwards.
TTTTCACCATGTTGGCCAGACTGGTCTTGAACTCCTGACCTCAAGTGATCCACCCGCCTCTGCCTCCCAAATTGCTGGGATTACAGGCGTGAGCCACTGCGCCCGGCCACATTTATTATCTTACAGTTCTGTAGCTCAGAAGTCCAACGCGGGTCTCACTGGTCTAAAACCAAGGTGTTGTCAGGGCTGTGTTTCTTTCTGGAGGCTCAGGGGAGAATCTGTTCCTATACCGTTTCTAGTTCCCAGCTGCAACCCACGTTCTTTGGTTCATGGCTTCCTTCCTCCATATTCAAAGCTAGCAACATAGCATCACTGTGACCCTGCTTTGTTGTCACCTTTTTTTTCTCTGACTCTCTTTTTATGCTTCCTTCATCCACTTTTAAGGACCCTTGCAATTACATTGGACCTATGTGTATAATCCAGGATAAGCTCCCTATTTTAAGGCACTTAATTACATCTGCAAAATTGCTTTTGCCATGTAAGATAATATAGTCACAAGTTTCAAGGATTAGGACTTAGACATTTTAGAAGGATGGAGGATTTCTGCCTACCACAAAAGGTTATGTTTAAAATCCCATTGTCTGACAACTACCTCCTATCTCTCCATTCATTCTCTCTTATACTCTGATTCTACAGTCTTTGAGCCTTTGTGGGAGCTTCACTTCATCAAGTCTACCACTTTTTCAGTGTGCCTTATTTACTGATGTCCTCTCTTCCCTTCTAATTAAACTACATTCTGGCCGGGCATGATGGCCCATGCCTGAAATCCCACCACTTTGGGAGGCCAAAGCAGGCGGATCACTTGAGGTCAGGAGATTGAGACCAGCCTGACCAACATGGTGAAAACCTGTCTCTACTAAAAATACAAAAAATTAGCTGGGCATGGTGGCGTGTGTCTGTAATTCCAGCTACTTAGGAGGCTGAGGCGGGAGAATCGCTTGAACCTGGGGGGCAGAGGTTGCAATGGGCCGAAATTGAGCCACTACATTCCAGTCTGGGTGATGGAGTGAGACGCTGTCTCAAAAAAATAAATACATAAATAAGTGAAATAAGAAATAAAAATCAAAAAAATCTGCATTCCATGGGTTTTTACAATCCCTCCTTTAAGCATGCACACTTCTTCCTCCCTTGCCCCTTTCTTGTTATACTCACACGGCAAAAACCCAGCAGCGGTTAACGCAATTCTCCCTCTAGCCTGTCTTTTTCTCGTGAAGCTGAACGTGGCTAGAAGAAAACACCCTTGCTGACCAGTCTCCCGTTAAATTCCATGACCATGAACTTCAGATGGGCCCTTTGTGCTGCCTGGTAATCACATGCTATTTCCTAGTTCATTCACTTTCCCACTTTCCTAGAAGACTCTTTCATGCCTTCTCTCTTCTCAACCTCTCACATCTACCTTTCCATCCTCACTGTTGGCTCATGACTTGACTCTTTCTTCACTGAGAAATGCAAAGCAAGAAGAAGTTCCTGCAGATTCCTACCATCTATCTTCCCCACCTGTCGACTTCTGTGGCCTCACACTCTGCCTTCCTCCTAAAGGGTCTGGGGGCAGAATCCACAGGGTCGTGATCTTGCATGTGGGATTGAAAGTTTATTTCCAATGACTTTTATCTGAAATCTAGCATGTCTTTCAACTATGAATGTAGTTAATAAATGTAGCATTAGCAGTACCTGTGCTTTTAGCCCCGAAAGACACTACAGATATATGAAACAGTTTTTGTAGAACTCATAAAATATTGTATACGTGTATTACCACTTTGAAATTATTATTATTATTATTTTTGAGACAGGGTCTCGCTCTGTCACTCAGGCTAGAGTACAGTGGCAGTGGCACTATCACAGCTCACTGCAGCCTTGACCTCCCAGGCTCAAATGATCCTCCCACCTTAGCCTCCCAAGTAGCTGGGACTATGGGCACATGCCACCACACCCAGCTAATTTTTTTAGAGACAGGGTTTCTCCATGTTGCCCGGGCTGGTCTCAAACTCTTGGGCTCAAGCCATGTGCCTACCTCGGCCTTCCAAAGTTATGAGATTACAGGTATGAGCCACGGTACTCAGTCTACTTTGAAATTATGGTAGTTACTCGACCCACTGCTAGATCTTATATACAGCATTAATAAACACATGCTTTAATGTATCACAGTTTTTTTTGTTTGTTTTTAGATATGGGGGTCTCACTATATTGCTTAGGCTGGAGTGCAGTAGGGCTATTCACAGGCATAATCATAGCTCACTGCAACCTCAAACTCCTGGGCTCAAGCCACCCTCCTGCCCCAGCCTCCTGAGTAGCTGGAACTATAGGCATGTGCCACCACACCTGGCTTTGATTTTTTTTTTTTTCAATGATTTGATAACTGTGTTTTAATATAATTAGTTTTCTTTGTATTCCTTTATATTTTATGCATTTGAAAACATTATTCTGACCATCCAGAAATTTCACCCATCAAAGAATTTATGGTATATATAAAGGCTAAGAGTCCCTCCTGCAGGTGAATTATCCATGTCCCTCTCTAAATCCAGTCCCTCTATTTGTGCACTAGATACTATCTCCTCTCACTGTGCTAAGTGTCCTCCTTTTGCCCTTCTGGATCTGTTCTCCACCTTCTCCTTGCACTGGGCCCTGGAGCTGATCTCTGTGCAGTATCAACCAGATCTCGTTGCATTCTGACTTCTGTTGGGATGAGACAATGGGAGGTACAAGTAGTACAGAGAAGGGTGGAGGAGGGAGACTTTGGGGTATTTATCCTCAATCCCTCCCCATGGCCTTAGGTGGGCAGAAGCTCTTTTCCGGCTTTGGTTGGGCAACCCTTTCCTGTGGCTAAAGCTCCCTGTCTTGATTTCATATAACTGCCCCTGATTTTGCTCCTTCATGGCCCTCCTGCTTTGTGAGCACCCTGTGATTCACCATTCCTTCTCTTAAGTCAGCCCATTCCTCTATTATAATCTCTCCAGGCTCCCTCTTTGGAGAGTGTCATATGATTTTTGCCAGGGGCCTCACAACTGCATGGGCTCAAAGAAATGGCCCCAGCAGCTCTCCCAGCTGAGTTCATTCATTCTCATCAAGAAAGTCTCCTTTCAGCCCACTTGTCCTTACAGCTACCACTTCCTTGTTAGCCAGACCCACTGTCTCCAATACCTCTCCTTTCTCCTCTAGTTCACTTTTCACACACTTCAGTTGGGCCTTTGCCTCCTCCCCACTGAAACTGCCCATCCAGGTCACTGATGATCTCACAGTGTCAGTAGTTTATAATGCAGCACCCTAACCTATGTTTAATATGTAGTCTATTTATTATGTATATTAATTATTATCTCTCTCCCTCCACCAGAACATAAGCTCCTCAAACGTGGGGATTTTTGTTCCTTTGGTTCTCTGGTATTCCCTAAGTGCCTAGAACAGTGCTTGGCACATGCTTTTTTTTTTTTTTTTTAGCGAAGTCTCACTCTTACCCCCAGGTTTGAGTGCAATGGCTCAATCTCAGCTCACTGCAACCTCCGCCTCCCGGGTTCAAACGATTCTCCTGCCTCTGCCTCCCAAGTAGCTGGGATTAAGTCGCTTGCCACCATGCCCGGCTAATTTTTGTATATTTTAGTAGAGACGGGGTTTCACCATTTTGGCCAGGCTGGTCTTGAACTCCTGACCTCAGGTGATCTGCCTGCCTTGGCCTCCCAAAGCGCTGGGATTACAGGTGTGAGCCACTGTGCCCGGCCGGCACGTGCATTTTTGTTTAATTTAATTAGATGGTAATCATTGCTTGTTTAGGGATGGAAAGGCGTGATACCTTTCCTTACCATCATAAGGCCAACACTCCTATAACAAAGGCAGGCTAACAAAAGAAAAGCATTATAAATTTATTTAATCAAAATTTTATGTGACATGGGAGCCTACAGAAATGAAGACTCAAAGACCCAAGGAAAATTGTATTTTTATGTTTAGGTTTGATGAAGAATAGACGGCCATGTAGAAATGTGATTGGACAAATCATGTGATCTCATGGCAATAGACCAAGTGGGGAGGCCCAGTAAGGCCTGTCTGTCTAGATTCTTCTTGGCCTCTCTGTGTAACACTCCTTCCTTCTGGGTGTGGGGCAGGACTCTTCTGGAATGAGGGTCTGCAAGGGAGAAGGAGGACAGAGAGACCTTTCTAGGTTTTATAGCGTGCTTTTTGGGAGAGGAGTCTGTAACTAGACTTGAGGAAGAGGAATTTTGGTTCTGGTTGCTTTTTTTTTTTTTTAAAGACAGGATCTCACTCTGTCTCCCAGACTGGAATGCAGTGATGCAATCATAGCTCCAGTGCAGCCTCAAACTCCTGGGCTCAAGTGATCCTCCCGCCTCTGCCCCCCAAGTAGCTGGGACTACAGACATGTGGCACTATGCCCAGATAATTTTTAATTTTTTAATTTAAAATTTTTTTCATAGAGATGAGGTCTTGCTATGTTGCCCAGCCTGGTTTTGAACTCCTGAGCTCAAGAGATCCTCTGCCTCGGCCTTCCAAAGTGATGGGATTACAGGAGTGAGCCACTGCGCCCGGTGAATTCTGGTTTTTATGACTTGCTTTGGAAGAGGAAGACTTGGGGCAAGAGGGAAGATGGAAGGAGAAGGTCACAGAGATCTTGCTTCTGAGGCCTTCCAGTCTCCTTTAGCTCAAAGTACTCAGTATCCCAAAGTGTCATACTTTAGGGTATCGTCTGAGTCCCAACATCCCTCATTACCGAGTAACAACTGTGTTTTTTTCTCCCTAAAAAGGTGAAGTGACAAAACAAAAATAAAATATAGATGAATACATGTCATATCTTATAATGGGAATTTTTATTCTCTTAAATAAAAGTTATAGGAGGTCATTGGTTTGGACTTAGCTTCTGCACCAGGCCAAAGAGACCAAACCAAAATGGAGTCACTCATGCTAAAGTTTCACACCACCAACCCGAAATTAGTTGTTTATCTGACCTTCCAAGAAACCAAGAGCCACAGAGAGATAATAGCCAAACCCTCAAACAGACCAGTTTTAGCTGGCATGATAAGGAAGTTGCCTCTGCTTTAACCTTTATAAGAAAAGTAACTTTGAAACAACCAGTCTGCTTTTTGTTTTCTGTTTCTGCTCTCCTCAGCCCTTTTATATCAATAAAACCAACGTCCTCTGCTCAGCTCATCAGAACACTCATTCTATTTTAAAAATGAGGTGCCTGATTCTAGAATTGCAAATAAAAGCCAATTAAGATCTTTAAACTAAATTTGTTGTCATTTTGTCTTTTGACAGTCCTAAACATAAATATGAGAAAAGAGACCTCAGCAAAATCAAGTATAATTGCAAATAAATTTTAACATTTGATATATTTTAAAGAACCATTAAAGTAAAAGACAAAATATAAACTAAAAATTAAATTACAGCATATATGACAAACATGGACATATATAATAATTTCTAACAAATCAATAGAGAAGATTATATCAGTTTTTAAAAATAGTGAAAAAAAGGCATGGAAAAATAATTCACAAAAAAAATTAACAAAAAATTATATAACCATCAATCTCATGAATAAAGAAATGCAAATTCAAACTACAGTGAGGCCTCATTTTTGCCTATCAAAACAGAAAATTTTATTTTAATTAACCTTTGATTCAGTAATTCTATTTCCAGGTCCTTGTCTTAAATAATTAGAGAGGTGCACAAATATGTGTGTTCAAGGATATTTATTGCAACAATATTTATGAAAATGACCTGAAATTCCAACAATAGAGACAGGCTTAAATAATGCATAAAACATTCATATCATAGAATATTTTACAGCTGTTTAAAATCATGTTTTTGTAGAATAATCAATGATTTCAGAAAATGTTTATAAAGTTCAAGATTTAAAAAGTATAATACAAAACTGTACATAGAGCAGGATTCCAAAATTTCAAATGCAAATACATATAGGTACATATATACATATACCACAAATAGAAAAATGACTGAAAGAAAAAAATATGAAAATGTTAACGCTTGTTATTTCTATGCAGTGGGATTATGAGAGGTTTCATTTTCTCGTTTAAAGTTTCCTATATTTTCCAATTTTCCCTAAATTATGTATTGCTTTCACATTTAGAAAAATAATAAATAAATGTTAATAATAACAGTGAGATCAAAGGAGTTCCAAAAGATTCCAACATAAACACTGTGTGTTTTGATCATCCTTTTTTTTTTTTTTATAAGTGGCTAAATCTTCCAGCTAAAAAGTTTTTATTTCCAGTAGAAGTAGTACTTGTATTTTTTCCTTGACTGGATTTGGATACAGGATCCATTGCAACATATTTGATTTGGAAACCTCCAGCTGTCACTGAAGCATCACTTAGAAACTTCAAGGTCATGACATTTCCTGTTGCGGGGAAGGAGGCAAAAGAACAAAGATGTTACTCTCCTTTGATTTGGCTGACAATTCAAAGACTCTTCATTCTCATAGGAGAATATAAGAATTCATGAACAAGATTCCCAGAATTCAGAGGTCGATTCTCAAGCTGAAGAGTCTGTGGTTTCATTGCCGCATGGAACAGGGTGAGAGACGTTTGTATTTTTTCCTTTGGTCCTCCAATCTATCCTACAGGAAATTTTGTCTATTGTATTTATTTATTTATTTTTGAGATGGAGTCTCACTCACTCTGTTGCCCAGGCTGGAGTGCTGTGGCGCGATCTCGGCTCACCGCAACCTCCGCCTCCCGGGCTCAAGCGATTCTCCTGCCTCAGCCTCCCGAGTAGCTGGGATTAAAGGCACGCACCACCACACCTGGCAGATTTTTTTGTATTTTTACTAGAGACGGGGTTTCACCATGTTGGCCAGGCTGGTCTCAAACTCCCGACCTCAGGTGGTCCACGCACCTCGGCCTTCCCAAGTGTTGGGATTACAGGCGTGAGCCACCGAGTTGGCCTCTCTCTTGTATTTAAAAGGTACTCTTGGGCTGGGCCTGGTGGGTCACGCCTGTAATCCCAGCACTTTGGGAGGTCGAGGTGGGCAGATCACCTGAGGTCGAGAGTTCCATACCAGCCTGACCAACATGGTGAATCCCCGTCTCTATTAAAAATACAAAAAATCAGCCGGGCTTGGTGGCGTGTGCCTGTAATCCCAGCTCCTCGGGAGGCTGAGGCAGGAGAATCCTTGAACCCGGGAGGCGGAGGTTGCAGTGAGCCAAGATTCTGCCATTGCACTCCAGCCTGGGCAACAAGAGCAAAACTCCGTCTCAAAAAAAAAAAAAAGAAGATACTCTTTGTAGAAGGAACATCCACAGAATTACAGGAGAATGGCAGGGCAGGTCAAACCAGCGATGGGTGGATGAGTTATTTACTAAATGATGTCAGAGCAACAAGTTTCACATTTATTAGAAATGAAGCTAGATTCCTACTTTACACAGAGTACCTAAACACATTTTACCGTAATATAAAGACCAAAATGTGCTAAATAAAAAGGAAAAACTTTATTATATAACATAAAATATAGGAATATTTATATCTTTTTCAAAAAGGAGGCAAAGGCCTTCTTTTTGTTTGTTTTTGGAGACAGGATCTCACTATGTTGCCCAGGCTGGTCTCAAGCTCCTGTGCTCAAGTGATCCTTCTACCCCAGCTTCCCAAAATGTTGGGGTCACAGGCATGAGCTGCAAATATATATAAACAAAAGCAGAGTATATACATTCCTAATGCTTGCTTTTATCTATTAACTCATTTAACCCCCACAACAACACTGCGAGGTGAGGGGGATACTTTTTAAATATTCATTTTACAGATAAGAAACTGAGGCACAGAGTGACTACTAAGTAGCTTGCCCAAAGCCACAGAACTAAATGGGCAGAGTCAGGTTTGAGCACAGGCAGTCTGGTTTCCGAGTTCATGCTCTGATTCTCAGACTGCTATTTTCTCATATTTGGAAGATTTGCCTAAATATAAAAAAAAAATTTTGCACGAGACAGACTGAGAGAAAATAGGGTTAATATCTCTAATATACAAAGAAATAAAAAAGAGAAAGACAAAAGCGCCAAAGAATATGCAAGAAATATAAATTCATAGGCAATTCATAGGTGTTCAAAGGGCTAATAGACATTTAAAAATGTGTTCAAAAACACTACCAAAAATTCAACTTAGATTATTAATGATACTTTTTTGCTCTTCTATTGTGAGAGAATTCAGAGAATATTCAGCTGGTTAAAATGTAAATTGGTTAGGTATGAGTCGACAGGCCTTATTAAAAAACAAACAAACAAACAAACAAACAAACACAAAAATGGCCGGGCACGGTGGCTCACGCCTGTAATCCTAGCACTTTGGGAGGCCGAGGCGGGTGGATCATGAGGTCAGAAGATTGAGAGCATCCTGGCTAACACAGTGAAACCCTGTCTCTACTAAAAATACAAAAAATTAGCCAGGCGTGGTGGCGGGTGCCTGTAGTCCCAGCTACTTGGGAGGCTGAGGCAGGAGAATGGCGTGAACCCGGGAGGCGGAGCTTGCAGTGAGCCGAGATCCTGCCACTGCACTCCAGCCTGGGCGACAGAGCGAGACTCACTCTCAAAAAAAAAGAAAAGAAAAGAAAAGAAAAGAAAATGTAAATTGGGAGTCAGCCAGGCAAGGTGGTTTATGCCTGAAATCCCAGCACTTTGGGAGGCTGAGGCAGGAGGACAGCTTGAATTCAGGACTTCAGGACCAGCCTAGGCAACATAGCAAAACCCCATCTCTACTAAAAATAAAAAATAAAAATTAGCCTTGTGCGGGAAAATCACTTGAGCCTAGGAGTTTGAGGCTGTAGTGAGCTGTGATGGCGCCCTTGCACTCCAGCCTGGGTGACAGAACAAGACCCTGTCTCAAAAAAAACAAAAAAAAAAAAAAAAAAAAGAAAAGAAAAAGAAATGTAAATTGGCACTGTAGGAATCTATTTTTTTTTAAAGTAGAATTACTGAGTAAAGACAGAGGTTTTAAAATGTTCATTGAAACGTTGAATAACAAAAGAAAAAAATCAGAATCAAATGCCTCAGAATGTTAAATATTAGTACATGACAAATTACAGTATATCCATACAGTGACCTATTAGGCAGTCATGAAAAAGAATTTGAATGATCTAAATATCATACTCTGACATGGAAATATGTCCATAGTTTCCACATATATAATGTTTGTATAATAGAAAAACATCTGGAAGGATGGTCACTACAGAGTTATCAAATGCCTTTCTGGGATGGAGAGGTGAGGAGAGTAGGCACATCCTTACTTTTATATCTCTTATTAATGTGGTAGGATTATGGACAATTTCAGGTTCTTTCTTTCTTTTTTTTTTTTTTTTTTGAGACAGAATATCACTCTGTCTCCCAGGCTGGAGAGCAGTGGCATGATCATGGCTCACTACAGCCTTGACCTCCCTGGACTGAGGTGATCCTCCTACCTCAGCCTCCCGAGTAGCTGGGACTACAGGTACGCATCAGGATGCCTGGCTAACTTTGTATTTTTAAATTTTTTTTGAAAGGGAATCTTACTTTGTTGCCCAGGCTAGCGTGCAGTGGAGCCATCTCAGCTAACTACAACCTCTGCCTCTCAGGTTCAAGTGATTTTCCTGCCTCAGCCTCCTGAGTAACTGGGATTACAGGCACGTGCCACCACACCGGGCTAATTTTTTGTGTTTTTAGTAAAGATGGGGTTTCACCATATTGGCCAGGCTGTCTTGAACTCCTGATCTTAAGTGATCCACCCGCCTTGGCCTCACAAAATGCTAGAATTACAGGTATGAGCCACTGTGCCCGGCTGACTTCTGTATTTTTTTGTAGAGACAGGGTTGCATCATGTTGCCCAGGCTGGTCCCAAACTCCTGAGGCTCACGCCTCTCACCTTGGCCTCCCAAAGTGCTAGGATTATAGGCACGAGCTACCATGCTTGGCCAATGTCTTTATTTTCTATTTTTGTTTTGTAATCTATACCCTGGGTTGAGTAAGCGTATATTTAAAAAGAAAACCAGATCAAAATGTTAATAGTATTATGCTTGATAGGATTTTTTTTTTTTTTGAGATGGGGTCTTGCTCTGTCACCCAGGCTGGAGTGCAGTGGCACAATCTCAGCTCACTGCAACCTCTGCCTCCCAGGTTCAAGCGATTCTCCTGCCTCAGCCTCCCAAGTGGCTGGGACTACAGGCGTGTGCCACTGCACCTGGCCAATTTTTTGTATTTTTAGTAGAGACGGAGTTTCACCGTGTTAGCCAGGATGGTCTCGATCTCTTGACCTGGTGATCCGCCCACCTCATCCTCCCAATGTGCTGGGATTACAGGCGTAAGCCACCACACCAGGCCTATGCTTGATAGGATTTTATGTTAACTGTATCTTATATCTTCTTTTTCTATTACTTTGTATCAATGTCCTCTTCCTGATTTTTTGCTAAATCTTTGGCTTTTTTGTTTTAACTATATTCTTTTCTGTTTCTTGATTTGTTTCTCTTTGAATGATAAATTGTGTGGGTTTTTTTTTTCCCAGTTTCTTGAAGTTGTGCCAATAAAACCCCACCACTGATTTGATTACATTTGGAGTAAGTTGTCTACTTTAGAGAAAAAAGGAAAATGTAAAATTTCAGACTTTTTTTTTTTTTTTTTTTTTGAGACGGAGTTTTGCTCTTGTTGCTCAGGCTGGAGTGCAATGGCGCTATCTTGGCTCACCACAACCTCTGCCTCCCGGGTTCAAGCAATTCTCCTGCCTCAGCCTCCCAAGTAGCTGGGATTACAGGCATGTGCCTCCACGCCTGGCTAATTTTGTATTTCTGGTAGAGACGGTGTTTCTCCATGTTGGTCAGGCTGGTCTCGAACTCCTGACCTCAGGTGATCGGCCTGCCTTGGCCTCCCAAAGTGCTGGGATTACAGACGTGAGCCACGGCACCTGGCCTAGGCTTCTTTTTAACTTCTTTGTTTAATAGGATTCTCATCCCCCAACTACCTCCTACAGCAATAAGATGTTTTCTTTCAACTTTCTGTTAATATAAAATATATTTTCAAGAAAGGAATGAGAGATAAGTAAACGGTTTAATTTAATAGGTTATCTTTCTTAAGGGAGTTTGTAACAGAATAATGAACTAACAAGGTTTAAGCATTAATCATTCGATAACAGAGCAGGAAGTTCCATCTGTTACAGTTATGACGAATAAATTAGAATTGAGTCACTGAAAGGCTGGGGTGTGGGAGTAAGTTAACTAGTAGTATCTGAGTACTTAGAAATTGCAACTCAATGTAGTTTTGTTGTTTATAGTTGCAGAAGTACTGTGATAGTTTTATGACTTGGGAGAAAATAGAGCACTTAAAAATGCCAGCTGCTGGTGCTGGTGATGGAAATAAAATAAAATACTGAATACATGTAAGAAAGGAAGTTTTTAGCCAGAAAATAGCAGTATGGGATAAATTAAAGAGTGATATTGCATATTGAGATAAATTTATGCGACTACAGGGCATTTCTTGAGGTACATTTCTTGGAACAAAGTCACAGAAAATAATGGGGGGGTGGGCAATATTTGGAAAGCACTACCTATTATATCTGGTCTTTTCAGATTTACTACACATGATTAGCATATTAAAAGATCCCTGCTGTCTTCCAGTGAAGAAACCTGTTTGATATTGTTTAACCCAACGTTTTCCAAATTTATTTGACCTTAGAGCCCTCTTCTCATGTAACATCTATTTAAATCTCACAGAACTTTGTTATTTGAAACATTCTCTGGAGAATATTGTACTAAGATAAAAATGTAATGAATATGATGTAAGATTGTTTTAGTGACAAAGATTTTTAATGACTTTATAAATGACTTCAACCCTTTATCAATGAAAAATTTCAGCCATTTTATTAGCACATTTATGGAAATCATAAACTATAGCAATATTTGTGGATTTGCAGATTCAAGACTCTCAGATACATTACATTTTCAGCAAAGAAGAGTTTATACATTTTTTAGTGCAAGCAGTTGGCATAAATCTTTAATTTTTTTTTTTTTTTTGCATTTTACAACCTAGCAAGCTGCATCTGGTGTTGGTTCTTTCAACTTTAAAAAGTGAATAATAACTACTATTTACTATTTAACAGTGTCCCTTTACTTTCAGGGACACTGTAAAGAAACAAATCATAGTTTTGGTCCTCAATTTAAAACCTTACCTGTACTGATGATGTCATCTGGAAGCTCATCTCCACAGTATCTGAAAAGGAATTTTTAGAAAAGAGATGTCACACAAATGAATATTATACAGCTAGTAAAGTGGCTGTTACTGATAATTAAGCCTCTAAGTAATAGCTCATTGTTCCATAATTTTTAAAATTTCTATTGTTATTTTACCTGGATTTGTAAGAGAGAGTAGGAGTTAAAACAAAGTTTGTTATTTGAAATAATCTTCTTACAATATTGATGATATTTTATTTTATTTTATTTTATTTAGATGGAGTCTTGCTCTGTCGCTCAGGCTGGAGTGCAGTGGCGCAGTCTCGGCTCACCGCAACCTCTTCCTCCTGGGTTCAAGCGATTCTCCTGCCTCAGCCTCCCAAGTAACTGAGATTACAGGCATGCACCACACCTGGCTAATTTTTGTACTTTTAGTAAAGATGGGGTTTCACCATGTTGGCCAGGCTGGTCTTGAACTCCTGGCTTCAGGTGATCCTCCCGCCTCAGCTTCTCAAAGTGTTGGGATTACAGGTGTGAGCCACCGCACCCAGCCAATGAGATTTTAAAGGAAAGATATGTGTGGCATTTTTACTTTGTGTAACTAGAAAATTTTGTGCAGCAGATAATTTGAATCTATTTGGAAAAATTAAAATTTTCTTTCTTTTTTTTCAGATGGAGTCTCGGTCTATAGCCCGGGCTGGAGTACAATGGCACAATCTCAGCTCACTGCAACCTCTGCCTCCTGGGTTCAAGTGATTCTCCTGCCTCAGGCTCCCGAGTAGCTGGGATTACAGGTATGTGCCACCACACCCTACTAATTTTTGTATTTTTAGTAGACACAGGGTTTTGCCATGTTGGCCAGGCTGGTCGCAAACTCCTGACCTCAGGTGATCCAACTGCCTCGGCCTCCCAAAGTGCTAGGATTACGGGCATAAGCCACTGTGTCCAGCCTTAAAAATTTATTTCTAATTAATTTTATAAAGTTTTCTTCACAGTTGTAGAAGAATGGGCATATGCTTGGTGATATTAATATTTTGAATTCTAGGATAGACTGATTTAAATCTGGAAAAATTATTTTGGACCTTATAGGTGTAAAAGGATTTGATTTTTATCTGAATCATGACTTGAAAGGAACCCTTTTACACATATAAAAAGGTAAGGGTTTTACAGGTTTCTAAATATGTAATTTATTCTAGAGGAAAAGTCTAAATTTACCTAAAGGGTAAATTATATAATATAAATCCAAGAAATAACAAATTAGCCTGTTCAAACCTCCTAAAGACAGTAGTTTATTATTTTATATAAGATAGGATGTTGCTGTATTGCCCAGGCTGAAATACAATGTTTATTCATAGGCTCCTTCCCAATTCTCAGCACGGGAGTTTTAATCTGCTTGTTTCTGACCTGGGCAGGTTCACCCCTCCTTAGGCAACCTGGTGGTACCCTACTCCTGAGAGGTCATCATATTGATGCTGCTCTTAGTGTGGACACCCCACCAGCATAGCGCACTGTAGCCCAGAACTACTGGGCTCAAGTGCTCATCCTGCCTCAGCTTCCAAAGTAGCTGGGACCACAGGTGTGCCTGCCTGTACTTTGTTCTTAATTCCCCAACTCTACTTTGTGTCTTCATCAAACTATTTTTATAAACTATCTTTTCTCTATAGCAGTAGTCTGTCAGCTAAAGAAGAAAACAAGGCCAGGTGCGGTGGCTCACACCTGTAATCCCAGCACTTTAGAAGGCTGAGGCGGGTGGATCACCTGAAGTCAGGAGTTTGAGACCAGCCTGGCCAACATGGTGAAACCCCACCTCTACTAAAAATACAAAAATTAGCCAGGTGTAGTGGTAGGCGCCTGTAATCCCAGCTACTCGGGATGCTGGGGCAGGAGAATTGCTGGAACATGGGAGGCAGAGGTTGCAGTGAGCCGAGATTGTGCCACTGCACTCCAGCCTGGTGACAGAGTGAGACTCCGTCTCAAAAAAAAGAAAAAAAAAAAGAAAAAAAGATGTAGAAAGAAGAAAACAAAACAAAAAATATTTTCCCTTAAAAAACTCTTCATTTTTGCAAGAAATGCCTTTGGTTTTCTTTGTATTTAAATTACACATTCAAAATCAACATAAAAAGGGATTGAGTTTGTCATTTTTAAATTGTCCCCATTACAATTTTTTCCCCATTAAATTACTATCATGTATAATAGAGAATTGAAAACTGATAGTCTATTGATAATTGATAGTCTAAAATATGGGTTATTAGGTGGGGACCTGAATATATAAAATACCTAATTGTACACTCTTTAATTTGCAATATATCATAAGACACTCAAAATTCAAAGTATATTAAAGATTTGGAGTGTGAAGGAAAAGGTTGTGTTCTAGCATGTTGAAAAGCCAAAGGAAAAATATTAAAGAGAGAAAGGGTTAAACTTTGCTTATTTACCTTACTTCCATAATACTTAGCACAATGCTTTGTAGGAAGAAGAAAGGCAACAATTACTGAATTTATAATCTTTTTTTTTTTTTGAGACAGAGTCTTGCTCTGTCACCCAGGCTAGAGTGCAGTGGTGCAGTCTTGGCTCACTGCAACCTCCACCTCCCGGGTTCAAGTGATTCTCCTGCCTCAGCCTCCTGAGTAGCTGGGATTACAGGCGCCTGCCACCACGCCCGGCTAATTTTTGTATTTTTAGTAAAAACAGGGTTTTGCCATGTTGGCCAGGCTGGTCTTGAACTCCTGACCTCAGGTAATCCACCCACCTTGGCCTCCCAAAGTGGTGTGGATTACAGGCGTGAGACACCGTGCCCGGCCCTATAATCATTTTTAAGGTTGTAAGAAATTAGAACTTAAAAACCTGAACAATTTTTGCAACTCACATATCTTTCTTCCTCCTATTGTTAGTCAGATCTTGAGGTGTTTATAACATAGACTAACTAGTTCTTACAACTTAGCCATAATCCAAAGGCAGCTCTCACTACTTTAATAAGTATGTTATAGTCAGATCTTGAGGTGTTTATAAAATAGACTAACTATTTCTTACAACTTAGCCATAATCAAAAGGCAGCTCTCACTACTTTAATAAGTATGTTGTAGTCAGATCTTGAGGTGTTTATAAAATAGACTAACTAGTTCTTACAACTTAGCCATAATCAAAAGGCACTCTCACTGCTTTAATAAGTATGTTGTAGCAGCCAGCTAAGAAAAATCTTTGTTGAAAAATGATATGGTGCTTTAGGAGAGTAGAACTATTCCAAAATCAATATTATAGGGACAGTTGAGGGAAAATTAAAGAAGCATCAAACAAAATACTGGACGTTCATTTAACTTCCTGTATGGGGACCCATACGTACCTTCCCACAAAGCCATGGACATCATCGTAACTGTCATATATTTCAACATAATCAGCCAAGCAACCTGGGTCATCTTCAAGGTCAAAATCTAAAAAACTCAGGTGAATACGCTGACCATACTTGAGTCTAATGTGCCAGTAGCAGATTTGGTTATCTTCGTACTCATTTGGGAAGCCTGGAGATTTAAAAATTTGCTTTGGATCTGTAAAGACGCCACCACACTCCTTTGCTGAAATGAGAAGAAAAAAAACGTAAAAACCCCAAAGCATTAGGAAAAACATTATCCCTGTTAAAAATGACATTTCTTAGCAATCTATTACTTTTTATGAAATGTTAAATGTCTTAGTATACAGCATCTATGGTATATTATGTATGCTTTTAGCTAAAGAATAAATGTATTTTTTCATCAATAGTTACTAAATTCTCTAAAATGAACATGGACTCTTTGTGAATTTATTTTTATTTTTATATTTTGAGACAAGATCTCGCTCTGTCACCTAGGCTGGAGTGCGGTGACCCAATCATAGCTTATTGCAGCCTTGAACTCCTTGGCTCAAGCAATCCTCCCACTTCAGCCTCCTAAGTAGTTGGGATGACAGGCATGTGCCACCCAGCCCTGGTAATTTTTATTTTTTTTGTGTGGAAATGGATCTTGCAATGTTGCCCAGGCTGGTATTGAACTCCTGACCTCAAGTGAGCCTCCTGCCTCTGCCTCTGAAAGTGCTGAGATTATAAACATGAGCCACTGTGCCCAGCCATGAATTTTAAAAAAGTAAATATAGTAAGAAAAAAATGGCTAGGTGTAGTGATGCTCACCCTTAGTCCCAGCTAATTGGGAGGCTGAGGCAGAAGAATCTCATGAGCCTAGGAGTTTGAGGCCAACCTGGGCAACATAGTGAGACCTCCAGCTCTAAAAAATAAAAATAAAAATAAATTTTAAAATTAAAAGAATTGTAATGTAATTAATTGTACTTTTAAAAATATTTTTATTTTATCTTTTAAGGCATAACATAACAAGTCTTTTGTGCACACGCCTATTTTTTGTTGTTGTTGTTTTTTGAAATGGAGTCTCACTCTGTTGCCCAGGCTGGAGTGCAGTGGCACAATCTCGGCTCACTGTAGCCTCTGCAATTGTTCAAGAAATTCTTATGCCTCAGCCTTCTGAGTAGCTGGGATTACAGGCATGAGCCACCACGTCTGGCTAATTTTTGTATTTTTAGTAGAGATAGGGTCTTGCCATGTGGGCCAGGTTGGACTTGAACTCCTGACCTCTGGTGATCGACCCACCTCAGCTTCCCAAAGTGTTGGGATTATAGGTGTGAGCCATGGCACCTGGCCTATGTCTATGTATTTTGACAAATATATACACATTTATATTACAAACAGCCCTATCAAGATGGTAGGGACTTTGCCCTGTGGTGTCACCATATGTCTTCAGGGCCACAAGCACTTAGAATAATGGATCCCATAAATTCTGCTTGGAAAATCATTATACAATTTCATGATCGCAAGAGACTTTAAAGTCACTCTAATCCACTTAAAAGGAATAATTTATAATTATTCTGTATACTGCCTTTACTGATTTTAAACTAATACCCTAATCCTAATATTTTAAGATTTGATGGAGATATTCATGTTTGTTTTTCCAAGTCATTCATCATTTAACAGATTTCAATATGTTATAAATTGTCATAAGAAAAACAAACACATATAAAACAAAACAAAAACGCTGTCTCAGAATCAGTGGTTTGCAATATGACCTAGAGGGAAAGCTAGGAAGAAGCCCTGGTTAATTTTAATTCCATATCAGGTAAGTGTCTAATGTCTAGAAAAAAGATGCTCCCCAGCCTTTCTATGCTCCTGTTCTGCTTTGATGAAATAAAGCAGAACAGGAGCATAGAAAGGCTGGGGAGCAACAAATGAAGGTCAAGGATCTAGTTCAAGCTTGGTGACTACTCTACACTTCATTTTCTTCATTGGTAAAATAAATGTAGCCATACCTTTCCCATTATCTATCACACAGGGTTATTCTAAGGATAAAATACAGAAAATAATTTAAGGATGTTATGCAACCCATAAGCTATTCTTACTGTATAATAAAATATACAACACATAGTTTGTATGTCTGCATAAGGATGTACATTGCCAGCTTTAGGAGCGAGTTGTTCCATCCCATAGCATCCAATCTTTGTTGTATATATTAATAGATTAGAAAAAATTCAAATATTGAACTAATTTGGCTGCCTATTTGGCTATATTTATTTAGATCTATATTTTATGTTATATCTAGTTACTGCCTCATCTATTATTTAGAATATCAGCTCTAACTTGGTGACATTGATTAATCAATAATGATTGCTTTATTTTTGTGAAGCCATTATTTTTTTTTTTTATTCCAGTGATGTTTCAGTGAGCTGTTCCCCCAGTGCTAGTTCAGGCGGTCAAGTCTCCTTCAAGTTAACCACATCCTAAATAGTCAGCATACCACCAAATCCAAAAGCGAGCTAAATGCACTGAGAATTGGGTAAAAACAAATCTCCCAGGATTCTGTATTCCCAGAGTGTATTCAGCCTCTCTGAGAAAAGAAAGCAACTTATAATAATTTATAATTTAGGATTATATTCTTATGAAAGGGCAATGAAATACTGAAAGGACCATTTCATTGGCACTTCTTCAATGACTCTAGAGTTTAATCTATGGAAATTATCCAGTGGAAGCTCAGAGATCCTAAAGTTTATCAAGTGAAAGAAGAATCAGAGAATACATTTGAAAAGAAGAGTTACTCTTAAGAGTAAAAAAGAGTGGTCTGCATAAATATATTTAAGAAAATGTAAGAGAGGGAGGGAGGAAAGGAAGATACATATTGTTGACATAACTAAATATAGGACTAAATTAGTACTGTATAGTATAGGACTAAATAAGCTTAAAGCATGTCAAAGTGACTTGAAAGTTAAAGTTACATAAATGCACTGTTAAGTATTTATTCCTATTTTGTCTCAGTTAAGACTAGTTGTAGCTGTAGGCAAAAATCTTTCTACTTGGACTACACATAATTTTGAGATATAGGTTAGTTACAGACATGAGAAACTATTCTCCAAATGTTAATATAATTAAATAATAGATTTTATAATAATACACTAAAACCTCACTATGTAACTCTCCTACTGTGTTATGGAATTTCTTATAGGGTAAATCCAAATGGGACACATCTGAGGATGTTTATGATCCTAAATGCCAGGAAGACTTTGTAACATACTGTAATATTTTGTAACATTGTCCTGGTGGAAATATACCCAAAAAGAACAGCCTACTTTTTCTCCAAGAACGTGACCTAAGAATAATTCTTTATAGTAATTATGAGTTAATTTTCTCATTATTTCCTAGTTGCAAGCAAACATGGAAAAAATATGAATAAAAATATATGGTATAATGATAGCTAGTATATACAGTATATAATTGTTAAACCATAGAATTAGAGTTGCTTAGTTTGGAAGTACTAGCATATATACACAAAAAGAAATTAAGGAAAGAATTTATTTGTTTACTTTGTCTCCTTTTCCCCGTTGTATCAAAAGGACAATTTTGAATAGTTACCATTTGGTAGCATCACTTTATTGTTTTAGCTAATTTACTGTGACAAGTTTTTAATCTGCTTTTTTATTTTCTTTTTCTTTATGGCTGGGAAGTTCCCTGGCACAGAGAAGATCTGAATTCTCAGTCCCATCTGCCTAATCATTATTGACTCCTGATTTGGGGTTACTTAATTCTCTAAGTTTCAATTTCCTGATTTCTAAAATAGGTATAACAATAGCTCCTTGAAGAATTATTGTGAATATTAAGTTAGAGTGTAGACGAAGGAACACAACTCAATGTCGGGTATAGTATAAGCACTTTATGAATTGTAGTTATTAGTAGTAGTTATTATTACCAAAATCAATTATTTCTGGAAAAAGTAGCCATTTCTTTTTTAACAACCTCTTAGCAGCATGGAACTGTTTTTGCAAAACATAAAATTATTATTTTTAACACACCGTGTGGGTTGTAGCAATAGGCATCCCATCTTTCACTCCTATTGAGACGGATTCCATAATCAATAATGCCAGTTTTTCCAAATCCACAGTTGGGCCCTGGCTTCACAATGGGGTATCCAACTCTGCCCTTAGCCATCCATCCAGCAGCACAGACATGAAATCCTGCAAGAAGAAAAAGAGTTATGGACTAAACAGGTAAACTGTCTTGGCTAAGCAAAAGTCATCTTAGCAAAGATAGCCACTTCCAATAGTAAGTTTCTTAACTGGTCAAATCCAGTTCATGTAAAAGGGAGAAAATTGCTTCCTTAATTAGACAAAGTGTGAATACACATGAAATATAACTTCTGATTTTTATTGGAAAACTACCTCTTACTTGAAAAAAATGCAAATGGACTACAAATTATTGTGGGTATGAAACTAATCCAAGTTCAGAGCTGGCTTCTTTTCACAAATGACGTATGGAATGCCATGAGACAATTTCTGAAATTATCAATTTTGAAAAAATATTTTCAAGTGGTAATTTAATTTCTATTTTAGGATCAATTAAGATATTTGTAATATCTTATTTATCTATTTTTTGAGACAGAGTGTCACTCTGTCACCCAGGCTGGAGTGGGGTGGTGCAATCTTGGCTCACTCCAACCTCCGCCTCCTGGGTTCAAGCAATTCTCCTGCCTCAGCCTCCTGAATAGCTGGGCTTACAGGCATGCACCACCATGCCCAGCTAATTTTTGTATTTTTAGTAGAGATGGGGTTTCTCCATGTTGGCCAGACTGGTCTCAAACCCCTGACCTCAAGTGATCTGCCCACCTCACCCTTCCGAAGTGCTAGGATTACAGGCATGAACCACCACGCCTGGCCTATTTATTTATTTAGAGACATGGTCTTGCTCTGTCATCCAGGCTAGAGTGCAGTGGCATGAACACAGCTCACTGCAGCCTCCACCTCCTGGGTTCAAGCAATCCTCTCACCTCAGTCTTTAGAGTAGCTGTGACCACAGGTGTGCATCACCACACCTGGCTAATTTTTTAATTTTTTTTGTAGAGATGAGGTTTCGCTATGTTGCCTAGGCTGGTCTTGAACTCCTGAGCTCAAGCAGTCCAAAGTGCTGGGATTACAGGTGTGAACCACTGCACCCTATCAGATATTCATAATGTTTTAGAAGATTTGAATAAAGATAAATTCTCTCATACATTTCAAACAAAGGCTCAGCCCTGTTTCCTTTGCTCAGCCTCAGAGGCTGTTTTAGTATCTGTCAATGCCACCAAGAGCAATTTTACTAGAGGTCCAGGATGGCCAGTAAAGACTATGGGCTTTGTCTCTTCCACTCCAGTTACTATGCCCCATGCCGCCCCCTGATTACAGACCAGCAGTCATCTGGGGAGGCTTTGGGGCATTTGAGAAAACACTCTTATTTTTTTTCTTGAGTAATGTATCAACTTTGCCGGATGTTATCCAGTCAGCAAAGGAGTTCTGAATGGGGGTGGCCCATTCTCCCCAAAGGCCAAGAGAGATGGTAGCAATCCACTTTTGTATAAAGAAGCATGTAACACCAGTTGATTGCTGGGATTTTCACCAGGTCTTCTGATACCATCTTCCCAGTTTCTTTCTGCTTCTATCTCACGACCTTCCTGTCCTCCTTTTCCTTATAGCTTTTGATCCTGAAGTACAAATACATTCTCCCACTTAATGGAAAAAAATTGGGGAAAAAAGCCACTAAATTCAATATTTCTCTACCAAGTAAATTTCCTTGTAAGACTCAATATAGTACTATAGCATCATTTAACAGCCACCATACTGAGAAGTCAAAGAGATAGAACAATACTAAAAAGAATAGCAATGGCATTGAAATTAATGAGAAATTTAAATAATATTGAAATAATGAGGTTTTCATTTTCTTTTGACTTGTATTTTATTAGGTCACACTGGGTTAAGACTCCACATAAGTTGGTGGTACTAGGAACTGTCTGCCAACTCTAGGCAGATGGATAGGAGAAGTCAGAGAGCAGAAATGTCCTAGGGGCTTAGTGATATATCAGAAGGGGGTTGGAGAAAGAAGTCTTACTAGGGCTTAGGAAAGATGGATTTTTTTCCTCCAAGGATAAAAAAGAAGAAAAATCATTGTGAAATCAGTTACCAATTTTTCTGGCTGCCTCTAGCTGCTTGTAAGTTGCGAGATGGCCGCCTTCAAATTCACACACCGCCTTAGCTTCTGCGTAGGTGAGCTTGTATTTGCCAGACCGTGCTTCTCTGTGGTACACACCGGCTGCTCGTTCTGCAAAATCAGATGATGTCATAAAAGCACTGTTGTTCCTTCTTACGGAACAGGGGAAATTCTGTGGCCTCAGCTGGAAGATTACAACAGCTATTGTTCCTGCCAAAGGGCTTTCTGGGTTGGCTGCCTTGGGTAGCTAAGTTTTCACTGTTAGGAAACTTTGGGGAAAAATCTGAATGAGGGGGAATTTTAGGGGAATTTGGGGCCATAAACAGAAACTTTAGGCTAAATTATGTTTTTTTGTTTGTTTGGTTGGTTGGTTTTTGTTTTGTTTTGTTTTTTTGAGACGGAGTCTCTCTGTCTCCCAGGCTGGAGTGCAGTGGCGCGATCTCAGCTCACTGCAAGCTCCGCCTCCCGGGTTCACACCATTCTCCTGCCTCAGCCTCCCGAATAGCTGGGACTACAGGTGCCCGCCATCACGCCTGGCTAATTTTTTTTTTTTTTTTTAAAGTAGCGACAGGGTTTCACCGTGTTAGCCAGGATGGTCTTGATCTCCTGACCTCGTGATCCACCCGCCTCGGCCTCCCAAAGTGCTGGGATTACAGCCATGAGCCACTGGGCCTGGCCTAAATTGTGTTTTTGATCGATAGCCTGAAATAAAGTTTTCATTTTTTTTAATTTTGTATTTTTATTTTGTGAGACGGAGTCTCACTCTGTCGCCCAGGCTGGTGCAATCTGGGCTCACTGCAATCTCCGCCTCCTGGGTTCAAGCGATTCTCCTGCCTCAGCCTTCCGAGTAGCTGGGATTACAGGCATGTGCCACCACAATCAGCTAATTTTTGTATTTTTAGTAGAGACGAGGTTTCATCATGTTGGCTAGGCTAGTCTTGAACTCCTGACCTCAAGTGATCCACCTGCCTCGGCCTCCCAAAGTGTTAGGATTACAGACGTGAGACTCCGTGTCCGGCCTAAAATAAAGTTTTTAATACAACATTGTATTGCAACACTATCCACAGGTGATAAAGTTTTGGCTTTCTGTTGGATTTAAGCTATATAAAAACGTGCAAAGGTAAGCAATAGGGGAAAGAAAAGGAGGTGAAGGCAAAAGAAACTAGTGAAGATGGATCCATTATGTAGGCTCACAATGACGTAGAAAAATAAGCTAAAATATCCAATTGAGGGCAATGACTAATGCAATATAATTAAGAATTTAGGCCGGGCGTGGTGGCTCACGCCTATAATCCCAACACTTCGGGAGGCCGAGGCGGGCGGATCACGAGGTCAGGAGATCTAGACCATCCTGGCTAACACGGTGAAACCCTGTCTCTATTAAAAATACAAAAAATTAGCCAGGCGTGGTGGCAGGCACCTGTAGTCCCAGCTACTCGGGAGGCTGAGGCAGGAGAATGACATGAACCCGGGAGGCGGAGCTTGCAGTGAGCCGAGATTGCGCCACTGCACTCCAGCCTGGGCGACAGTGAGACTCTGTCTCAAAAAAAAAAAAAAAAAAAAAAAAAAAAAAGAATTTAGTAAGACAAATAAAAACTGAGGAAAGATCTGAAGGGATCCAAAGCAAATACTAAATTAGGGAAAAGAAAAATAGATTCAAACACAGCAGAGAAAAAACTGGACACACCTAACTACCAGTTAATGCCTCAATTTTTTATCTGATTTGTCTTTTTTAGTTCACATATTTTTCCCAACATATTTTAGGCAGTGTTAAGTCATACATGAGTTGTCTTCCAATAGATCACTGTTTAAATGGATTGTTTTGAGTTTGGAGTCCCTTCTACCATAGAAACAATGTGAAAAGATTCCCAGGACAATAGTCATAACATTAGCTCTGTAGTTAGCTCTAATAGTTCTATGTAGTCTGACATTATGGTTAAGTCTCTGTATTCTGACCTGTGCAATCAGCCACCCTTAGGACCATTTGCAGTGAGGACATACATATTTCTTGGCACCAAGAAATGAATCCAGGAGAATTAGAAATATAGTTCTTTGTTTTCCACCCCAAACTGAAGTTGACATTGCCACAGCTCAATAAGAGAGGGTGCTTGTTTTTCTGAACTCCAAGGATCCTGCTCTTATACATTACATAGTAAATCCCATTACTCACACACAGAGGACCTTAGTCAATCTGATGCTCGAGGTCAGAGAATACCAGGAACATCAGTCAAGTTGTTTCTCTATTGAAAGATGCCTGCTGCCCAGTGTCCTTCATACGGCAAAGCCTCATTAAACTTTTGCTAGTTTTCAATTTAGTTACTTTGAACATCATACCACGGGGTATTTTGCTAGGTGCTGTGGGTCAGGTTCTATCCTCAAGGAACTTGGACACTAGTGAATATTTTGAATTTCTTTATCTTGAAATAGAGGAACACTAAAGCTTTTGGTAGAGACAGGAGGCCTGTTTAGCTTACTTACGTATTATAATAGAGATTGTTGTTAATCATTAAAAATGTTAAAAATTATATTTCCTAAGAATACAGATTAAAAGACCTGTATTTGAAAACAAATTTTGTAAAAATTATTTTAATGTATACAAAGTTTTCTCAAACTGATTTTCTTCATATTTTATTTCAAAATTAAAATGTGATGTATACGGAAAAAATGAACGGAGATTTGGCCGGGCATGGTAGCTCATGCCTATAATTCCAGCACTTTGGGAGGCTGAGGCGGGTGGATCACCTGAGGTTAGAAGTTCCAGACCAGCCTGGCCAACATGGTGAAACCCCATCTCTATTAAAAATACAAAAGATTAGCCGGGTGTGGTGGTGCACGCCTGTAGTCCCAGCTACTTGGAAGGCTGAGGCAGGAGAATTGCTTGAACCAGGGAGGCAGAGTTGCAGTGAGCAGAGATCATGCCACAACACCCCAGCCTGGGCGACAGAGTGAGACTCCATCTCAAAAAACAAAAAAACCAAACCAAAACAAAACAAAAAAATTAACAGATTTAAAAAAATAATAATTTTAAGTTTTCCTCCAAGTAATTTTTCATTTTTTAAAAATCTTTTATTTTAAATTCGGGGGTACATGTGCAGGTTTGTTACATAGGTAAACTCACATCACAGGGGTTTGCTGTACAGATTATTTCATCACCCAGGAATTAAACCCAGTACCTCTGTTCCTCTCCCTTCTCCCACCCTCAGTAATTTTTCTTAAACTTTTGGTACCTACTGAAACTTGTCTAGTAATAACATAATAACAGAAATAGCAAAAAATTTTTGTTATAATTTCTGATTTAATTTATTAAATATTAACATTCCACATTGTTCCTCTAATAGCGCCAAACTTCCCAGTATGTTGCCATATGAACAAATAGAGAACTCTTGGAGTATGTACCTGACAATTTTAAATAAGGTGTTTTATTAAAAATATTTCTCAATTCAGAATTTTGAGCTATTAAGATGGACCTTTGTACAATGAATCCTAATTTTACCTTTCAGAAGCAATAATATTTTATTAATTTATCTAGTCAATAGTCATTTATTAAAACTGAAAATTTGTTTAATAAATGTTTTCTCCTTTTAGTGAGTGGCGGCAGTAGAAATGGACTTTGGTTCCACTGCTGTTTCTACCATGGAGTTGTATAACCAGATGAGCCTCAGTTTCCTCATTTGTCAAATGGGACTAATGATAGCTTCTGGACCATAGAAGGAACTCAAGATACGTCACTTTTCCTTTCTTTCTTTTTTTTTCTCTGAGACAAGGTCTCACTCTGTCACCCAGGCTTGAGTGCAGTGGTGAGGTCACGGCTCACTGCAACGTCTGCCTCTTGGGCTCAAGTGATCCTTCCACTTCAGCCTCCTGAGTAGCTAGGACTACAGGCATGCACCACCACACCCAGTTAATTGTGTTTTTTTTGGTAGAGACAGAGTTTCTCTATGTTGCCCAGGCTGGTCTTTTTAATTCCTGGGGTCAAGCAATCTGCCCACCTCAGACTCCCACAGTGCTAGGATTACAGGTGTGAACCACTGCATCCCACCTTCCTTTCCCTTCTTTTTCAGATTCAACAATAAAAATAATTGCTTATCTGTGCATTTTTTATTCTCATGATCCATGTAAAATGATTGTAATTTCTTGTCCTTAACTGTGGTTTGTTTTTGTTTTAAGTACTATTTTAAAAATTAGATGATACCAGAGTTAAAATAAGCCTTAGGGATCCTTTACTTCAACCTTATCATTTTACCAGATTGGAACCATAACCTAGAGAATTTAAAGTAAACTTGTCCAACTTGCGGCCTGCCAGGACGGCTTTGAATGTGGCCCAACACAAATTTGTAAACTTTCTTAAAACATTATGAGTTCCCTGGGCCAGGTGCGGTGGCTCACGCCTATAATCCCAGCACTTTGGGAGGCCAAGGTGGGCGGATCACGAGGTCAGGAGATTGAGACCACCCTGGCTAACATGGTGAAACTCTGTCTCTACTAAAAATACAAAAAATTAGCCAGGCGTGGTGGCGGGTGCCTGTAGTCCCAGCTACTTGGGAGGCTGAGGCAGGAGAATGGCGTGAACCTGGGAGGCGGAGCTTGGAGTGAGCCGAGATGGTGCCACTGCACTCCAGCGTGGGCAACAGAGCGAGACTCTGCCTCAAAAAAAAAAAAAAAAAAAATTATGAGTTGCCCAAGACAATTCTTCTTCCAATGTGGCCCAGGGAAGGCAAAAGATGGGACACCCTAGATTTAAAGTGTCCTGTTCTTGATAGTTGCTAACAGATGTATCCCTTCTAATCCAACTATCTTTCCTTCCTAAATGGTTTCTAAAAAGATTATATTGATCCAACCAACTATAAACATCTGTGCTAGGCTGGCTGGTCAAAAATTTGCCCCAGATTGAAGCAATTTGCAATTATCCTGACCCTCAGATTTGTAGCATACATTAATAGACGTTTGAATTTGCTTCTCTCTACCTCTGGGGCAAAACTTCTATTGTCCAGGTTTATATTTTTGTAACATATGACAACACTTTAAAAGACAACTCTAAATTACTTGATTATTAGAGGGTTTGATAATATTTCAAAGTTTATCTGCCTGGATTTAATTCTTACTAGCTTTATGACATTTAAAAAAAATCCTGACAAATATGAGTGTATTTCCTATATTTGACTGTATTCAACTAAAATAAAGAGATGGGCTCATTCCTCTACTAAATTTCAGATCCCGTCTTGGCCAAATGGATCACAGTGAAATTAGTTCACTGGCTCAAGCTGAAAAAAATAGGCGGCAAGGCTGTGCATTACAAATTAGGCTTTTTAATGAAATCCGCATGGTTGCAGTTATTACCAGAGAGAAACATGCTGAAAGGGAAAATATTCTACAACTGTGCTGTTTAGAAAGCATAAAATCAAAATCTAGGTTAATTTCGCCTTCTCTTTATTTCTTTATTCTATGCAAGAATCTATGCATTTTTCCCCAAGAAATTCAATTTTTTTTTACTATTAAACACAATAATGAACATAGAGCAATATCAATTTGTATCATGAGAATTAAAGCATTGTTTAGCATACTGTAATCTAAGGGGTGTTTTGGATTTTCTGCATTTTCCTTTTTTGATCTATTGTTTATCTTCACTGTTTGGCCTGTCTCATTCCTTACATTTAACAAAACAAAATAACAAAAGAAACTTTCCTTGTCTAACAAAAGGGTCAGAAAAGTATTTATATGGATAGTAGAAACAGAAAGAATCAAAGTGGTAAGAATGCATTCAGAAGGAGAAACATTTTTCACTTTTTTCTGTACTGCAAGCTGGCTTGGTCAAAATAGTCAAAATGTTTGAAAAAACTAAGATATAGACTATAGCTCAGAGTCCATGAAGCAATTATTATAAAATTTTCGTAGACTCCAATTTACCTGTTAGGATTCTGAAATCTGATTGCAAATGCATTGACATAAAAACAGAAGACTATATTGGAGTTTCTAGTTGGTTAAAGAAATACTCCTCACTGTACTACTACATCTGCTTTGAAAAGTTTAAAAATATATTTTCATACTGAATATAAATATTAACTGCTATTTTCTACTGAACAATTCACTTTATAAAATGCTATTTTTAAATTTTAGAGGACAAGAACGCTTAAAAAAAAAAAAGCGTATGTATTCCAAAGGCTATCTTTCCTAAGCATTTTCTTTGAGAACATCAGCCTTGTACAGAATAGAAAAAGTTACTGCTTTAAATTTCCTTCTCCATGATTTAAAGAATTGACATTCTCAACAAGAGGCTCATGAGTGAAGGTTCTTACCAAGCCATATGGAGTTATGAAAAATTCCATCCTTGAATCCCCATCCTTGAGTGTCTTCCCATAGCAAGAGAAATAAGTAAATTAAGATGATCATATCGTCAGTTGTAGTGAAGTAACAGCCTGTTAGGGGCTGCTCACAAATTCTCAGAGCAGTGGCTGAAATGTGACTGAAACATCTGGTTTCCACATCTTTTAAATAGTTTTTTTCAACTGTGAGGTCAGCAAGTACTCTCCAATGGCATTTTCCGCTGTAGAGTTACACAATTATCTCAGTGTCTGAAGCAAATCCTCTGACTCATTTGCATTGGCAACCAAAACTAAGGAGATAGAATGATCATCTATGTTTTAAAATTAACTTACTAAGAACGGAGTTCATTTATTGTTAGTCACAAACACTTTTCTGTTAGAAAGTTTGTGTAACTTGATGCAGATTTAGCAGTGATTAAAAGAAAATCGAACTTCAGTAGGAATTTCAAGATAAATCCTAAATGTCTTATTTGCAGTGTCAATTATGGGATATGGGGTTAAACACTAATCTTTTATTGGTAATGTTGGACTGGCTTTTCTAAACATTGTCAAGCCTGTGTAAAAAATTTAAAACAAAAAGTATGCACAGCTTGGAGAATCCTAATTTTTCTCCAGTGATATATGACTTCCTTATTCTCTGCCTGCTTTTCTTCCAGGGTGGGGTCTGTTGCAGTCTTTGGTGTGTTATGGTCAGCAGCTAAATAAATGTATCAGCTCCCAGAAAAGTATTTCAATTTCAGAGCGTCAGGATGTTCCAGCAGCTTTGGGATGTCCTATTATAACACAGTTTTCCCAGGCCACAAATTCTTGAAGTGTTGGGAGAAAGGTGGGTAGACTAACAAAGTTAATAAAAACTTGTCCCTAGCTTCCCTAGACCACTCTAACTTTGAAGAAGACGATCAAGGTAATAGATAATAATTATTACAGTAAAGTCATCATGTCTTCAAATATCCCAAACTTTCCTCTTCCTTTGTGTAGAATCCTTGGGTAACATATCTGATAATACTCCCACTACCGCTGATGCTAATGGCATTTCCTATTGTTCATTGATAGCCATTTATTGGCAACTTTTGATTTTTTTACAAAATTGGTCATTTTTTGCTACTTAGATTCTCTACTTTTGGTCTCAAATTGCTTCCCATTCACTCCTATTATAGCATTCATTTCTCCCATGCTTTCTTAGTCCCTCCAATGATGTTGGAGTTCTTTGAAAAAGCCAACTTGCTAGACATGCTCTGGTTTGAAGTTAGCTTTGAATCCCTTAGACATCTTTGCTTTGAACATCTCAGGTGTGTTCTGGTCTCATCTCTTCTCAAAAGAGCAGTTATGGGGATGTAGGCTGAGAGTACAGAATTTATTGGATGCTCACTGAGGTATACATAAAGTTACTAGCATTGAAAATCTTTATTTTGGACTGGTGGCACATGAAAGATGAGGGAATTGTATCCAAGTTCACAGATAGGGTTAGTGAATTTAAGTTTGTTGCAAAAGAGAAAGGTATAGTTTAGACCAGGTGGGTGTGACTATGGAGAAGACAGGCATGGTTACTGAGAGCAAGATTCATAGGTAGTTGGAAGGAATAAACCATGATATTTCTTTGGAAAGTATAATTATATGCGTATTTTAAGTTTGTGGTTTAGGAAGTAAATATAACTTTAGTTGTGCAGTGCTACAGCAAAACCTTCCCATAGTCTTTCCAATTCTTTTCTTGTCACATCCTCCAGCTGTGCCCTTTCTGCATCTCTCTCAAGCACCTAATTTCCCCCTAGTTCTCATTTATCAAAAATTACTCTCAGGAAAGGGTTTGCAATTAATCTTTAGTTAGGCCAGATAACTAAGAACAGATACCCTTCTGTGTTCATTTGCATTTTAATGAAGCTCCAAGTAGAGCGAAGTGTGAATGTTCAACTTCTTTTAACACGAAAATTTAATGAGTTGCTTTGATGAATTAACCCGATCTGGGGTGGAGGATTTCTTTCTCCCCTCTCCCAACTCTCATGCAGAATATAAATATTTCCCCTTACCTCTGCATAGTGTCTGAAAATCTCATCCTCCATATCATCAAGGAAATAGAGAATAATGCCTAATGATGTAAGTTCTGATTTTGAGGGGCATTCAATAAAGGAAAGAGGAAATGGGGTTTTCATATGGAAAAGATGCAGAGGGTAATCCTGAGGACGAGAGAGAAGAAAAGAGAGAGTAGCAAAGGAAATGTTGCCTATGAACTTACCTTGGAAGTTGTCTAAGAAGCACCCTCTGCCCAGCCTCCAGCACACACCACCCAGGATAAGCCTCATGAGGAGCTGAGAGAAGATACACTGATAAAAGTTCCTTTCAGGCCGGATGCAGTGGCTCATGCCTGTAATTCCAACACTTTGGGAGGTCGAGGCAGGAGGATCACGAGGTCAGGAGTTTGAGACCAGCCAGACCAATATGGTGAAACCCCGTCTCTACTAAAAATACAAAAATTAACTGGGTGTGGTGGCTTGCTTCTGTAATCCCAGCTACTCAGGAGGCTGAGGCAGGAGAATCGCTTGAACCCGGGAGGCGGAAGTTACAGTGAGCCAAGATCGCGCCACGGCACTCCAGCCTGGGTGCCAGAGCCAGACTCCATCTTAAAAAAAGAAAAAAAAAGTTCCTTTCAAGGTTCTGGAAGACTTAACCAGTCAAGTATTTTGCCTTCTCAGAGGAATGCCCTCCCCTTCCACTATCTCTGGGTCAAGATGTGCAGTGGCTCCTTTCGCACATATCACCACTAGCTGAAAACCCAGCAAGACTGCTTTTTGTAGAGGAGTTCCTGTTTTGGTTGCTTTTCTACAATGTTCCAATGCCCGTAAGCCTAAGCAGCTATTAGATACCTAAAGGCATGGTGGAGAGAACTCCATATCTGAATTGGGATAGGGCTGCACTGAACAAGCTTAAGATCTCTTAAGCTGCCACGATAGTTAATGATGTCACTATTGCACAAAGTTAACTGAAAAAATGAGACACTAGCCAGTGTGGTGGTGTGTGCTTGCAGTCCCAGCTATTCAGGAGGCTGAGGCAGGAGGATCACTTGAGCCTAGGAGTTGGAGGCTTCAGTGAACTATGATCATATCACTACACTATAGCCTGGGCAACAGAGCGATATGCTGTCTCGAAAGAAAAAAAACAGCAAGAGAGACGCTAAAGTAGAATTTTAAACATCTATTAGCAGTTAAGAGGAAATATTTTATATCCTTTTGACATGCTGAGTCTCAGCTGACAGGAAAAAGGGATGGAGAAGTGTCAGGTGAATATAGACAGGAGAAAAAGAAAGAGAGAAGGAAAACAGGTTCTAAGACAACATGTCTGATTATACTTAAGACTGGATTTGAATGGCAAGATGTGCAAAAATGCAATTCTTTGATACACTGTATGAAAATTAAAATATAAATTATATCCTTTATTAAGCATATGTTGCAATCTTGGAAAGAGCAGGAAAAAAACCAAGATGAGATTAGCAAAGGGTGGAGCTCCGTGAATCACAAAATATGTCAATACAGGACATTTTTAACACTGCCAATAAGGACATAAAATTGCAATACAGGAATGCCCCACCCATCCCAGAATCTCCACATGGACTAGGATAGGAATAAAAGCAATAAATGAAGAAAAACCCATTCCCCTTGAGTGTGACTTAAAATGATTGGAGAGAAATTCTTATGTGTGACATAGAACATACTTAAAGAAATGAAACATGTGGCATTGTACTCGTTCATTCAATAATCAGTGCAAACTTTTACAGGGTCAGTGAGCAGGATAGAGCCTAACTAGAACAATGGGAAATCTTTGGAAAAGTGAAATATTTATTTATTTATTTTTTTGAGACAGAGTTTCGCTCTTGTTGCCCAGGCTGGAGTGCAATCACAATCTCGGCTCACTGCAACCTCCACCTCCCAGGTTCAAGCAGTTCTGCCTCAGCCTCCCGAGTAGCTGGGATTACAGGCATGCGCCACCATGCCCGGCTAATTTTGTATTTTTAGTAAAGATGGGGTTTCTCCATGTTGGCCAGGCTGGTCTCGAACTCCTGACTTCCAGTGATCTGCCCACCTCGGCCTCCCAAAGTGCTGGGATTATAGGCATCAGACACCATGCCCAGCCTATTTAATTATTGTATATCAAAAAGCTTTGAGACAGTGAATATGAGCCTATGTACAACACCGAATGGAATAATGCACTTTCAAGTTTATGGGTAAACAGATGTCAGAAAGAGATCCAAAATTGATGTC
This sequence comes from Homo sapiens, assembly GCF_000001405.40. NCBI lineage: Eukaryota > Metazoa > Chordata > Mammalia > Primates > Hominidae > Homo > Homo sapiens. The sequence continues at coordinate 151,353,483 of NC_000002.12, read as the reverse complement.
GGACTTCCAGTTGTTAATGCAGTGTGACAGTTGTTAGTAATCTTCACCAAATATTTCCAGCTTGTCAACTTCCAGCAAACATGATAGCATTGTATGTGTGTCCCTCTGTGGTTTGGTGGAACCATGTGATTATTTTTGGCTAATGAGATGTGAGCAAAAATTATGTATGTCATCTTAGAGTGAGAATTTGATTGCTAATGCTCCAGAACTCTTTCCTTCTGGCATGGCGGGAAACATTTGTGATGACAGCTGCTCTTTCACCCTGATTCCAATTGATCCCTGGATTTTATATAACATGAATGAACTATAAACTTTTGTTATTTTACGTTATTGAGATTTTGGGGTCATTTATTACTGCTAGCATAACAATCTATCCTGATTTGTAGGAAGAAGTGAGCTAATATAGATATTAAAACAAAGGGTAAGTTTAAAAGGTTAGCAGTCTAAGGACATTCAGATGCAAAAACTAAGACAAGAAGGAGAAATACGAAGAGGAGGAAATAAGAATGAGGAAAAGAAGACAGTGATTAATGGATTTAATATTCTTCCTCTGCCCACCTCCCAAACTCCTAATAACACACAGCTCCTCGATCTATGATTTGCCTCTCCAAATTTATTGACCAGTACCCCCCCCATATGCATTTATTCCAATCAGACTGCTTCCTGTTCCTCTAAGTCTTGAAAACATGTCTTCTTTCCTTGCCTCTTGTCTTCTCTAACTAGTCAGGGAATCACCGAACTCAGTGTTAGAAACCAAGAGATCAGCTGGCTCAAATTCTACCTGTTGTAAATCACTGCTATGCTGCCCTTATTTATTCATTTATTATTTGAGAAGTGAGGTCTTGCTATGTTGCCCAGGCTGACCTCCAACTTCTGTGCTCAAGTGATTCTCCTGCCTCAGCCTCCTGAGTGGCTGGAACTATAAGTGAACATCATCACACCTTCGTAACCTGAAATCCTTAAAACTTTGGCTCATCCTTAAACTGAGGCCTACAGAGTAAGTCTTACTTCCATCGGCTTTCAGGAAAAATTTCTATGACCTATGAAGCCCGGAGCAAAGAATCAAGCACATATATTTGAAAACAAATTTAAAATATGCTCACTTAAAATTTCCCTTTTAAATATTTTTACAAGATAGGTTCTAAAACATTACGTTTAGAGTGATCCTATGTGATAAAAGGTACATCTTGAGCCTAGAAGTTCAAGGCCAGTCTGGGCAACATATTGAGACCCTGTCTTTACAAAAAAAAAATTTAAAAATTAGCTGGGCATGGTGGTGTGTGCCTAACTATTTGAGAGGCTGAGGCAGGAAGATTGCTTGAGCTTGGGATGTCGAGCTATAGTGAGCTATGATGGCGTCACGGCACTCCAGCTTAGACAACAGAGTAAGACAGCAAGACTCTGTCTCTGTCTCTCAAAAACAAATGAAAAAAATTAAAAACAACAAATAAAGAAAAATATATGTGTAAATATATGTAAAGGGAAAGTCCAGAAAGATATACACACAAATGCCAAATATCTCTGCATGGTGGAGTTATGCTTTGATGATTGGGAGCTTTCTAATTTCCTCTTGTTTTTTTTTGTATTAAATGAATTTTTGTCTAATAAATATATATCATTTGTGTAATGAACATGCATCATTTGTGTAATGAATAAGAAAAGTTATAATTCATATACATATATTTATTTTTTATTTTATTTTTGAGACATATATGTACATATATTTAAAGGTCTTGGCCTAATTGACACAGCAATGAGACTGTTAAAGAATATTTGCTTATTTATTTTTATTTTTTTATTTGAGTTTCTTTTTTTATTTGAGTCTTGCTCTGTCACCCAGGCTGGAATTAAAAAAATAAAAATAAAAAAACTAAAAAAAAAAAAAAGCAAGCAAGAAGATGGTAATATATATATTTTTTTTTGAGACAGAGTTTTGCTCTTGTCACCCAGGCTGGAGTGCAATGGCACGATCTCGGCTCACTGCACCCTCTGCCTCCTGGGTTCAAGGGATTCTCCTGCCTCAGCCTCTGGAGTAGCTGGGATTACAGATGCCCACCACCACACTCAGCTAATTTTTGTAATTTTAGTAGAGACGGGGTTTCACCATGTTGGCCAGGCTGGTCTTGAACTCCTGACCTCAAGTGATCCACCCTCCTCGGCCTCCCAGGTGCTGGGATTACAGGCATGAGCCACCACACCTGGCCTAGGATGGTAATATAATTTTTGAAAATAAACTTTTCCTTTCCATCATGTAGGCAGAGGCTACAGTGAGCTGAGATCATGTCACTGCACTCCAGCCTGAGTGACAGAGTGAGATTTTGTCTCAAAAATAAAATAAAATAAAATAAAATAACTGTGAGAACAAGAGTATTAGGATTTTACAAATTCCTAAGAAACTGGAGTATTGTGTTTTTAACCAAGTATGTGGTTAAAAGGAACTATTGTCTTTCCAAAGAAAAACAGATTAGTCATTATAGGATGAAAGCCAAGTAATAATTCATAGATTTGTGCTAGGTTACATGGCACAGAAGGTTACTTTTTTAATTTTAATTTTAATTTTTTGAGACATGGTCTCACTCTGTCATCCAAGCTGGAGTGTGATCATGGCTCATGGCAGTCTCAACCTCCCCAGGTTCATTTTTGTATTTTCTGTAACGATGGAGTTTTGCCATGTTGGCCAGGCTGGTCTTAAATTCCTGGGATCAAGTGATCCTCCCGCCTCAGCCTCCGAAAGTGCTGAGATTACAGGCATGAGTCACTGTGCCCAGACAACTTTTGGATAACTCCAGTGTACTTGAGGTCTATATCTTAGCGTCTAAATAGATATTTAATTTTTTGCAAATGTTTACTGAGGGCATTGTTTATGTTGAGCATTATGCTGTATATAGTAGGTAGGGATATAAAGATTAATAAAATATCATCTCAAAGAGTTCACACTTTCCTATTTGGAATATTCTCAAGTTGATTTGATTATTCACTTGGAAGTTTTGGAAAGGGGTTTAGTTAAATGTAATGCTATGTCCATTGTCATTCCACATCCTCTGGCACAGTGAAGGGAAAAATCTACCAGGAAAATGTTTGATCTTAGGATCTTTGGTACTGATAACGCTGGCAAGAGTAGCTGCCACCAGGGCTAGTGGCTTTGTCCATGAAGTATTAGATATAGTTAGGTAGGCCGAGTGCATCCTTCTTCAAAGAAATAATTTGTGTCATCGGAAACAGCCTGCCTTTAGAGACAACTTCCTTTCTGCCTTGATGTCCTGCTCAATTGCTATGGACAAGATCTTTGCATCTTCTTCCACTCATCATCCCTTCTTTCAGTACAACAGGTAGGATGAAGGGAAGGAGAGAAATCAAGCACATCTCCTAGATCTTTCACCTCTGTTACCAAGAAGCATGAGTGAGAGAAATCCTAGGTTTCATTCTTGATTTCTCTCACCAATCTCATCCAATCCACTTCCATGTCCTGTGGTCTCTACCTTCAAAGACAAAATGGTAGCAGAGATTGTTGGAAGATTACCACAAAGGTTCTCTTTTTCCTGGGCACAGTCACAGACTCTATTTCCCTGCCCTTTGCCATTTTGTGCAGTCAAGTGGCTAGATTCTAGCTAGTAGGATGTGAGTTAACATGAAGTATAACACTTTCTGTCCAGGCCCGTGAGGCGTTTGCTCATTTGCGATCTGATGCCTGAATGAGGACTTTTGAGACTTTGAGGAGAGTGGAACCAAAAGACAGAAAAAGCCTCATTTTCTGTGTGACCAGGTAGAGGGGATTGCACCAGTCAGGAACACCAAACAAAATTCTACTCGGTTAAGCCACTGGGATTGGGATTTACTTGTTACCCTAACTAAACAATACCACTGATTGGTCTGCCTCTTTCCATCTCTATGCTACCACCCCAGTCCATGACACCACCATCTCTTGCTTAGACTGTTATAATAGCTTCTTATCTCCTCCCTTTCTCTTTTGCTACCTAGAAGTCATTCTCTGTAAAGCAACCTGGATGCTGTTTTAAAAGCAGAAATCAGACCTTGTAACTTCCCTGCTTAAAAACCCCTCAAGTTTTCCTGTAGCACCAAAAACAACATCAATCACTTGATCCTGGCTTCCAAGCTGCCCGCCATTTCCCATGCTCTGGGTCTTGTCTACTTCTTAAACCTCACCCATCCTGTCTTAACTTGAGCATGCCAAGCTTGTTCCCACTATAGGGATTTTGCAATCACTGTTTCCTTTTTTTGTGATAAATCTTCCCTTCGTCTTCTTTCTTGCATTCAATCTCAGCTTAATTACTACCTCCTAGGTGAGGACCTTGTTACCCAATCTAAAGTAGCATTCAGTCACTTGTATTTTAGGACCCTATTTCTTTTTTTTTTTTGAGGCAGGGTCTCATTCTGTCACCCAAGCTGGAGTGCAGTGGCATGATCTTGGCTCACTGCAAGCTCTGCATCCAGGGTGCAAATGATCCTCCTGCCTCAGCCTCCCAAGTAGCTGAGACCACAGGCATGCACCACCATACCTGTCTAATTAGGACCCTATTTTCTTAAATGTCAGGTTTTTTGAGGTATAATTTATGTCCAGTAAGAGTTATCCTTTACAAGGTATACCATTCTATGAATTCCAAAAAACACATTCAGTTGTGAAACTGTCACCGTCACAATCAGGATGTAGAGTATTTCCGTTACCCCAAAAAGTTCCCTCAATATCACTCTACTTTAGATCTCTGCATTGAATTTATCACCATCTAATATTCTTACTTTATGTATTCATGTATCTTTTCATTCATTTGTTTAATTGTTGTCTTCTACTAAAATATATGTCCATTTAAACAGAGATCTTATTTCCTCACTCACCTCTGAATCCATTGGTATGCTGTAGAGTCTCAACAAATATTTTTGAAGGAAGGAAAGTGAGAAGGAAGAAAGGCAGGGAGGGAGGGTAGGAGGGTCTCTATGACTTCACATGTCCAGAGGGGATGTGTAATAAAACCTTTTCTAGAGTGCTTTTGAGGACCACAGGAGATGTTGACTAAAAGCCCCTAGCATCATGCCTGGCATTCAGTAGTCTACAGTTCATGTAGTTACCATCGCCTTTGAAGTTAGTTTATCAGTCTTCCTTGGCCAGCTTGATGTTTTCAGTAAGACTGGTCTTCTTCTTCTTCCTTTTGCTGTTTTGTTCCATCATGCTGCCTTCTACTGGTCCAGGGCTTTTTTCTCACTAGTGAGACAACTTGACAACTTTTCAAGGCATGCAGGTCACTGACCTCTCTCGGCAGCCTCCATACTAGCAGGAAAGGGAAGCTTTCAGGTTCCTTCTTGCTCTGGCCAATAATTGCATGAATTTCTTTCACAAGACCCACGGTCCTATATTAAGGAGTGAGATAAGGGATTCTCTATTGTCTCCTGTCTTTACAGCTCCAGTGACTCAGCAGACAAGCTCACTGATATGGTTCTCGTCTTGAATTGTAGCTCCCATAATCCCCAGGTGTTGTGGGAGGTAATTGAATCACGGGGGCAGTTACCCCCGTGCTGCTGTTCTCATGATAGTGAGTGAGTTCTCATGAGATCTGATGGTTTTATAAGGGACGTCCATCCTCCTTCCCTCGGCACTCACTTCTCTCGCCTGCTGCCATGTGAGACATGCCTGTTTTGCCTTCCACCTTGATTGTAAGTTTCCTAAGGCCTCCCTAGCCATGGAGAACTGTGAGTCAATTAAACTCCTTTTCTTTATAAATTACCCAGTCTTGGGTAGGTCTTCCTAGCAGCATGAGAATGGACTAATACACTCACTCTGCTGTGAGATTCCTGAGCTCTCTCAAGGATTTACTGTTCTTTCTAAGCTCCCTTTAGTGTGCAACCTTGACCTGAACCTCAAAGGAGTCAGCACCCTTCATGTCAGCCCTGATATCCTTTCCAGAGAGGCATTTGCCCATAGCTGATGCTCACTTAGCTTCAGGTTGCAGTTTTCAGATTTCCTATGGCATCCAATTGAAAATGCTCTGTCATCATTCTCTACCCCCCATCTCAAGGGTACTTCTGAATGTCTGTGTGCATGGGGGACCTTTGTTTTAGTTCTTCTTAGCCAATTTAGCATACTGTGCAGCAATGTAAAGAATGAGAAGGAAGAATTCCAGTACTCATGGGGGGACATTTATTTAATCAGTATTATTTGAGTATTTTAAATGACAAGTAGTTACTGAGTAACTAAAATTAAATTAATCTAGAAATGTAAAAAAAGCCAAAACTGATTTGATCTGTTATCTAACTTGAGACCTGGGAGAAAGTTTCATGAGCCTCTTTCTGATACCCTCATCTTGCAGACATAAAAATGGATGCCCACAGAAATTAAACTGGCTAGTCAAAGTCATATTTATCAGAATCTGAACTAAGACCCAGGTCTGTTAACTCCTGTTCACAAATCATTACTAAAGTCAACATGCTATCTCCTGGCGAGGGAAAAAGTGGTGAAGGCCCAAATGAAAGCCTTTCTGGCTATTTAATACACTGTCACTGCACAGCCAAAGCTCAGAGATATCGATAGCCTAAGAATCAACTGGGGGAGGCTGGCATATAAATCATTGCTGTGGCACCCTTGAAAAAGAAGATAATACTGCATATATTGAGATGAAACAGTAGCTAATAGCAATAAATGCATTCTTTAAACAAAAAATTATCTTTAAACTGTGTTAGTGTCTTGATGAGATAGTCTTGCCAGGGCCAAAATGTTCCAAGTGAAGGGAAACACATTTATGGAGGTTCGGAAATGGAAACAGATGACTCCTTTGGAGAACAGCAAGTTCTTCAGTATAGCTGGGGAAGAAGGGGCATAGTAGGAGATGGAGAGAAGTGGTAGGAGATGCGGCCTGAAGGAAGCACCAGCCAAGTCTTCTTTGCAAAAGTAAGGAGTTTGAATTTTATCCTGAAAGCTAGGGACAACTTGTAGGGGCCAAGAAACTTTCTAAAACATGTTTCTTTTCTTAATTACTTAAGCCTCAAGACTCTTTTCAGAGGTCCTCTCATTCATGAACTTGTTTGACTCCTTGGACAGTTAAGTGTATTTTATTTATTTAAGAGCTTTAAGGGTTCCAATCTGTTTGGAAGGAAGATATTTTTAACCTGATGTTTCTCTCTCTCTCTCTCTAGATACACAGATAACATATATTTGGTATACTTTGCCATCAGGTGCTATTGGGAAAATAAATAAATATAAACAAGAACACACATACCTTTTTTTTTTTAAGACAGGGTCTCACTCTGTATTTCTGCTCAGGCTGGAGTGCGGAGTGACACAATCACGGCTCACTGCAGCCTCGCCCTCTCAGGCTCAAGCGATTCTCCCGCCTCAGCCTCCTGAGTAGCTGGGACTACAGGTGTGTGCTACCATGCCCAGCTAATTTTTGTATTTTTTGTAGAGACTGGATTTCACCATGTTGCCCAGGCTGGTCTCAAATTCCTGGGCTCAAGCAATTTTCCTGTCTTGGCCTCCCCAAGTGCTGGGATTACAGGCATAAACCACCACTCCCAGCCACATGTAATTTTTAAAAAATAATTATTTGTCCATGTTTGTTTCACTATCACCTAATGAATACCAGTTAGATTTTTTTTTCTTAGATGGAGTCTTGCTCTGTTGCCCAGGCTGGAGTGCAATGGCGCGATCTCTGCTCACTGCAACCTCCGCCTCCCAGGTTCAAGCGATTCTCCTGCCTCAGCCTCCCGAGTAGCCGTGATGACAGACACCCACCACAACGCCTGGCTAATTTTTATTTTGTATTTTTAGTGGAGATGGGGTTTCACCATGTTGGCCAGGCTGGTCTTGAACTCCTGACCTCAAGTGATCTGTTGACCTCGACCTCCCAAAGTGCTGGGATTACAGGTGTGAGCCACCACGCCTGGCCCTACCATTTAGATTTAAAAATCTCCTCCTTAGAAACAGATTGTAGCCCTTAAATCTCTCCTATAGAGAAATTACAGAGCTGCCATGAAAGATAAAAAAATTTAAAAAAATACATTCATAAAAGGACTAAAAACTAGAAAAAATATTGTCATCAAACAGACATTTTGAAAAATTCCAAAGAGAAACAAAATTAGCTGGGCACAGGAAAATATATAAGCAGGAAAGTACTTCTACTAAAGGTGGAAGTGGCTCCAGGATTGTTCTAAAAACACAGCAATGGATGTAAAGAGTAAGAGGGGTCTCTCTAGCAATCATTAGTGTGATGGGGGAAGCATCCAGAATGGTTAGTTGGTTCCTGTCCTGGCAAGTGGAAGAGAGCATAACTGTTCCCTCCTTGTGGAAGGACTGAGGGTGAGTACTGCAGTCAGAGGAAGGGCAGTATCCTGGAGGACTATTTTACCCTCAGAAGGGAAGAGAAACTGGTATTTCCAGTAGATGAGCTATTGTCACATCCCAAGAGGGCAGCAGACTCTACTCCTTCTTCACAGTAACTGGTGCAGACTCTATTGAACAAAGCAGAATTCTCGGATCCCAAATACCCATATGAACTGAAAACCAAACATCATCAACCATTAAATGAAGAGCAAAATCATGAAAGAGAAGCACCGAACTCAACAGACAGAACTAACACAGAAGGAAGCTGAATTTATATATCAAAAAGCAAGAGTAGATTATAATCATGAAACAAGAATAGAATATTCTGAAACAGAACTAATGAATGATGATGGCAATATAATCATTGAAATAAAAACTCAACTGGTAACCTGAAGAGCAGAATGGACACAATTGAAGACTGAATACAAAATGGGAAATTAAAAAGAAGAATAATTCCCGCACGTAATGCAAGAGAACAGAAAGATGATGAGTATGATAGAAATGTTGAGACAAGACTTAGAGACCCACATTTTTCACATTTATCTAGGCTATCTAGGCAGATCCTAAAATAATGATGTTGAATATATTCTCATATGTTTATTATTGGTATTTCTAGCTCTGGAACTTTTTTTTTTGAGACAGGATCTCACTCTGTCACCCAGGCTGGAGTGCAGTGGTGCAATCATGGCTCAGTGTAGCCTCGACATCCCGGGCTCAAGTGATCCTCCTGCCTTGGCCTCTCGAAGCTGTGGGATTACAGGTATGAGTCACTGTGCCTGGCCTGGAACTTCTTTTTTATGCTAGGCTGAATCACTGAAGCTAGTCACATTTTTAAGTTGTTTTTTTTTAATTTTTAAATAAGACTGTCTCACTGTCACCCAGGCTGGAGTGCAGTGGCACAATCTCAGCTCACTGCAACTTCTGCCTCCTGGGTTCAAGCAATTCAGCCTTCCGAGTAGCTGAGATTACAGGCATGCACCACCACACTCAGCTAATTTTTGTATTTTTAGTTGAAATGGGGTTTCGCCATGTTGGCCAGGCTGATCTCCAACTTCTGACCTCAGGTGATCTGCCCACCTTGGCCTCTCAAAGTGCTGAGATTACAGGCATGAGCCGCTGCTCCCGGCCTGCTGGTCAAGTTTTAAGGATTAGCAAGAATGATGACTCAGACTAGGCTGAGACTACCTTTGCAAGAACAAGGACACTGATGCTCCAGGTATGTTCTTTTTTTTTTGAGACAGAGTCTCCCTCTGTTGCCCAGTCTGGAGTGCAGTGGTGCAATCTCGGCTCACTGCAAGTGCCACCTACCGGGTTCATGCCATTCTCCTGCCTCAGCCTCCCGAGTAGCTGGGACTACAGGTGTCTGCCACCACGCCCAGCTAATTTTTTGTATTTTTAGTAGAGACAGGGTTTCATCGTGTTAGCCAGGATGGTCTCGATCTCCTGACCTTGTGATCCACCTGCCTTGAACTCCCAAAGTGCTGGGATTACAGCACTTTGCCACTGCGCCTGGCCCCAGGTATGTTCTTTTCCAGTGCATCTCATATTTGTCATGAAAGCATACCTACGGTTTGGTTAGCTCTGCTACCTTTAAGAAAGTGGAATCCTTCAGGTCAGAAGATCCCAGAACTATGGGTCTTTTATTCTGTTTTGGTTTGGGGAGGTGGGTAATGAAAGTCAGAAATGTTAGCAGGTGGGCACAGTGGCTCATGTCTGTAATCCCAACACTTTAGAAGGCCTGAGGCCAGGAGTTCAAGATCAACCTAGGCAACATAGTGATACTCCATCCCTACAAAAAAATACAAAAACATTAGCTGAGTATAGTGGCATGCACCTGTAGTCCCAGGCACTTGGGAGGCTGAGGTGAGAGAATTGCTTGAGCCTAGGAGGTGGAGGCTGCAGTGAACGGTGATTGCACCATTACACTCCAGCCTGGGCAATAGAGCAAGACCCCATTCCTTAATAAAATTTTTAAAAAATGTTAGCACTCACGACTTTAACTTATGATCACAAAAGGGATTTCCAGTGTCACAATGGTATACTTTCATGTTTTATTTTTGCTTTGCCATTGGATGTACTCAGAGTTTCAGTGCTAAAGGCCTGCACCTTGCTTCTCATACGATCTTTGCCTATTTTTTCATTAAGTGTTGACATTTGCCTTTTTTTTTTTTTTTTTTTGAGATGGAGTTTCACTCTTGTTGCCCAGGCTGGAGTGAAATGGCCTGGTCTCGGCTCACTGCAACTTCCACCTCCTGGGTTCAAGCGATTCTCCTGCCTCAGCCTCCCGAGTAGCTGGGATTACAGGCACCCGCCACTATGCCCAGCTAATTTTTGTATTTTTAGTAGAGACGAAGTTTCACCAAGTTGGTCAGGCTGGTCTCGAACTCCTGACCTCAGGTAATCCACCTGCCTCAACCTCCCAAAGTGCTGGGATTACAGGTGTGAGCCACTGCGCCTGGTGACATTTGCCATTCCTTTTTTTTTTTAAGACGGAGTCTTGCTCTGTCACCCAAGCTGGCGTGCAGGGGTGCTATCTCGGCTTACTGCAAGCTCTGCCTCCCAGGTTCCTGCCATTCTCCTGCCTCAGCCTCCCGAATAGCTGGGACTACAGGTGCCCACCACCACCCCCAGCTAATTTTTTGTATTTTTAGTAGAGACAGGGTTTCACCGTGTTAGCCAGGATGGCCCTGATCTCCTGACCTCGTGATCCGCCCACCTTGGCCTCCCAAAGTGCTGGATTACAGGCGTGAGTCACCGCGCCCAGCCAACATTTGCCATTTCTAAGCATTCAATATAACATCTATGTTTCCCTTCCTTCCACTGCAAAAGAAACTATTATTATTCAAAATTCTGTTTCCTATTCCCTTATGAAACTCCTTTATCCTCCACAGGTAGAATACATTTCAGTCAGATGTTTTTAAAAGAAATTTTTTTGTAGACATGGGGTCTTGGAGTCTTGTGATGTTGGCTAGGCTGATCTTGAACTCTTAGCCTCAAGCAATCCTTCTGCCTCAGCCTCCCAAAGTGTTGGGATTGCAGGCATGAGCCACCATACCTGGCCTTATCTTAGACTGTCTTAAGAAGAGTTCATTCTTATGATAACAATATTTTCTGAGTCAAAAGTGAGGTCAGGCATTGGCTTAGACAAGGATTTCATGACCAAAAACCCAAAAGCAAATGCAATAAAAACAAAGATAAATAGCTGGGACCTAATTAACCTAAAGAGCATTTGCACAGCAAAAGGAACAGTCAGCAGATTAAACAGACAACCCACAGAGTGGGAGAAAATCTTCACAATCTATACATCTGACAAAGGACTAATAACCAGAATCTACAACGAACTCAAACAAATCAGTAAGAATAAAACAAACAATCCCATCAAAAAGTGGGCTAAGGACATGAATAGACAATTCTCAAAAGAAGATATACAAATGGCCAACAAACATATGAAAAAATGCTCAACATCATAAATGATCAGGGAAGTGCAGATCAAAACCACAATGTGATACTACCTTACTCCTGCAAGAATGGCCATAATCAAAAAATCAAAAAAACAGTAGATGTTCACATGGATGAGGTGATCAGGGAACACTTCTACATTGCTGGTGGGAATATAAACTGGTACAACCACTATAGAAAACAGTGTGGAGATCCCCTAAAGAACTAAAAGTAAAACTACGATTTGATCCAACAATCCCACTACTGGGTATCTACCCAGAGGAAGAGAAGTCATTATTTGAAAAAGATACTTGCAAATGCATGTTTACAGCAGAACAATTCCCAGTTGCAAAAATGTGGAACCAACCCAAAAGCCCATCAATCAACGAGTGGATAAAAAAATCTGTGGTATATATATATATGATGGAATACTACTCAGCCATAAAAAGGAATGAATTAACAGCATTTCCAATGGCCTGGATGAGATGGGAGACTATTATTGTAAGTGAAGTAACTCAGGAATGGAAAACCAAACATCGTATGTTCTCATCGATATACGGGAGCTAAGCTATGAGGATGCAAAGGCATAAAAACGATGCAATGGACTTTGGGGACTTGGGGGGAAGAGTGGGAAGCGGGCGAGGGATAAAATACAACACATGTGGTGCAGTGTATACTGCTTGGATGATGGGTGCACCAAAATCTCACAGATCACTACTAAAGAACTTACTCATGTAACCAAATACCACCTGTACCCCAATAGCTTATGGAAAAATAAAATAAAATAAAAATGAGGTCAGGGCCGGGCATGGTGGTTCACTCCTGTAATCCTAATACTTTGGGAGGCTGAGGCAGTTGGATAACTTGTGCCTGGGAGTATAAGGCCAGCCTTGGCAACATGGTGAAATCTCATCTTTACAAAAAATACAAAAAATTAGCTAGGCATGGTGGTGTGTACCTGTGGTTCAAGCTACTTGGGAGGCTTAGGTGGGAGGATCACCTGAGCCTGGGAAGTCAAGAGTGCAGCGAGCTGTGACCTCACCACTGCACTCCAGCCTGGGCGATAGGAGTGAGACACTATCTCAAAAAAAAAAAAAAAAAAGAGGTCAGGACATAACATTGACACATGGTAAGATTTGTTGAGCGCATAAACAAATGTATTCTTTTTTTTTTTGAGACGGAGTCTTGCTCTGTCGCCCAGGCTGGAGTGCAGTGGCGCGATCTCGGCTTACTGCAAGCTCCGCCTCCCTGGTTCACGCCATTCTCCTGCCTCAGCCTCCCGAGTAGCTGGGACTACAGGCGCCCGCCACCAGGCCCGGCTGATTTTTTGTGTTTTTACTAGAGACGGGGTTTCACCGTGTTAGCCAGGATGGTCTTGATCTCCTGACCATGTGATCTGCCCGCCTCGGCCTCCCAAAGTGCTGGGATTACAGGCTTGAGCCACTGTGCCCGGCCAACAAATGTATTCTTTGAAAACACTCCTGTTCTGGAAAAGGCACGCCACAAACATAGCAGTTATTTCACTGAATGTATAGGTGTGGCTTAAAAAATAGCACCTGCAACCTAAGGAGCATACCAATCAGCATCAGAATGGTAATTTGTAAGAACCATACAGCCTGGTACTAGGAAGAACGCAGATTTGAATTCAGGTGAATTACCTTTGTGACCTTAAGCATATTACTTTCTCGCTGAACTTCAGTTTACTTGTCTGTAAGATGTGGGTACATATATGCTTTGCAGTGCTCCTCTGAGATTTAAGGAAGCTAATCTATGAAAAGGGCTTGCGATACCTGATGCACAGTCGGCACTCAATGAAAACTCATTCCCTTGTGACTTTATCGTGCATTTCTCAAAGAAGTCCTCATCAAGTATTTAATTGGATTATCATAATACAGATAATGTTTTTAATTTTGGAAAATTAGTTTTGAGTACACCACAACTGGTCTGGAATATTTCATTCGCAAGTTAGAATAAAACATAAATCCATTTAAAAAAAGGTCTTCCATTTCAGTCGTCATTATCCTCATTTCTCTCCATCTTACCAAAAGAGCAGTATCAATGGCAGTGGAATTGCAAACCAATTGGCAGCTGAATAACTTTCAACACTCTCTCTGTCACACACACACACACACACACACACACACACACACACACACACACGCATGTGCACATGCACACAGGCTGCCTGAGTGCCTGTGTGCACAGAGGCACACAGTTTTCTGAAACAGAAAAACATTCCAGGAGACAGTGATGCTTTTAGGATTTTCCAAGTGGAATTTCCTCTCTTCCTTTCCTTTCTTGGTTTTGTCCCTCCCAGCAGGTCAGAAAAAGGTGCACAGCAGGATGTGAAGATCTCTCTGCTCTGAGCGCGGGCTGGTTCTTTCGATGTCAGGGAACTTCTCAAATGAGAAGAGATGGAAGAAGAGATTTTTGAGGGAGGAGAGAGAAAGTCACTTTACACCAGGGAAGAGGAAGAGAGGAGACTCAGAATGCAAGCAAACACTGCTGTTCTTCTTCCGCTTCGTTAATACGAATTACTGCCAACAATCTGCTGCATTCACATCTTGCTGGGTATTTAAAAATCCATCCCAAATTTGCCTCATTTCTGTCACTCTTCTTGGTGTGCTTGTAGATGAATGGTTATAGAAGTTTATTTGTAAAAATGGTAAATATTACTTCTCTATTAAGATCAAATTTTTTCTCGAAAGATTCAACACAACTAATTATTATGAAAATAAATATAATTATCGTACTGTTGAAATACTTAATATAATTATATGTTGTGTGGCGTCTCAGGCTACTTGCCCCTGACTGTCTCACCCACCCCTTGCTAACCTGGCTGCCTTTTTCTGTGGGACAAATTCCTCCTTAGCTTCCTGAATATTTCTCTATGTCAGACTTATTTTATCTTATTTTTCCAGATTAGAGGTTTTTGGTGGTTGGGGGAAGAAGTGCTGCAGATATACATGGCTTAGCTTTTCTCTACAATATGATTTTTAAAAGTAATGTTCATCTAACTAAAAAGCAAATGTTTTTCTCATCATTGTCAATTGGTTTTCAAATACTGTCCCTCTCTCTAGATACTATCTCCCACCCCTCCAGCCACATCAAAAGTCTCACTATAGGAGTATTGGGACTATGGCTGAAATTTTACTGTCAAGCGAACTTTTACTGCTTTTCCAAAGTTCTATCCAAATACCATCTCCTTTGTGAAGTGTTCTTTGCTTCTCTTGAGCAATTAATCACTTGAATCATTTCCTTCTCTGTGTTCCCATAGCACAAAGGACATATCTCTACTATGCGTAGTGTATCTTTTTGCATATCCGTCTCCCCAACATTGGCTGTGAGGTGAATAAATGTTTTAAGCACTTTTATTTTTATTTTTGTAGACATGGAGCTTTGCTATGTTACCCAAGCTGATCTCAGACTCCTGGTCTTAAGCGATCCTCCCATGTTGGCCTCCCAAAGTGTTGGGATTACAGGCATGAGTCACCACACCAAGCCACACCAGTTTTAAGCACTTTTAATACATAAGGACAACTTGCCCTCTAGTTGAGTACCTTTTCTCCTCCACTCCAACAAACATTGGATAGCATAATTCTAAAACTCTTTGCTAACAACTTACATCTCTTTGATTACTTTTGTGATGAAACATTAAACAATATGATTTGTATAGTAATGACTGTTTGTGTTTTAAACTGACCATGTTTTGAGTTCAGTTCAATTCTATTATTATGATGTGGCTGACCTCCCCCCAACCTATTACTCCTTCCTATTTGTCACTCTGGGGATTATATGGTAGTGTACTTATCTTGCAAAATATTGCACTGTGGTAATATGATTAAGTTATTTCATCAGAATATAGTATTAAAGCTATAATATGTTCCTGGAAAATTGTAGTGCTGAGCCATTTCTTAATAGTTATTTCTGCCCAGTCACACTACTTCTGAATTACACATCACTACTAGTAAGTCCAATAAAAATTTATTCCAAATGACGTGTTTGCTAATAAATCTGGAGAAAATTTGAAAATTCCCTGGGAGTCAGCAGAAAATAGTTTTTTTTTTTTTCCTGAGACAGAGTTTTGCTCTTGTTGCCCAGGCTGGAGTACAATGGCGTGATCACAGCTCACTGCAACCTCCGCCTCCCGGGTTCAAGCGATTCTCCTGCCTCAGCCTCCTGAGTAGCTGGGATTACAGGTGCCCTCCACCATGCCTGGCCAGGTTAGTCTCAAACTCCTGACCTCAGGTGATCTGCCCATCTTAGCTTCCCAAAGTGCTGGGATTACAGGCGTGAGCCACCGTGCCTGGCCAAGGCTTTACACATTTTAACAAATTTAGTCTTTATAATGATTTCTACCTTCTCCACCCTACTTGGTTTCCTGGGAGGCTGAGATTTGTAGACAGCATCATCAGGGTCACTTGCCATCTGACCTTCAGGAGTGTATGGCTGATGGGAGGCACTGGCATGAGATTGGAGGAAGGAAGGAGGAGGGTCAGGTTGGGATATGTGTTTCCTGACCCCCTTCCTGCCAGATTGAGGCAGTTGTCTGCATCCCTGCTAGAGCATGGAGCCCTTGTGGCCGCCTACATACAGCTACCATCTGGGTGCTGATAAATCATTTCTCCCTTCCTGCCTGGGAGTGGTAATGGTGTTCTGCCCAAATCTTTATAACCAGTGTCTTTATTAAGCCTCCTCTGTTATCCTCCTGGAGTGCTCCATCTCTTTTCTGCCAGGATCCTGGCAGATATGCTTGATTGATAGTTTGGCTGAATGTAGAATTCTTAGTTAGAAATAACCCCTCTCAGAATTTTAATGACATTGCTTATTGCTTCTGACTTCCGGTATTGCTGTTGAAAAGTCGATATTTTGATTCCTGAATTTCTGTCTCCCCAACCCTAAAATCTTGTAAAAATCTTTTTGTCTCTGGTGTTCTGAAATGCCACAAAGTTGCATCTTTTTGAAAGACTTTTTCTACCACTGTGTTGGACAATGAGTTCTTAAAATCTGAATGCATATGTCCTTGAGTACTGGGAATTTTTCATGATGATTTTGCTACTGATTTTCTCCTTTCTTTTTTTCCAAGTTTTCTGTTTCTAGGATTCATGTTTCTATATAATAGATGTTGGAACTTCTAGTTTTACCCTCTAGTTTTCCAGATCTTTTCACTGTTCTTTTATACTTTTTGTCTTTTTTATTTACTTTCTGAGAGGTTTGCCTAACTTTATCTTCCAATGCTTCTATTGAGTTTTTCATTTCTGCCATCACCCTTCTTTTATTTCCCAGATCTGTTTTCTGCTCCTTGAATAAGCCATTTAAAAGTAGATATTTTTCTTTCATGAGTGTAATATCTCCTTTTGACTATATAAGGATAGTGGTTATGTTGGTTTTTGAAGTTTACTTCTTCCTTCTTAGACTCTGTTTCCTCCAAACTCCTTTTGTTCTTTTGTTTTCATCATTTTTTATATTAAATGTTTCTGCAATTCTGATAACCCATGAGTGTTTGCTCATATTTAAGAATTGGGAGTAAAATAATGAATAGTGTCCTGAGTGCACGGGTGAGTCTTCTTGACTATGACATTCATTCTAGGGTGATCTGGCTGGGCTATATTGTTGAAAAACCCTCAATGTCAGTATCTTTGGGTCTGAACCCTTGGACTGGTCCTGGCTGTCAGGTTGCAGGAGTGGTGTGGGGGACGAACGCCAGGGTCTCATCATTCATTATGCAAATATTCGCTTAATCATTCTGTTTTTAGTATATCACATTTATTCTCCATTGTAACTGATTTTGCCCTGTCCAGAGACCCTCTATTTTACTGCCTTCAAGGACGAAGACCCTCCAGTCTTCCACAGGGAAAGGAGAAGGGCGGTGGCCAAGCTGATCAGGGTTGGGGCATGGATCTGGGAGTTATGATGATTTCACAACAGACTTTCAACCAACCTTCACATTTTTTCGACTTTTCTAAGTATATGGCACTACCAATTCCTGAGGCTTTTTTCTTTTTCTCTATAATATAAACCAGTTAATGTTCTTAGAATGCCTCACTACTGGAATAGGATTTAACTATCTTTACTGCTAAGGTAGTTGCCCCTCTCATATGCTTTCTAGCTTCCAAAATCTTTATATTAGAGATTTTTAAAAAATATAACCTTTTAGTGTCATTTTAGCAGGATTTTAGGATGGAGAGAATATTGATGCTTTTGTTAAATTCACCATCTTTACCTACTTAAAGCTGATTATAACTTCTCACAGCTGAAAAGAGTAATCTATAATAGCCGGTTCTTTGCCTTCTATATACTTTAAAGCACTTGCTTCCCCAATATTTGGCTGTTTATTGATCGCTAATGAAACAAGACCACTTGATAATTTGTTGCGACTGGTAAGATATATTCTTCTTACATGGAAATGAACAATCTTTTTTTTTTTTTTTTTTTTTTTTTTTTTTGAGACGCGTCTCGCTCTATCGCCCAGGCTGGAGTGCAGTGGCGTGATCTCTGCTCACTGCAAGCTCCGCCTCCCGGGTTCACGCCATTCTCCTGCCCCAGCCTCCCGAGTAGCTGGGACTACAGTTGCCTGCCACCACGCCTGGCTAATTTTTTGTATTTTCAGTAGAGATGGGGTTTCACCATATTAGCCAGGATGGTCTTGATCTCCTGACCTCGTGATCTGCCCGCCTCAGCCTCCCTGAGTGTTGGGATTACAGGCGTGAGCCACCACGCCCGGCCAGAAATGAGCAATCTTATGAAAAAAGCAAGGGTGACTCAAGAACTGTGCTCTGAGTATTGTTAGAGCACCATTTTAACAACTTAATATGTCCCTATTAGGGCCAGGTAATTTTTGCCCTTGGCCACGGCCACCATGAAACCGTGGCATTTTGTTTTAGCACCTTCTTCTGTCTTTTGAAAAATCTCTCAATACATATGTTCTCAGGAGGAGGTAGTAGCCACCTTGGCCTTGGCAGATTCAGGGGACATGTGGCCTTGGATCATCCTATTGGACATTCTCTCCTGCACTTTTTCATTCACGGATAGAAGGCCGTGGGAACAGATGGAGGCCCTATCTGTCACAGAGGCAGAGGCCTTGTTGTCCTGTTGGAGGACAGTTGCCTGGGTTTCTGTTGTTTGACCTGGTCACACAGTCCTCCCTGAGATTATTCTCAGTTTTCAAGCCTGCTCATCTGGCCACTCATTAATTTAGTCAGCCTTGATGACCTTCTAATAAATTTCTCTTTTACTTAAGATAGCAAGCCATGTTTCAGTTGCAAACAAAAGCCCTGATAAAAACACTGCAACCACAGGAAATGAATGTGCAAGTGCCACAGGAGGCTGGGAGGCTGGGATGGAAGAGAAACGAATCCACCAGGCCTTCAGTAAATAAATTTAAAATACTTGCCCCTTTAGGAATGGATTGCCAGTATTCCCTGCCTATGAAAACAATGGTGGACTTTCACAATTTTTTTTCTTACAATCTAAGAGGATGTCAATGGCCCACTTCTGTGCCTCTGAAATCCCATGTTTGTTTTACCAGAGCCAAAGAGAATGACTCACTAATGAGGACCAGATTTGCCTTGTCTGAAATGCCAAGGGAGTTGTTTAGTAATATTTGGGAGGAATCCCTCATAAATAGCACCAATCTAAAATAGTTCAATAAATTAAATGGGAAATTCAATTGATTTTTGGGCTACCAATATTATGTCACTCTTATATACTCAGTTAAATCAAATGAGTTCAATTTGATTTACGGAGTAATAGTAACAGTTACTCGATTGACAGCAATCTAATCTGACACACACACACACCTTAAGATATTTTAAGTACAAAAGAAATAAATGAAAAAATCTTATTGTAAAAATAATTTTAAAACAGCACAGATATATTTAAAGTAAAACTTGAAAAAGCCTCTTTTTTAATCCTCACTCTCCCCAATCTACCCCCAATCTCATTCCCTCACCATAGATAACCTCTGTTAACAGTTAGATTTGTGTGTCCTTCCAGACCTGGCTGTTACTTTTTCTTTCTACATATCTATACACACATTTGTAGATGTGCCTTTTTACATATTTTTAGTCTTAATCATGTTACTTTGAGGCATGCTTTTTTATTTATCCAATATATTTTAGAGATCTTTTCAAATCAATACATGTAAGACTCCCTTCATTTTTTAAAAGACTATACTGTATTATATAATATGACTTAACCACAATTAACTTGGTGAGTACCATATTTCTGAACTTAAGTCGTTTGCATTTTTTTCTCTATTATAAACAACGCTAACATGGATATTCTGTGTTATATATTAAATGCCTATATGCACATAAGTGTTTTGGTATAGTAAATTATTCCTAGAAGTAGAGTTGTAGGTTAAAGCTGTGCATGTTTAACATTTTCAAAGATCCTGCCCCCCATCAAATAGTCTCCTGTGGTTTTAATTTGCATTTCTATGCTTACTAGGGAGTTCCAGCATCTTCCTTTATACCTTTGTTGTGAAATTACCTGCTCATACTATTTGTTGACTTTTCTAGTAGATTGATTATACCTTTCTTACTGTTTGCCTGAGTAGTATTTTCATAGTAAAACACTTACTTTTTTTTTTTGAGTCTGAGTCTCGCACTGTCACCCAAGCTGGAGTGCAACAGCGTGATCTCGGCTCACTGCAACCTCTGCTTCCCGGGTTCAAGCGATTCTTCTGCCTCAGCCTCCTGAGTAGCTGGGATTACAGGTGTCCACCACTATGCCCGTCTAATTTTTTGTACTTTTTTTTTTTTTTTTGAGACGGAGCCCAGGCTGGAGTGCAGTGGCGCGATCTCGGCTCACTGCAAGCTTCGCTTTCTGGGTTCACACCATTCTCCTGCCTCAGCCTCCCGAGTAGCTGGGACTACAGGTGCCCACCACCACACCTGGCTAATTTTTTGTATTTTTAGTAGAGATGGGGTTTCACCATGTTAGCCAGGATGGTCTGGATCTCCTGAACTTGTGATCCACCTGCCTCGGCCTCCCAAAGTGCTGGGATTACAGGTGTGAGCCACCACGCCCAGCCGATTTTTTGTATTTTTAGTAGAGATGGGGTTTCACTATGTTGGCTAGGTTGGCCTTGAACTCCTGACCTTGTGATCCACCCGCCTCAGACTTCCAAAGTGCTGGGATTACAGGCATGAGCCACCATGCCTGGCATAAAACACTTTCATGATATGCAGAACTTTAAAAGCAAATGACAATTTCACCTCCATTTTGCCTTAATTGACTTATCTGAAGCAATATAAATACTTACTGACTTGCTGAACTTTTTAAGTTGCTTGCCAAGAAGTATATCAATGCCAATCACGTGCATTAAACTGACTTATACTGTATATCTCAAAAATAATTTAAAAAGACAAATAAATTACTGAAGTTATATTCGCTAGATAGCTCTTTTAAATGTTATACTTTTTTTTTTTTTTAAGAGATAGGGTCTCATTCTGTTGCCCAGGCCAGAGTACAGTGGCACGATCCTCCTACATCAGCCTCCAAAAGTGCTAGGATTACAGGCATAAGCCACTGTGTACAGCCATTATATACATTTTAATTAATTTAAAAATTAGAGTGTTTGTAGACCTACGCAAGTTTATGCTAACATTGATATGGAAAGGCACGAGTTCTAAAATAGGCAGCACAATCTTGAAAGAACAGAGAAAGAAGAATCACTCTACCTGATATTAAGGCATACTATATGGCGATAGTAATGAAGACAATGTGTCCTGGCAGAGGGATAGACACAGATCAATAGAATAGATTTTAAAATCCAGAAATAGATCCACACAAATATGCTCAACTAATTTTTGACACAGGTGAAACATTTCAGGAGGAACAGACATTCAACAAATGATGCTGGAAAAATTAGGCATCCATAAGCAAAAAAATGAGTCAGGACCTAAACCTCACACCTTATTCAAACATTAACTCAAAACAGATTATGAACTCAAAGGTAAAATGTAAAATTATAGAAGTTAGGGAAAAAAGAAGAAAATATTAAGGATCTATGGCTAGGTAAAGAGTGCTTAGATGGTACCAAAAACACTATTCATAAAGGGAAAAATTAATAAATTGGACCTCATCGAAAGTTTTAAAACCTTTGCTCTCTGAAAGATCCTGTTAACAGGATGAAAAGACAAGCTACAGACTAGGAGAAAGCTTTGAAATCCATATAGTTAACAAAGGACTAGTATCTGGAATACATAAAGAATACTCAAAATGCAACAGCAAAATAACAAACAATCCAATCAGAAAATGGGCAAAACCCATAGACTGTATACACTAAAGAGGTGTACAGACAGCAAATGAAAAGATATTCAACATCATTAGCCATTAGAGAAATGCAAAATTAAAATCATGATGAGATATCACTATCAGAAGGGCTAAAATTAAAAACAATGACAATAACAAATGCAGATGAGAATGCGGATAAACTGAATCACTCATATACTGCTGGAGGGAGTATCAAATGGTTAGTCAATTCTAAAAAAACAGTTTGGCAGTTTCCTAAACTAAAGAGGCAAAAGACAGTTCTTAGAATGGGAGAAAAAACTTACAAACCATGTATCTGATAAGGGTCTAGTATCCAGAATATAAAGGACTCATAATAAAAATTGAAAAATTGGCACAGGATCTGAATAGACATTTCTACAAAGAAGATATTCAGATGGTCAATGAGTGTGTGAAAAGATACTCAACACCATTGGTCATCAGGGAAATGCAAATCAAAAGTAGTTCATGCCCACTAGGATTGATAGAATAAAAAATCAGATAATAACAAGTGCTGGTGAGAATATGGAGAAGTTGGAAACTTCATCCACTGGTGATGAGAATGTCAAATGGTGAAGTCACTCTGAAAAACAGTCTGGCAAGGATCCTTGTGGTGAAGTGTTACCATTGAGGAAACTGGGTAAAGGGCACATAGGAACTCAGAACAATTTCTTTCAATTGCATGTGAATCTATAATTATTTCAAAATTTAAAAGTTTAATTAAAGAACAAAAAACAACAGGCACAAAGAGGCTTAGGAATTTCGTTTAATACCTAACAGAAAAATCAATAATTAAAAAATTATGGTAGATATCTTCAAGTCAACTCTATATCAAAAAATGTTCCTTCTTAGAAAGGAAACACCTTTTTAAACAGCCTTGGCTTTTTAAAATTTAATTTTTATACTTATCAGAGTTTAAAAAGTCAGATAGTTCTAGAAGACTGAAAATATGGTAACTTGCTAGACTTCTCAACTGCTGCCTCATAATTTCCACTTTCAAAGTCAAACATTTTACATTATTTCAGAAGTTTCTTCAGGTATTTGGCTCTGTTTTTCTATAATAATATGCTTATAGTGCTATTTCTTATTTTTTCATTTTAGACACCATTCATTTTCAACTATTTTGTGTATCATAAAAGATGAGGATTTAGCTCTCTTATCTCCTGCCTACCATCTCTATACTTTCCTACTCCCATCCTCCCAATATGGTTCTATCAGAAATGTAAAGAATATTAAGTGCTTATATTATCATGACTATGCAAATATTATTCTTAGCCGAGTGTACTATGATTAAATATTAATTCTTGCACAAGTCTTTGTTTTTCTCTGGAAGTGATAATTGCCTTTTCCCTCCTATTTACTTAGTTTTCTATGCACTTGTTCCTAATTCAGCTCCAAACTGTTTACAGAATTATAAAACTGCATTCAATATTTGAACTTGATTGGTTTGCATGAGAATACAATTCTATATTGTTAATCATTTTTCCTTAAAACTGTAAAAGCTTATTCCAACATCCAATTTCATTGAAAAGACTGTTGTCTTTATGGTCTGTAATATTTTGTATGTGACCTATTTTTTTGTCTCTTTCTCTGGAAGCTTTTTGGATCCCTTCCTTCCTTCCTTCCTTCCTTCCTTCCTTCCTTTTCTTTCTTCTTTTTTTTTGAGCCTCCAGTTTAATAGTTTCCAGTTTAATAGTTAATATTCAGCCTCCAGTTTAATAGTTTCTTGTTCCTTTGTTCTTAAATGCTATATATATTCTCTTATCCTTGTTAGAATATTAATTATAAGTTTTAAAAACATATTCATCCGTTCCTTGCGTTATTGTGCACCCACATATTTGTTTATCTCCCTCTTCCAAGCAAGAAGCTTTTATCAAATGTTGGATGATCCTTGACAACTGGAAGCTCTGTATGTATGAGGTCTGACAAGTAGGGAGTTTATAGCAGAGTGATTGTTCAGGTATCTGTTTTTTTTTTTTTTCTGGGCAGTAGCTGTTGGCCTTCTTTTCTGGGGCTGGTCACTCTCTCCAGAAAGGAATCCTCCACTTTCATCTCAGGATGGTGGTGATGGAATGATCTGGGTGCTGAGGTTGGTAAGTCTCATTGTTCAGAATGCAGATTTGTACTTGATCTCTGTGTTGCCAGTAAGTTACCTCAATCATGCCTGCATACCTGCTATCCTTGAGTCTAGAGATTTTTCTGGTTTAACCTCCCCTGAAAATAATGTCAAGCCTTCTGCAGAAGAAGGAGGGTCAGTTGCCTGGCTGTGCAGGTTATGAGGAGATGTACTGGTTGAACTGCTTTTATGCAAGACATCAGCCAGTCCTCCCGATTTTAGCCTCATCTGCTTCCCATATTCAGAGACAACTTGTGGCTCTAATTTCTGGGCCTTTGAAGGACTTGGTAGCCCAATCTATGTGCTTCTTGGCATCCCTCATCCTCACCCCTACTGCAATCATTTAGTTTCAGCTTCCGCTAGTCTGCTAAATCAGTTATCATAAGTCTGTTTTGTTGACATCTCTTGGTGGCTATTATTTCTTCTCCCATTCTCTCTGTGCCTATTACTTTTTGAAGTTTTCTTTTTCTCTTTTTTTTTTTTTTTTTTAGGACGAGTCCCGCTCTGTTGCCATACTGGAGTGCAGTGGTGTGATCTCGGCTCACTGCAACCTCCGCCTCCTAGGTTCAAGCGATTCTCCTGCCTCAGCCTCCCAAATAGCTGGGATTACAGGCACCTGCCACCATGCCCGGCTAATTTTTGTTTTTAGTAGAGATGGGTTTTCACATGTTGGCCAGGCTGGTCTCGAGCTCCTGACCTCAGATGATCCACCTGCCTCAGCCTCCCAAAATACTGGGATTCCAGGCATGAGCCACCGCGCCTGGCCTAATTTTTGAACTTTTCTTTCTTTCTTTTTTTTTTTTTTATACAAGGTCTTGCTCTGTTACTCAGGCTGGAGTGCAATGATGTGATCATAGTTTGCATAGTTCACTGCAGCCTTGAACTCCTGGGCTCAAGTGATCCTTCTACCTCTGCCTCCTGAGTAGCTGGAACCATGCCTTGCTAATTAATTAATTAATTAATTTTTTTTTTTTTTTGGTAGAGACAGAGTCTCACAGTGATGCCCAGGTTGGTCTCCAACTCCTGGCCTCAAGTTATCCTCCTGCCTCAGCCTCCCAAAATATTGGGATAACAGGCATGAACCACTGCACCCGGCCTCCATTTTACATTTCTTTACCAACAATTTGGTGAGATTTTGGGTGGCAGTGAGGGTGAACAGGTGTTTTACTTTGCCGTATTTGAATGGCAGTCTAAATTTTTTTTCTTTTTTTAGACAGGGTTTCACTCTGTTGCCTAGACTGGAGTGCAGTGGTGTGATCTATGCTCACTGTAACTTCTGCCTCACGGGATCAAGTGATCCCCCCTCCTAAGCTTCCCTAGTAGCTAGGACTGCAGGCACACGCCACCATGCCTGGCTAATTTTTGTATTATGTTGTAGAGATTGAGTTTTGCCATGTTGCCTAGGCTGGTCTCCAATTCCTGGGCTCAAGTGATCCGCCTACCTCTGCCTCTCAAAGTGCTGAGATTACAGGCTTGAGCCATTGCACCTGATCTGCAAACTTCTTGCATTCTAATATAAACGGTGGTTGCTTCCAAAGGGTAAGTCTTATGGAGTATCCGCGTACTCAGGGAGTAAGAAAATAATGCCAGCACTGTCCACTGTATGTTCTATTCTTCTTTAGTAGGAATTTTCACATGGGCCTAAGACTGCCTGCTTAAGGACCATATCTCTGTATACAAGGCTTGCCAAGTGGTAGATTTCACAGCCAAATCTAGGGGTGTCTATGGGACTAATTTCTTTCTTTTTTTTTTTTTTTTCATTTTACTTTAAGTTCCGGGATACATGTGCAGAATGTGCCGGTTTTTTATATAGGTACTTATTACATAGGTATACATATGCCATGGTGGTTTGCTGCATCTATCAACCTGTCATCTAGGTTTTAAACCCTGCATGCATTAGGTATATGTGACTAATTTCTTGCCAATTCTGTGATCTGGAATATAAAGCAACAAGATAGAAAACAATCTTGAATAGCAACCCTAGAGATAACACTACAGAGCAAGACAGAAAAATCTGGATTCTTGACACTGTGAAACTGCCGCTCCCTTGTGCTTGGAATGCTGTGTAAGAGAGACATTAACTATAACTTCTATTTTGTACAACCCTCTCCTATTGCTTTTTATTTGTTCATGTTGTTTTTCTTCCACCAAGTAAATATTTTAATTAATAAACAATATTTTATGTTGAGGAAGTCAAGAATTATGACATGTGGTAAAGTGATAAAGAGGAAGGATGAAAAAGGAAGAAAGAAAAGAAAAATGGTTAATAATAAATATTTAAGAATTTTAAAATAAAACAAAAACAAAAGAATAAAACATTATTCCTTTAAGATTTAGAGAATAAAAAATTCTCTTCCTGCTTTTGGCATCTTTTCTACAAAGAGCTTCTGTGTACCATGTACTTTGATTTTTTTTTAAATAAGAAAAGGTTGGAGAAAAATAGCATCATGTAATACTTGGTAGTTGACTAATCTTAGGTTTATTTTATTATTAGTGAAAAATGGGATGCCTTTCTTCTATTTCTATATTTTAGTCAGACATTATGTCATGCAAACTGATTCCATTTTTAATAGTTGTTTTCTGGTGATTCAGTGTCTTTCTCATTTATTCCTTCACCGTGTCTAGATTCTTGTGTTGGGAGAAGATGATATTAGGCTGATATGTTTTATTTAACATTGACCAAAAAAGTTCAGAATGTTGATATTACTTTTATTTTTAAGAAATAAAACCAGATTACTCTTTAAATATCTATTTTTATTTTTCTTTATTATTATATTTATGGGCATATAGTTTACATACAATAAAATGCACAAACATTACATGTTCAGTTCAATGAGTTTAGACAAAATAAGACAGAATACTTATAGCACCTAAGAACTTTTCCTCATGCTTCTTCCCAGGCAATATTCTTTGCTATGGTTTGAATATTTGCTCCCTCCAAAACTCATGTAGAAATGTACTTGCCCGGCTGGGTGCGGTGGCTCATGTTTGTAATCCCAGCACTTTGAGAGGCCGAGGTGGGCGGATCACGAGGTCAGGATTTCGAGACTAACCAGGCCAACATAGTGAAACCCAGTCTCTACTAAAAATACAAAAAATTAGCTGGGCATGGTGGCGCATGCCTGTAATCATGGCTACTCAGGAGGCTGAGGCCCAAGAATCACATGAATCCACGAGGTGGAGATTGCAGTGAGCCGAGATGGTGCCACTGTACACCAGCCCAGGTGACAGTGTGAGACTCTGTCTCAAAAAAGAAAAAAGTACCTGCTCTTGTAACAGTATTAAGAAGTGGGACCTTTAAGAGGTGATTAAGACACGAATGGATTGATGCTGTCTTGCACTCTCTCCCTCTCTTGCCCTTTTGCTCTTCCGTCATGTGATGATGCAGCAAGAAGGTCCTTGCCAGATGTTGGCACCTTGATATTGGACTTCTGAGCCCCCAGAACTGTGAGCCAATAAGTTTCTGTTCATTATAAATTACTCAGTCTGCGGTATTCTATTACAACAGTACAAACAAATTAAGACATCTTTCAAACCCTCAGAGTTAAGCAATGTTCCGATTTCTGTTATTGCAGATTAATTTTGCCTGTTTTGGAAATTCATATTTTGCTCAACATAATTGAGTAAAATTTTTTGAGGTTAATCTATGTTGCTGTGGGTATTGGTGGCTTTTTTTTTTTTTTAAAACTGATTCCATTGTATAAAAATATTACACTTTTAAAATCCATTTTCTTGCTGACAGATGCAATAGGTATCCTCTTTCATGGCTTCCAGTGATCCTCACCTCCTGGTATTCATTCACATCCTTGTGTAATCTCCTCCCTATGAGGATGGGTTCAACCTAGCAACTCTTTTCTAATAAATAGAATATGGCAAACGCCATGGCGTGTCACTTCCAAGATTTGGATATAAAACATTTGACTTCCATGTCTCTTCTTCTCTGTGGTTCTTCTGGCCTGCTTGTTGTGATAAAGCAAGCTGTCATGGGGTCCACATGTCAAGGAGCTGAAGACCTCTGGCCAACAGTCAGTGAAGAACTCAGGCCATCAGTCTAACAGTCTGTGAAAAATTGAGTCTTTCCAACAGCCATGTAAGTAGACTTGGAAGTAAATCCTTCTCCAAGCAGAGCCTTGAGATGATCTCCAAATCCAATCAGCACGTTTACTGGAACCTTATGAGAGAAGATACTGCTGCTTTTTTGATGAGATTTTTGACCCGCAGAAACTGAGATAATAAACGTTGTTTCCCTTTACTTTTTGGGTAATTTGTGATGCAGCAGTGGATAGCTATTATAACAGACATTTGGTTGTTTTTAATTTTTTTTTTTTTTTTTTTTTTTTGTGATGGAGTCTCACCCTGTCACCCAGTCTGGAGTGCAGTGGTGCGATCTTGGCTCACTGCAGCCTCCACCTCCCGGGTTCGGGCGATTCTCCTGCCTCAGCCTCCCGAGTAGCTGGGACTACAGGTGCACACCACCACGCCCAGCTAATTTTTGTATTTTTCATAGAGACGGGGTTTCACCATATTGGCCAGGCTGGTCTCGAACTCCTGATCTTGTCATCCACCCGCCTTATCCTCCCAAAGTGCTGGGATTACAGGCATGAGCCACCGCACCCAGCCTGTTTTCAAATTTTGGTCAGTGTCCTATTTCATTATTTATTTTCTATTTGTTCTTTGTTTCTCTGTTTCAGTTTTCTTGCCTTCTTTTGGGTAATATATATTAATTTAAAATATGCCATTCTATCTCATCTATGGACATTTTTAGCTACACCTATTTAGTGTTATTTTTTAGTGGGTATTCTAGAGATTACAATGTTGATCTTTAACTTATCACAAACTACAAATACTGTTTTACTATTAAGTAAATAATGTAAGCCTTATATAACCATATAACTCCATTTACTCTGGTCTTTTGTGTTCTTGTTGCCATATATGCTACTTCTATAATATGTTGTTATTCTTTTGCATTAAACATATTTTACCTATACTTAAATATATTTGAAGCCAAAAGAATAGCAATGTATTGTGGCATATACATATAATTTATAGCAAAAATAATGGCAATGTATTTAAAGTGGCATTTTACGTTTACCTAGATATTCAGTAGGTGCATTTCATCATCAGAGTATTCGGTGTAAGATCTAATAATAAGACCTTATTTTGAAAGAAGAATAAGAGCCTTAGAATTCATCATCTCCAAAGAATAAATGACACCACAATATAGTAGTTACTTGGATTTCAGAGTTTGGAATCCAAGCTCTGCCACTTACTGATTATACAACATGGGGCAATGTACTCACCATCCCTTACTTTTCCTATCCGTGAAATGAAGATAAGAAAATCTACTTTACATCATGGTTTTCAGGAACAAATCAGATAATCATTGTCAAGTCCTTGGTGTATTTTCTGGTATATAGTTATTCATCTTAACCACAGCTACCATCATTGTTACTGCTGCTGTTACTGTTGTGATTATTGTTGCTATTATAATTAGCATTACTACTATTTGTACTAGTAGTGGTGGTGGTGGTGCCTAATTCTCTTCCTACCTGTTCCTTACTTCTTTTCTTTCTTTTTTTTTTGAGTTGGAGTTTTGCTCTTGTTGCCCAGGCTGGAGTGCAATGGCGGGATCTCAGCTCACCACAACCTCTGCCTCCCAGGTTCAAGCGATTCTCTTGCCTCAGCCTCCTGAGCAGCTGGGATTACAGGCATGTGCCCCCACGCCCGGTTAATTTTGTATTTTTAGTAGAGATGGGGTTTTGCCATGTTGGTCAGGCTGGTCTCGAACTCCCGACCTCAGGTATCCACCCACCTCGGCCTCCCAAAGTGCTGGGATTACAGGCATGAGCCACCGCGCCTGGCCCCTGTTTGTTATTTCTTAGTCTTCTTTTAGGGCTCTTCTATCTCTATTTACTCAATAACATTCATATTCTCCGGGATTGTGTTCATGAGTCACTTTTCTTGCCCTTCTACATAGTCTCACTGATTTTTTTTTTTTTTCCTATGAGAATCAGGGAAATGGAGTCTCTAATTTTTTTTTTTTTTTGAGATGGGAGTCTCGCTCTGTCGCCCAGGCTGGAGTGCAGTGGCGTGATCTCGGTTCACTGCAACCTCCGCCTCCTGGGTTCAGGTGATTCTCCTGCCTCAGCCTCTTGAGTAGCTGGGATTACAGACACACACCACCACGCTCAGCTAAGTTTTGTATTTTTAGTAGAGACAGGGTTTCACCATGTTGGTCAGGTTGGTCTCGAACTCCTGACCTCGTGATCTGCCTGCCTCAGCCTCCCAAAGTGCTGGAATTACAGGCGTGAGCCACTGTGCCCGGCCTGGAGTCTCTAATTTTTTAAGTTATTTTGTAGAGTATTAACTGACACTTGTATACAACCTCTTTTGTCAAGTTTTGGACTCATAATCCAAGCCTATTAGACATCTCCACTTGGCTATCCAGCAGATGCCACAAATTCACTATTTGCTAAATAGAACTTATCTTTCTCTTTCCAAGCCTGCTCCTCTGCTCATGTCCATACAGTAGTAAGAGTATCAGTAACATTAGATGTCCACACTAAAAACTGGAAGTAACCTTGGACTTCTTTTTTTTTTCATTTATCCATTAATTAATCATAAACCTGGATATATTGTACTGGAAGATATAACTGTGACAAGATATCAATCCTATGTCCTTAACAGAACTCATAGCCTGACAAGCTCCAATTGATTACTAAGTCCTACTAATTCAACTCCCTAAATATTTCTGGAATTTACCCTTTCTTCTTTGTTTCCTTAGCCCTTACCTTAATTCAGTTGTCATCATCTGATTATTCTGCATTTATTTTCCCCCTGGCTCATTTATTACTCTACAAGAATGATTTTTTTTAAAAAAAATTATTTCCATCAGTTTTTGGGGAACAGGTGGTATTTGGTTACATAAGTAAGTTCTTTAGTGGCGATTTGTGAGATTTTGGTGCACCCATCACCCAAGAAGTATACACTGAACCCAATTTGTAGTCTTTTATCCCTCACCCTGTCCCACCCCTTCCACTTGAGTTCCCAAAGTCCACTGTGTCATTCTTATGCCTTTGCATCCTCATAGTTTAGCTCCCACTTTTGAGGGAGAACGTATGGTATTTGGTTTTCCATTCCTGAGTTACCTCACTTAGAATAATAGTCTCCAATCCCATCCAGGTTGCTGCAAAAGCCATTAATTCATTCCTTTTTATGGCTGAGTAGTATTCTATTATATATATACACCACAGTTTCTTTATCCACTCGTTGATTGATGGGCATACTGGTTGGTTCCATATTTTTGCAATTGCAAATTGTGCTGCCATAAACTTGTGTGTGTAAGTATCTTTTTCATATAATGACTTCTTTTCCTCTGGGTAGATACCCAGTATTGGGATTGCTGGGTCAAATGGTAGTTCTACTTTTAGTTCTTTAAGGAATCTCCACACTGTTTTCCATAATGCTTGCACTAGTTTACATTTCCACCAGCAGTGTGAAAGTGTTCCCTTTTTACCGCATCCATGCCAACATCTATTTTTTTTTATTTTTAAATTATGGCCATTTTTGCAGGAGTAAGGTGGTATCACACTGTGGTTTTGATTTGCATTTCCCTGATCATTAGTGATGTTGAGCATTTTTTCATATGTTTATTGGCCATTGATCTATCTTCTTTTGAGAATTTGTCTATTCATGTCCTTAGCCCACTTTTTGATGGGATTTTTTTTTTTCTTGCTAATTTGTCTGAGTTCTTTGTAGATTCTGGATATTAGTCCTTTGTCGGATGTATCATGATTGTGAAGATTTTCTCTCACACTGTGGGTTGTCTGTTTAGTCTGATGACTGTTCCTTCTGCCATGCAAAAGCTCTTTAGTTTAATTAGGTCCTAGCTATTTATCTTTGTTTTTACTGCATTTGCTTTTGTTTTCTTGGTCACAAAATCCTTGCCTAAGCCAATGTCTAGAAGGGTTTTTCCAATGTTATCTTCTAGAATTTTTTTTTTTTTTTTTTTTTTTTTTTTGAGATGGAGTCTTGCTCTGTTGCCCAGGCTGGAGTGCAGTGGCATGATCTCGGCTCACCACAACCTCTGCCTCCTGGGTTCAAGCGATTCTCCTGCCTCAGCCTCCTGAATAACTGGGACTACAGGCACTTGCCACCATGCCCACCTAATTTTTGTATTTTTAGTAGAGATGGGGTTTCTCCATGTTGGTCAGGCTGGTCTCAAACTTCTGACCTTGTGATCTGCCTGTCTCGGCCTCCCAAAGTGCTGGGATTATAGGCGTGAGCCACCATGCCCGGCCCTAGAATTTTTATAGTTTTAGGTCTTAGATTTAAGTTTTTGATCCATCTTGAGTTGATTTTTGCATAAGGTGAGAGATGAGGATCCAGTTTCTTTCTCCTACATGTGGCTAGCTAGTTATCCCAGCACCATTTGTTGAATGGTGCTTTCCCCACTTTATGTTTTTGTTTGCTTTGTTGAAGATCAGTTGGCTGTAAGTATTTGGGTTTATTTCTGGGTTCTGTATTCTGTTTCATTGGTCTATGTGCCTATTTTTATACCAGTACCATGCTGTTTTGGTGACTATGACCTTATAATATAGTTTGAAGTCAGGTAATATGATGCCTCCAGATTTGTTCTTTTTGCTTAGTCTTGTTTTGGCTATGCAGGTGCTTTTTTGTTTTCATATGAATTTTAGGATCGTTTTTCTGGTTCTGTGAAGAATGATGGTGGTATTTTGATGGGAATTGCATTGAATTTGTATGTAGATTGCTTTTGGCAGTGTGGTTATTTTCAGAATATTGATTCTACCCATCCATGAGCGTGGGATGTGTTTCTATTTGTTTGTGTTGTCTATGATTTCTTTCAGCAGTGTTTTGTAGTTTTCCCTGCAGAGTTCTTTCACCTTTTTGGTTAGGTATATTCCTAAGTATTTTAATTTTTTGTAACTGTTTTAAAAAGAATTGAGTTCTTTATTTGATTCTCAGCTTGGTTTCTGTTGGTGTATAAGAGAGCTACTGATTTGTATATTAATTTTGTATCCTGAAACTTTGCTGAATTCTTTTATCAGTTCTTGGAGCTTTTTGGAGGAGTCTTTAGAGTTTTCTAGGTATACAATCATATCATCAGCCAACAGTGACAGTTTGAGTTTCTCTTTATGGATTTGGATGCCTTTTATTTCTTTCTCTTGTCTGATTGCTCTGGCTAGGATTTCCAGTACTATGTTAAAGGGGAGTGGTGAGAGTGGGCATCCTTGTCTCATTCCAGTTCTCAGAGGGAAGGCTTTCAACTTTTCTCCATTTAGTATTATGTTGGCGGTGGTTTTGTCATAGATAGCTTTTATTACATTGAGGTATGCCCCTTGTATGCCCAATTTTGCTGAGAGTTTTAATCATAAAGTGATGCTGGATTTTATCAAATACTTTTTCTGCATCTATTGAGATGATCATGTTATTTTTGTTTTAAATTCTGTTTATGTGTTGTATCATATTTATTGACTTGTGTATGTCAAACCATCCCTGCATCCTTGGTATGAAACCCACTTGATCATGGTGGATTATCTTTTTGATATGTTGTTGGATTCGGTTAGCTAGTATTTTGTTAAGATTTTTGTATCTATGTTCATCAGGAATATTGGTTTGTAATTTTCTTTTTTGGTTATATCGTTTCCTGGTTTTGGTATTAGGGTGAGACTGGCTTCATAGAATGATTTAGAGAGGATTCCCTCTTTCTCTGTCTTGTGCAATAGTGTCAATAGGGTTGTTACCAGTTCTTCTTTGAATGTCTGGTAGAATTCAGCTATGACTCTATCTGGTCTTGCACTTTTTTTTTGGTATCTTTTTTTATTACCAGTTCAATCTCATTGCTTGTTATTGGTCTGTTCAGGGTATCTAATTCTTCCTGATTTAAATTAGGAGGGTTGTATCTTTCCAGGAATTTATCTATCTCCTCTAGGTTTTCTAGTTTATGCACATAAATGTCTTCATAGTAGCTTTGAATGATCTTTTGTATTTCAGTGGTGTCAGTTGTAATATCTCCCATTTTGTTTCTAATTGAGCTTATTTGGATTTTCTCTCCTCTTTTCTTGGTTAATCTTGTTAATGGTCTACCAATTTTACTTATATTTTCAAAGAACCAGCTTTGTGTTTCATTTATCTTTTGTATTTTGTTGTTGTTGTTTCAGTTTCATTTAGTTCTGCTCTGATCTTGGTTATTTCCTTTCTTCTGCTGGGTTTGGGTTTGGTTTGTTCTTGTTTCTCTAGTTTCTTGAGGTGTGACCTTAGGTAGTCTATTTGTGCTCTTTCAGACTTTTTGATGTAGGCATTTAGGGCTATGAACTTTCCTGTTAGCACTGCCTTTGCTGTTTCCCAGAGGTTTTGATATGTTGTGTCACCACTGTTGTGCAGTTAGAATAATTTTTTAATTTCCTTCTTGATTTCATTGTTGACCCAGTGATCATTCAGGAGCAGGTTATTTAATTTCCATGGATTTGCATGGTTTTGAATGTTCCTTTTGGAGTTGATTTCCAGTTTTATCTCACTGTGGTCTGAGAGAGTACTTGATATAATTTCAATTTACTTAAATTTATTGAGACTTGTTTTATGGCTTATCATATGGTTTATCTTGAAGAAAGTTCCATGTGCTGATGAATAGAATGTATACTTTGCGGTTGTTGGGTAGAATGTTCTGTAAATAGCTGTTAAGTCCATTTGTTTAAGGGTTTAAATCCATTGCTTCTTTGTTGACTTTCTGTCTTGATGACCTGTCTAGTGTTGTCAGTGGAGTATTGAAGTCCCCCACTATTATTGTGTTGCTGTCCATCTCATTTCTTAGATCTAGTAGTAATTGTTTTATAAATTTGGGAGCTCCAGTGTTAGGTGCATATATGTTTAGGATTGTGATATTTTCCTGTTTGACAAGGCGTTTTATCATTATATAATGTCCCTCTTTGTCTTTTAACTGCTGTTGCTTTAAACTTTGTTTTGTCTGATATAAGAATAGCTACTTCTGCTTGCTTTTGGTGTCCATTTGCATGGAATGTCTTTTTCCACTCCTTTACCTTAAGTTTATGTGAATACTTCTGTGTTAGGTGAGTTTCATGAAGGTAGCAGATAGTTGGTTGGTGAATTCTTATCCATTCTGCAATTCTGTATCTTTTAAGTGGAGCATTTAGGCCATTTACATTCAGTGTTAGTATTGAGATGTGAGGTACTATTCCATTCATTGTGCTACTTGTTTCCTGTATGCCTCTTTTTTAATTGTATTTTTGTTTTATAGATCCTATGGGACTTACGCTATAAGAGGTTCTGTTTTGATGTATTTCCAGGATTTGTTTCAAGATTTAGAGCTCCTTTTAGCAGTTTTTGTAGTGCTAGCTTAATAGTGGCGAATTCTCTCAGCGTTTGTTTGTCTGAAAAAGACTATCTTTCCTTAATCTATGAAGCTTAGTTTCACTGGATACAAAATTCTTGGCTGATAATTGTTTTATTTAAGGAGGCTGAAGATAGAGCCCCAGTTCCTTCTAGCTTGTAGGGTTTCTGCTGAGAAATGTGCTGTTCATCTGATAGGTGTTTCTTTATAGGTTACCTGGTGTTTCTGTTTCACAGGTCTTAAGATTCTTTCCTTCGTCTTAACTTTAGATAACCTAATGACAACGTGCCTAGGTGATGATCTTTTTGCAATGAATTTCCCAGATGTTCTTTGACCTTCTTGTATTTGGATGTCTAGGTCTCTAGCAAGGCCAGGGAAGTTTTCCTCAATCCCCCAAATATGTTTTCCAAACTTTTAGATTTCTCTTCTTCCTCGGGAATGCCAATTATTCTTAGGTTTGGTCACTTAACATAATCCCAAATTTCTTGGAGGCTTTGTTCATTTTTTCTTCTTCTTTTTTCTTTGTCTTTGTTGGATTGGGGTAATTTGAAAATCTTATATTTGGGCTCTGAAGTTCTTTCTTCTGCTTGTTCAATTCTATTGCTGAGACTTTCCAGAACATTTTGCATTTCTCTAAGTGCGTCCATTATTTCCTGAAGCTTTTATTATTTTTTATTTATGTTATCTATTTCACTGACGATTTCTCCCCTCATTTCGTGTATGCTTTTTTATATATATTTTTTTTTCGAGACAAAGTTTCACTGTTGTTGCCCAGGCTGGAGTGCAGTGGTGTGATCCTGGCTCACTGCAGTCTCCACCTCCCAGGTTCAAGCAATTCTCCTGCCTCAGCCTCCCAAGTAGCTGGGATAACAGGCACCTGCCCCCCATGGCTGGCTAATTTTTTTGTATTTTTAGTAGAGACAAAGTTTCACCATGTTGGCCAGGCTGGTCCCGAATGTCTGACCTTGGGTGATCCACCCGCCTCGGCCTCCCAAAGTGCTGGCATTACAGGAGTGAGCCACCGTGCCCAGCTTTGTATTGTTTAATTTTTTTATTTTTTTTTGAGACAAAGTCTTGCTCTTGTCCCCCCAGGCTGGAGTGCAATGGGATAATCTTGGCTCACTGCAACCTCTGCCTCCTGGGTTCGAGTGATTCTCCTGCCTCAGCCTCCTGAGTAGCTGGGATTATAGGTGCCTGTCACAGCGCTGGGCTAATTTTTGTATTTTTAGTAGAGACGGGGTTTCACCACCATGTTGGCCAGGCTGGTCTTGAACTCCTGACCTCAGGTGATCCGACCGCCTTGGCTTCCCAAATTGCTGGGATTACAAGTGTGAGCCACCGCACCTGGCCTCATTTTTTAAATTCCCTTAACTTGGACTTCATCTTTCTCTGGTGCCTCCTTGATTAGTTTAATGACTGATTTTCTGAATTCTTTTTTAGGCAAATCATAGATTTCTTCTTGGTTTGGATTCATTGCTGGTGAGCTAGTGTCATTTTTTGGGGCTGTTAAAGAGCCTTGCTTTGTCATATTACCAGAATTGTTTTTCTGGTTCCTTCTCATTTGGATAGTCTATGTCAGAGGAAAGGTCTAGGGCTCAAAGCTGCTGTTCAGATTCTTTTGTCCCATGGGGTGTTCCCTTAATGTAGTACTTGCCCTTTTCCTATGGATATGGCTTCCTGAAAGCTGAGCTGTAATGATTATTATCTCTCTTCTGGATCTAGCTCTTCAGCAGGTCTGCCAGGCTCTGGGCTGGTACTGGGGGTTGTCTGCACAGAGTCCTGTGATGTGAACCGTCTGTGGGTCTCTCAGCCGTGGATACCAGCACCTGTTCTGGTGGAGGTGGCAGGGGAGTGAAATGGACTCTGTGAGGGTCCTTATTTTTGGTTGTTTAATGCTCTATTTTTGTGTTGGTTGGTCTCCTGCCGGGAGGTGGTGCTTTCAAGAGAGCATCAGCTGTGGTATTATAGGGAGGATCAGGTGGTGGGTAGGGGCCTAGAACTCCCAAGAGTATATGCCCTTTGTCTTCAGCTAGCAGGGTACATAGGGAAGGACCATCAGGTCGGGGAAGGGCTAGAAGTGTCTGAGTTCAGACTGTCTTTGGGCAGGTCTTGGCTGCGGCTGCTTTGGGGGATGGGAGTGTGGTTCCCAAGTCAATGGAGTAATGTTCCCAGGAGGATTATGTCTGCCTCTGCTGTGTCATGCCGGTTGTCAGGGAAGTGGGAGAAAGCTGGCAGTCACAGGCCTCACCCAGCTCCCATGCAACCCAAAAGGCTGGTCTCACTCCCACCTTTCCCCCGACTCCCAACAGCACCAAGTCTGTTTCCAGCAGTGGGCGAGCAGGGCTGAGAACTTGCTGCAGGCTACCAGTCTCCCAGCTGCAAAAGCAAGCAGGGCTTTCGTGTCTGCCTGCTTTTGGAGTCTGCACACCAGAATCACTCCCTCCCCGGAGTTCTGGCCAGGAGATTTTGCATTCTGTTGGAATTGTTACACAGTTCAGCTGGAGGTTTCCTTTTCCCTGTGGTCTTTTCCCAGTTCCTCTGGCAGCCCTCCCCAAGGACTCCTGTGAGGCAAGGCAGAAATGGCTTCCCCGGAGACCCAGAGAGCCCACAGGGCTTATCCCGCTGCTTCCTCTACCCCTGTATTTCACTCAGCTCTCTAAATTGACTCAGCTGCAGTTAATGTCAGAATCTCCTCCTGTGATCTAGACCTTCAGGTTCCCCTGTGAGGGTTGTCTCACGCAAGTCTGTGTGAAGAGACCACCAAACAGGCTTTGTGTGAGCAACAAGGCTGTTTATTTCACCGGGGTGCAGGTGGGCTGAGTCCGAAGGAGAGTCAGCAAGGGTGGTGGGATTATCATTAGTTCTTATAGGTTTTGGGATAGGCGGTGGAGTTAAGAGCAATGTTTTGGGAGCAGGGGGTGGATCTCACAAAGTACATTCTCAAGGGTGGGGAGAATTACAAAGAAATTTCTTAAGAGTGGGGGAGATTATAAAGAACATTGATCAGTTAGGGTGGGGCAGAAACAAATCACAATGGTGGAATGTCATCAGTTAAGCTATTTTCACTTCTGTGGAACTTCAGTTGCTTCAGGACATCTGGATGTATATATGCAGGTTACTGGGGATATGATGGCTTAGCTTGGGCTCAGAGGCCTGACATTCCTGTCTTCTTATATTAATAAGAAAAATAAAACAAAATAGTGGTAAAGTGTTAGGGCGGTGAAAATTTTTGGGGGTGGTATGGAGAGATAATGGGTGATGTTTCTCAGGGCTGCTTCGAGCGGGATTGGGGTGGCGTGGGAACTTACAGGGGGAGATATTCAACTGAAGAAGGATTTTGGGGTAAGGAGTGATATTGTGGGGTTGTTAGAAGGAGCATTGTTATTCTCTTATTTGGAAGACACAAGGTCCGAATAAAAGAAGGAGAAAAACAGGTATGAAAGGACTAAGAATTGGGAGTACCCAGGACAACCAATTACAGAGTGTCAAAGGGGGTTCGGCATAATTATTTGCTTGGTTGGCATGTTTTTGGGCTCTATCCTTGAGTTTTTTTATGTTGTCATAGACCAGGCCAGATTGATTTAGGTAAAAACAACCTTCTTCATTTAAAAATATACAGAGTCCCCCCTACCTTTTTTTTTTTTTTTTTTTTTTTTTAGCAGTGAGTAAGTTAGGGCCTCCTCGAATTTGGAGGAAAGAGAAATGCAAAGCCAGCAATTGTTTGTTAAAGAAGGATTAGAAAGGGCTAGGAGAGAGTGACTGAGATTGATAGTGTGGTGGAGATAGCTGGGGAGAGGTAGAGGGTGGCATAAGAATGGGAACGAGAATAAGAGTAAGTATAAAAGTAAAGAATAGGACTTCATCAGGGTGAAAGTATTGGAGGGTACTTTATCACTGAAGATCTTCTATCCACTTCTAGATAGACTT
This sequence comes from Homo sapiens, assembly GCF_000001405.40. Lineage (NCBI taxonomy): Eukaryota > Metazoa > Chordata > Mammalia > Primates > Hominidae > Homo > Homo sapiens. The sequence goes on along the minus strand of NC_000002.12, from coordinate 151,314,030 downwards.
AAGGGTGGCGATTTGAGGTAAAACCAGGAGCCACTAAATACCAAGAGCCTCAGAAACTGAGGTGGGAAGGCCAAACCGAGGAATTATGTCTGACAGAAGGGAGGAAATGACCATGGTGGCCTTCTCAGACCCTGTGAGAAAGGCCTCTACCCACCCAGTGAAAGTGTCTACCCATACCAAGAGGTATTTTAATTTCCTGACTCGAGGCATGTTGAGTAAAGTCAATTTGCCAGTCCTGGGTGGGGGCAAATCCCCAAGCTTGATGTGTAGGGAAGAGAGGGGGCCTGAACAATCCCTGAGTAGTAGAATAGCAGATGGAACACTGAGAAGTGATTTCCTTGAGGATAGATTTCCACGATGGAAAGGAAATGAGAGGTTCTAAGAGGCGGACCAGCGGCTTGTAACCTACATGGAAGAGGTTATGAAATGACAGAATAGAATGGGCCTGTGAGGCTGGAAGGAGATATTTTCCTTGGTACAAGAACCATTTGCTTTGTGTGGGAAGAGATTGATAGGTGGAAGTTTCAGTTGGGGAGTAGGTGGGAGTGACTAGATGAGGAGAAAAACTGCCGTGAGGGATAGAAGTTGGAACGCTAGCTGCTTTTTTAGCTACCTTATGAGCATAAGCATTGTCCTGAGTGATGGGATCTGATGCCTTTTGATGGCCTTTGCAGTGAATAATTCTAGCTGTCTTTGGAAGTAAAGCAGCCTTGAGAAGAGTTTTTATTAAAGAGGCATTAATGATGGAGGACCCTTGTGTAGTGAGGAAAACTTTCAGCTCATAAAGCAGCATGGTGGTGCAGGATATGGGGTCAGCATAAATATTGATGAGTAGTCCCTTTACAAGAGTGAGGACCCGAATTAAGGCAATGAGTTTGACTTGCTGAGAGGTAGTGGAGGGGGGCAGAGCAGTAGCCTCAATGATAGATGTGGAAGATACTATAGCATAGCCTGCCTTTGCTGGTGAGTGGTGATTAGGCTTGATGGAACTGCCATCAATAAGCCAAGTGTGATCAGGGTAACGAACACGAAAGAAGGAAATAAGGAGAAATGGAGTGAATGTCAGGTGGATCAGAGAGATACAGTCATGGGGGTCAGGTGTGGTATCCAGAATAATGTGGAAGGCCAGATTGAAGTCCAGGCCAGGAACAATGGTAATTGTGGGAGACTCAACAAAGAGTGAGTATAGCTGAAGGAATTGGGGAGCAGAAAGTATATGTGTCAGGTGTGAGGAAGAAAATAGATTTTGAAAGTTATGAGAGCTGTAGAGAGTGAGTTGAGCACGGTTTGTGATTTGGAGGGCCTCCAAAAGTATTAAGGCAGTGGCAGCTGCCACACGCAGACATGAGGGCTAGGCTAAAACAGTAAGGTCAAGTTGTTTGGACAGAAAGCCTACAGGGAGCGGTCCTGGCTCTTGTGTAAGAACTCCGACCGCACAGCCCTGCACTTCAGCTGTGTGTAATGAAAACGGAGTGATGAGTTAGGGAGAGCCAGTGTGGGAGCAACTTTTAGGGCTGTTTTTTAAGGAATGGAAAGGGGAGTGGGGAAAGGATTTAGGATCTGTGTGGTCAACTAGGTTTGCTTTTGTGAGTTTATATAATGGTTCAGTCAGGATGGTAAAACTAGGTATCCAAACGCGGAAGTACCTAACCATGCCCAGGAAGGAGAGGAGTTGTTTTGTAGAAGGGGTTGGGGTTTGGGAGATTAGCCGGACACAATCAGCAGGGAGAGCACGTGTGTTTTCATGCAGAATTATGTTGAGATAGGTAATGGATGAGGAAGAAATTTGGGCTTGACTGAAGTAATGGGGGCTGTCCGTGAAGCCTTGCAGCAGTACAGCCCAGGTAATTTGCTGAGCCTGATGGGTGTCAGGGTCAGTCCAAGTGAAAGCAAAAAGAGGCTGGGATGAAGGGTGCAAAGGAATACTAAAGAAAGCATGTTTGAGATCCAGAACAGAATAATGGGTTATGGAGGGGTTGTGGAGGGAGGTATTGAGGATAGGAGAGTATATGGCTTTGGCACCATGGGGTGATAGGCAAGACAATTTGGTTGTTAAGGTGCAGATCCTGTACTAATCTGTAAGGCTTGTCCGGTTTTTGGACAGGTAAAATGGGGGAATTGTAAGGAGAGTTTATAGGCTTTAAAAGGCCATGCTGTAATAGGCAAGTGATAACAGGCTTTAATCCTTTTAAAGTGTGCTGTGGGATGGGATATTGGCATTGAGTGGGGTAAGGGTGATTAGGTTTTAATGGGACGGTAAGGGGTGCATCATCTGTCACCAAGGAGGGAGTAGAGGTATCCTGTACTTGTGGATTAAGGTGGGGAGATATAAGGAGAGGATGTGAAGGAGGCTTTGAATTGGGGCAAAAGATGGCAATTGAGGTGTGGCTGTAGCCCAGGAATAATCAGGGAAGCAGATAATTTGGTTAAAATGTCTCAGCCTAATAAGGGAACTGGGCAGGTGGGGATAACTAAAAGGAGTGTATAAAAGAATATTGTCCAAGTTGGCACCAGAGTTGGGGAGTTTTAAGAGGTTTAGGAGTCTGGCCGTCAATACTTACAACAGTTTTGGAGGCCAGGGAAACAGGCCCTTGAAAATAAGGTAATGTGGAGTGAGTAGCCTCCATGTTGATTAAGAAGGGGACGGACTTACCCTCCACTGTAAGAGTTACCAGAAGCTCGGCATCCACGATGGTCCCGGAGGCTTCTGAGGCAATCAGGCAGCATCAGTCTTCAGCCGCTAAGATGAGAAGATCCGGGAAGGAGTCAGTCAGAGAACCTTGGGCCAGAGTTCCCGGAAGAATGGCTGCCAGGCGAGTTGAACAGTCCAATTTTCTGTGGGGTCCCACACAGATGGGACATGGCTTACGAGGAATTCTGGGCTGCGGGCATTCCTTGGCCCAGTGGCCAGATTTCCAGCACTTGCTTCTGGGGGAGGGGGTTCTGGAGGAACCCCTGGCAGCTGTGGTTCAGGCGTTTGGAGTTCTTGTGTGCTGGAGCTGTGGCTGGGGTTTGTCTCACAGTGGAGGCAAGGAATTGCAACTTAGAAATACATTGCTACTTGGCTGCCTCTACTCTATTATTGTACACCTTGGAGGTGAGGTTAATTAAGTCCCGTTGTGGGGTCTGAGGGCCGGAATTTAATTTTGGGAGCTTTAGTTAATGTCGGGAGCAGATTGGGTAATAAAATAAAATGCATACTGAGAATAAGACGGCCTTCTGACCCCTATGGGTCTAGGGCAGTAAAATGTCTAAGGGTTGTTGCCAAATGGGCCATGGACTGGGCTGGGTTTTTATATTTGATGAAAAAGAGCCTAAATCCTAGCTGATTTGGGAGAGGTCGGATAAAGAGAAAAGGAGCATTAACCTTGACTATGCCTTTAGCTCCAGCCACCTCTCTCAGAGGAAATTGCTGGGCAGGTGGGGGAGGGCTAGTCGCGGAACAAAACTGTAAGCCAGACCGGGTGAGGAGGGGAGGTGATAAAAAGATTGTGGGGTGGGTGCGCAGAGGCTGAGGAAGAATTGGGACCTGGCTTGGCCTGGCGAGGAGCAGCCTGGGGAGAAAGGGAGGTCAGATGAGTCTGTAGAAAAGGAGGATTCAAAGGACTCAGAGCTTGGGGTGGAGACTGAAGGAACAGACAGGAGAGAAAGAAGAAAGATTTGGGACAAGTCTCATTGGGAGCAGAGACTAGGGAGGGACCAATGTGTAAAAGAATGCCTAGACGTCAGGCACCTGAGACCATTTGCCCATTTTACCACAAAAATTATCTAGATCTTGTAGGACAGACAAATCGAAAGTGCCATTCTCTGGCCACTTGGAACTACTATCGAGTTTGTATTGGGGCTAAGCAGTATTGCAGAAGAAAATAAGACACTTAGATTTTAGGTCAGGCGAGAGTTGACGAGGTTTTAAGTTCTTGAGAACACAGGCTAAGGGAGAAGAAGGAGGAGTGGAGGGTGGAAGGTTGCCCATAGTGAAGGAGGCAAGTTCAAAGAGAAAGGTAGAGACACGGACAAGCGGGGTGGGAAGCAGCCCTGGGCTGCAACGTGGGTGAGCAGCCAAAGCAGGCGTCCCTGCAATTGACTTGCCACCAAGGGAACGTGAGTGAATGACCAAGGCAGGTGTCCCCGCGGAGATCAGACACCAATGGAACATGGGTGAATAATCAGGGAGGCATCCCCGCAATGATTAAACACCAAGGGAAGGTTGCCTTCCCGAGTCTGTGACCGGCGCCAGAGTTTTGGGTCTACGGATAAAATGTGTCTCTTTTGTCTCTACCAGAAAATGAAAGGAATTGAAATTAAGAGAAGGGAGAGATTGAAGGGTGGTGCCAAGATTGAAAGGAGAAAGAGGTTGAGGGATAGTGAGAGAGATTGGAGAAGAGAGTAAAAAGAGGCTGCTTACCCGATTTAAAATCAGTGAGCTGTTCCTTGGGCTGGTTGGTCTGAGGACCTGAGGTCGTAGGTGGATCTCTTCACAGAGTAAGGGTGAGGACAGGGGACTGGTCTCCCAAAGGAGTCCCGCTGACCCGGGTCTTCGGCACCAAATGTCTCATGTGTCTGTGTGAAGAGACCACCAAACAGGCTTTGTGTGAGCAACAAGGCTGTTTATTTCACCTGGGTGCAGGTGGGCTGAGTCCGAAAACAGAGTCAGCAAGGGTGGTGGGATTATCATTAGTTCTTATAGGTTTTGGGATAGGTGGTGGAGTTAAGAGCAATGTTTTGGGAGCAGGGGTTGGATCTCACAAAGTACATTCTCAAAGGTGGGGAGAATTACAAAGAAATTTCTTTGTAATTTCTTAAGAAATTACAAAGCGTGGGGCAGAAACAAATCACAATGGTGGAATGTCATCAGTTAAGCTATTTTCACTTCTGTGGAACTTCAGTTGCTTCAGGCCATCTGGATGTATATGTGCAGGTCACTGGGGATATGGTGGCTTAGCTTGGGCTCAGAGGCCTTACAAGGGTGTGTGTTCTGGGGCAGACAATCCCCCTTTCCCAGTTCCACAGCTTGGGCAATCACTGTGTTTGGGGTGTCTCCCAGGTCCTGCAGGAGCAATCCTCTTCCTTCAGAGGGTCTGTGGGTTTTCTTGGCTTTCCTGATTTATTCCTGCAGTAGTTCTGGAGCAAAAGTTCATGATGAGAGTGTCCACACACTGCTCTGTCTGTCCAAGTGGGAGCTGCAAACTGTCCTGCCTCCCATCTGCCATGATGTTCTCAAGTCTCTCTTGTCCCTTCTCTCTAAAATGCATTGGTGAATTCATTCTTAAAAATACAGGTAAAGCCTCACATTCCCTGTGAGAACACCTCCAACCATCTTTTGCACATCTCTAGCATATCACTTAGCATATCACGTTAGAAAGTTTTATTTGATATATTTCTCTCCTTTGAGTATAGGAAACCTCAGTTTCATGAGGATAGCAATTAGCTGCATTTATTTTGTTTGTTTGTTTTTGTTTTTGAGACAGAGTCTCACTTTGTCACCTAGGCTGGAGTGCAGTGGCGTGATCTCGGCTCACTTCAACCTGCACCTCCTGGGTTCAAGCAATTCTCCTGCCTCAGCCTCCCGAGTAGCTGGAACTACAGGTGTGTGCCACCACACCCAGCTAATTTTTGTATTTTTAGTAGAGACAAGGTTTCACCATGTTGCCCAGGCTGGTCTCGAACTCCTGACCTCAGGTGATCCACCCACCTTGGCCTCCCAAAGTGCTGGGATTATAGATGTAAGCCACAGCACCTGGCCTGTTTATTTTTAAAAATAGTACCAAGCATATAATAAAAACTCAATGAGTTAGTGAATGAATGAATGTAGTGAATACAAGATTCAGTCACTTAACTATGGAGTGACAACCATCTTCTTTTACTCATTTAACACATTTATTTGGCAATTATTTGTTTCATGTCTACTTTATGCCAGGCATCAATCCAGTACAGCCAATGAGCAAGACACACAAAGTTACTGCTTTCATGGAGCTTACATTCTAGCAGCAGTGACAGAGAAAAAATGGAGCAATAAGTAAACAAGGAAATTATCAGATAATGATGAGTGCTTTGAAAGACTCAGCATAGGCTGACATGATAGAAAAGAGGGTCAGGAAAGGCCTCTCTGAGGAGGTGACATTGAAGCTTAGATCTGAATGACCTGAAGGAGCCAGCCATGCCAGACAGATGGGAAGGCTGGAGCAAAAGCCCTGTGGCAAGAATGAACTTGACCAATTCTCCAAAAACAAAAGGGAGAGCAAGGTGATGAAAGAGCTTAATGAAAGGGGGAACTTACTGTGAGGGGAAAGGTAGGCAGTGGCAGGTACTGTGGGGCTGCGTAAGCCAGGTTGGGCATATGGAGTTGAATTTATATGCAGTAGGAGGTTTTTCAGCAGGTGACAACATGATTTAATTTATGTTTTAAAAAGATCACTCTGGTGTCTCATCAGAGGAGAACTTATAGTGGATTAAGAGGGGGAGCAGGGAGTCATCTCAGGAGGCTACTGCAGTTGTCCAGGGAGAGTTGATGGGATGGTGGCTTGGATGGTGATGGCAACAATGGAGAAGGGAAAGAAGTGTACTGGTTCAGGGACATTTTGGAGGTTTGCTCTTGAGTTGGATGAGTAGCAAGAGGGGGTAAGAGCTTTCAAAGATAGTTTGATGAATGCAAATCCTTTATTCACTTTTGTTACCAGGAATTTAGTACTAAGGATTTTATTCACCTTTGTGACCAGGAATTTAGCACTAAGTATTAGTCAAAAGAGAAAAGAGTGTGGAATCCTTTTGCACATCCTTGCCGATGGCTATTGGGTCAAGTGGAAAGGTAAAGAAGACTTGTTTTTGGACAGAGGCTGACCTTGGGGATACTAAGCATTTTCTTGAGGAGGGGAGTTCTTTGGCTAACAATATTTAATATGCCCTCGCAAGATACCAAAACCAACCAGCAAGAGACGCATAGCATCTACTGAGGTGCCAACAATATCAGAAGTTGAAGATGCCAACACAAAAGGACCTCTTGGGCCTTTCTTTTAGGTGTGTCAGTGAATGTGAGATGTGGAGAGACAATGGAACATGGTTAACTGAAGTCTTTTTCAAAAATGCCTTCTAGGAGACCATCAGGCTGCCTACTGGAGCTTTGGCTGCTTTTCTAGCCAAATAGGAAATGTGTGAGTGTCCTAAGGGCTCGGGCCCCGTCTTAGTCATCTTTGAATTCCCACCCAAGGATTAGCAGAATGCATGACATAATACATTGCAAGAGCTGAGTGAAGATTTAAGCAAAGGGAAAAATGATAATTGTCCCAGAGGATAGTCCAGCCCTTTGTATGCTGTAACCTCAATATCAAATTTATGTTTTGTGGTTTGGCTATGATCCCATTAAGGCTAATTTCTCTTTCTTGGGAAACATTCGATCATAATCAATTCCTTTGTTCCGTTTTTTTTTTTTTTTTTTTTTGAGACAGGGTCTCACTCTATCACCCAGGCTAGAGTGCAGTGGCATGATTCAGCTCACTGCAACCTCCCGAGCTCAAGCGATCCTCCATCCTTGGCCTCCCAAGTAGCTGGGACCACAAGTGTGCACCACTGTGTCTGGCTAATTTTTGTATTTTTTTTGTAGAGACAGAAAAATACCCAGCTTGGCTAGTCTCAAACTCCTGGATTCAAGCAATCTGCCTGTCTTGGCCTCTCAAAGTGCTGGGATTACAAGCATAAGCCACCATGTCCAGCCTTCCACATGTTTGATTAAATATGCTAAACCCAATTTTCCAATGTACATTTACAAAATAATTTTTATTTTTTGTTCTGTTGCAAATTTTTGTGTCACTTGATAACTAATTGCCACCTCAGTTATATTTACTTATATGTACAAACATACTATATACAAATTTTCTTCATTTGTTAAAGAAAATAAAATTTAATTGAATAAAAATTATGAATACAAATAAACAAGTGTAGAAATAAAGGGTACCCATAACTTTGCCTTCAAAGAAACTTTAAAGATTTACACAGGGACTTTTTTCTATGTATATATACGCATACACACACACACACACACACACACACACACACACATTTTGTGGGGGTGACAAAAATGGGATCACTGTAGACTTAATGTTTTGCAATTGGATTTAAATATTCTTTTAAAATATAAGTAATATAATTAATAAGTGGGAACTTAACTTTGAGTTCAGAGTGTGCTGCTTCTTCTTTTTCTCTTTTCTTTGACAGTATTTCTTTTTATACCTTTTATAACATAGAACATTATTCTATGAGCCCAACTGAGAAAATGAATGGAAGTTCAACTAAGTAAGATGTCAGCCCAACTTAAGGACTTAGGCATCTGGTGAGTGGTTGGACAAGATGACCTCTGATTTCTCCAACTCTGAGATTCTGTGAATGGAGACAGGAGATAGGAATTTGTAAGGCTAATTGGACTGAAAAGACTGAATTACTGGTATAAGGGAGTTCTGGGAAATTAGGTTGGAAAGGTGGATTATGGCCTGGTTGCATTTACATCTTGGCTCTCCAGCTGGGCATGTAGATGCATGTTGGGAGCAAATGCACATCAAAGAAGAGTGACAAGATCAGGAATCTTCTGCTTCCCCTTCTCCTTCCCCTTCCCCTTCCCCTCCCCCTTCCCCTCCTCCTCCTCCTTTTTCTTCTTCTTCCTCCTCTTCTTCCTCTTCTTCTTTTTTCTTCTTCTTTCTTCTTCTCCCTTCCTCTCCTCTCTTTTCATCTTCCTCTTTTCTAACTTTTATAGAAAATGAATATCAAATTCTCTCACTTTTATGGGCCTCCTCTTCCTTGAATTCCCATATGAAGTAACTTGAGCTCACTTCCCATATAATGAAGGAAAGTTCTATGCCAGATACACAAATCTGTCCTCTCTTTTCCTATAAATCTGAAAACAGTAAATCTCCATAAAGACAGGGACTAGTTTTACCTACATCGTCTTACAATAGTATACAAAGACTTGCATGCAAATAGGACTCACTACAATTTTTACTTTTTATTTTTTAATTATGGTAAAATACACATAACAAAATTTATCATCAACCATTTTTAAGTGTACATTTCAGTGGTATTAAGTACATTCACATTGTTGAACAACCATCACTACCATCCATCTCCAGAACTCTTTTCATTTTGCAAAACTGAAACTTGGCCGAATGCTGTGGCTCACGCCTGTAATCCCAGCACTTTGGGAGGCTGAGGTGGGCAGATCACCTGAGGTCAGGAGTTCGAGACCAGCCTGGCCAACATGGTGAAACCCCGTCTCTACTGAACATACAAAAAAAATTAGCTGGGTCTGGTGGCAGGCGCCTGTAATCCCAGCTACTTGGGAGGCTGAGACAGGAGAATCGCTTGAACCCAGGAGGTGGAGGTTGCAGTGAGCCGAGATGGCGCCGTTGCACTCCAGCCTGGGGGACAAGAGCAAGACTTTGTCTCAAAAAACAAAAATAAAAACAAAAACAAACAAAAAACAAACAAACTGAAACTCTATGCTCATTAAACAATAACTCCCCATTCACTCCTTCCCTCATCCCCTGGCAACCACCATTCTATTTCCTCTGTAAATTGGATTATTCTAGGTTCCTTATATAAATGGAACCACACAATACTTGTCCTTTTGTAGATGACTTATTTCACTTAGCATAATGTCCTCAAGGTTCATACATAATCTATTCTATACCAGACTTTCCTTCCTTTTTAAGGCCAAATAATACTCCATTGCATCTATATGGCACATTTTATTTATTGACTCATCTAACTAAAATTATTTTGATAAGAATCCTGTAGCCCATAGATCCATTAAGGCCACAGACTTCTTTTGGGCCTGCAAAAGTCACCACTGTATCACTTAAAAGTTTCCCAACATTTCCTGATTTTGTTTGACAGCCTAGAATTCTTTGAGATGCTTTTTATTCTCAGACATAGCTGCTGTTCTTTCAGGGATCAGGGTATCTTAGGGCCAGGGCTGTGGTTAAATAGGAAGAAGGGTAAGATCAAGGCCACAAGTAGGTTAATATTACCTTATTCAACAAGTATTCACAGGTCACTCTTTTTGGAAAACACCACCTTAGTTGCTTTGGTAGCTACTCTATATCACAATGGCCAGGTGGCCTTTGGGTGGACAGAGTGATATAATTTGTAAATCAATGGGCTTGACACTACTTAGACTCTGGGCTTAATAACCAAGATAGACTCTTACAGAGAAGTTGTGCTTTTCACACACATGCAGGCATTTCCACAAGTCAAGAAACAGCAGAAGATACTGGACGCGGTGGCTCACGCCTGTAATCTCAGCACTTTGGGAAGCCAAGGTGGGCAGATCATGAGGTCAAGAGATCAAGACCATCCTGGCCAACATGGTGAAACCCCCATCTCTACTAAAAATACAAAAACTACCTGGGCGTGGTGGCGCGTGCCTATAGTTCCAGCTACTCAGGAGGCTGAGGCAGGAGAATCGCTTGAACCTGGGAGGCAGAGGTTGCAGTGAGCCGAGATTGTGCCGCTGTACTCCAGCCTGGGTGACAGAGTGAGACTCCATCTCAAAAAAAAAAAAAAGAAACAGCAGAAGATGGACAAGAGACTCTGCCTCCCATCTTCCCTTCACAACTCACCCTCCTTACCCCAACTACCTCCTTCCGGTGGCTTGGTTTTGAGGCCATGTTGTAAATTAGCTGCAAAAGAAGACCAGGGAAGACGTTTCTCCTACACCTTGCAAGCCCCCCTGTATTTTCAGTATTTCTGGTAAGGACCTCACCACATGTGGTGCAGAGCATGGTGCTATGCAGAATGATGTAGAGAGAATGAATTTTCCCTTTCCAGACACATTTTATGTTATCACTGTTGTCAAAGCAGATGAAAAATCAGGTTGCCGCTGAGTCACAGCCTCCACAATGGCACACCCCCTCTCCTCCATGTGTCCAGAGAACTGATGTAATTTCTTAAGAGATTTCTCAGGAAAACGTGATTCTTTCTGTGTATCTCCCAGTAATGTTACTTTGGTTTATGCTCATAAAAGCATAGGTTGGCTGTAATCTTAATTAGCCCTCACTGAACAATATTTTTCTTATTTTTTTCCTAGGGTTTTCTTCAGTAACCATATCTAATTTTTTTGTCATAGCAGTGTGCCCCAAGAAAAAGTTTCAGACAGCAGAAACAGATCTAAAGATTAATAGCATATAAAAGATTTTCTACTTTTTTTCCCAAAAAGTGAAGCTAATCTGAATGAAATATAAGAAAGTGTAATTTTTCTAGACGTTTATGTCTGTACCACAGCAGGGGGGTTCCCTTGTAAATGAGTTATCTTTTTTTTCCAAAAAGAAGTTTATTGCAAGGAGGCTTATTAACTAGTCCTGGGAGTTGATGAAAGTCCCATCTCTTTGCCTGGGGTGTGTAACTCAGTGGGAGTCAGTTCCACACGGAGTTTTGGTGGCGATGATCTCACTATTTTATACCTCATGTCTACACTTTAGTTTATGTAAAAAAGTTCCTTTCCCTGATGAAAAATGTCCCGTCTGTGACAAAGTTGTTCTTGCCTTTTCGTGTGTCCTTTTTTCCTCCCAGTTGGACATGAATCACACTCTTCATATTTTGGTATGTAGTAGTTATTAATTAATTCAACCAGTTGAAGACAGTCCCATGCCAGATTGTTACTGGCACTTGTTATTTGACATCTGTGGGTACAACTGGTAATGAGCAGGCTTTATCTGAAATCCTCAGTCAGCAGCACAATATTCCAGGAGATGGGACCATCACAGCTAGCATGCACGCCCTGCTGCTTTCTGCCTCCCACCTAAAGGCTAGGAGATGGCCACATAGATGCAATGATCTAGGGCTAATAAAGTATGGGCTTCCCTAAAGTTGCTTCCTTACTGGACTACTAGAATAACATTAAAGTTAATTTAAAAATTTCTAATTGATATATAATATTTGTACCTTTTTATAGGGTTCATATATTTTGTTACAGGCATAGAATGTATAATAATCAAGTCAGGGTATTTAGGGTATTTATATTTTTGTACTGAGAACATTTCTTTCCAGTATTTATTTATTTGTATTTCTTTGTACTGGGAACATTTCAAGTCCTCTCTTCTAGCTAATTTGAAATATACAATACAATGTTAACTGTAGTCACCTATTCTGCTATAGAACATTAGAACTTATTTTTTCTATCTAACTGTATATTTGTACCCATTAACTAACCTCTTTCCATCCCTGCCACACTCTTCTCAGCCTGTGGTAACTACCATTCCACTCTCTACCCCTGTGAGATCAACGCTTTTAGCTCCATGTATGAGTGAGAACCTGCAATATTTGTCTTTCTGTGCCCGGCTTATTTCTAAAGATAATTCTTTAGGTTAATATTTTAGCTCTGTAAAATTTCATTTAAACTAGAGCCCTTAACCTAGGTTCCGTGGACTCCCAGGAGTCTATGAATGGCTTAGGTGGTAAGTGAAACATCTGAAATTTCATGCAGGTTTTGTGTATGTAGGAATGCTTCTGGGAGAAGAATTCCTAGCTCTCATCAGAGTCTCAAATATATCTGTCCCTCCCTCACTCTCGAAGTGATTTGGGGGATTGCAGTGTGATATATGTATAATAGTTCCCAATCATTTAGTCAATTAACCTTTATTAATACACATAGGATAAAAGATTGCCTGAGAAGGGCACCGTATTAGTGAGGGTTCTCAAGAGAAACAGAACCAATAGGATATTTATAGATATATGGAAAGAGATTGATTGTAAGAGATTGCCTCATGTGATTGTGAAGGTTGAGAAGCCCCACAATCTGCCATCTGCAAGCTGGAGCCCCAGGAAAACCAGTAGAGTAGTTACAGTCCAAGCCCAAAGCCCTGAGAACCAGGAGCTCTGGTGTCCAAGGACAGAAGTAGATGGATGTCTCAGCTCAAGCAGACAGAATAAATTCACCTTTCCTTTGCCTTTTTGTTCTATTTAGGCCTTCAATAGATTGGATGATGCCTGCCCACATTGGAAAGAGCAGATCTCCTTTACTCACTCCACCAATTCAAAAGCTACTCTCTTCTGGAAACACCTTCACAGACATGCCCAGAAATAATGTTTTCCCAGCTCTCTGAGCATCCCACAGCCCAGTCAAACTGACCCATAAAATTAATAACCACAGGCACTATGTTAGACATTTTTGGGAGAAACACAGATACAGCACAACTCTTATTTTGGAAAAGATTACCATCTTTGGGAGAATGAATTGTATAATCGTTCCCCAAAGACAGCAATGCAAGGCTGTAAATGTGCCCAGTAAGTGGTATGGACAAAATGTGCTAAAATAATTTAGAGAATGGAGGGATCACTAGTGGCCCTTGGGTTGCTGGAAAAGGAGCTTAAATTGAGGCTGAAGATGCATCAGCAAAGCCTGACACTGGTGTTCAGTCAGCATGCTCTAGAGGTTTAGACCAGTTGTTAAATAATGAAATATTTTTGTGTCATTTAGTAAGTAGTAGCAGTCTTCCCCCATCTCCATCCTAGCGCCTTCACCAAGCTGGCCATACCTGTTCCTCCACCAGGAATTCCCAACTTCTCTTCCCCTGAACTTCCTAAGATCTAGCAACTGAGGGATTAATGGCCAGCCTAGAAAGAATTCTCTGGGACACTGCTCCAGCACTCTGGTGAGAGCCATTCTCATGGTTCAATGTCCATGCTGAGCAGTTGTGTTTTCACTATCACCACTGCATGTATAGTGTGTGTGTGGGTTTGTTGAAAGTTCACTTGTCTGACTGTATGACTGAAATAATAGAAAGAAAAGAGGAAACAACTTAGGGGAGGAAAATAGTAAGAGAGAGGAGGCCTAGTATGTTCTGGAGTTGGATAGCTGACTAATTCAGTGGGATGTGGAAGGGAGTAATGGCTGATGAAGTTACCGATAAACTGTAGCCAGCCTGTGGTGGAAAGTTTGGTATTGGGAGTGACGGGAGGGAGTGTACATCTTACACTCTGGAATTTGGATTGTATATATGGGATGTCATCTGCAAGCGCTTAACATGTCGAATGACATGATGATACTGACCCTTTTAGAAGAATAATCTGGCACGAGTATACAGGATGAAAGGAAAGAGAATCATTAGCAGGGTAAATTCCAGATGTAGATTAGCCCCATGAAAAGTCCTGCGGGAAATTCAACTATGAATTTTCATGCAAGAGAGTATGGGGAAAAAGAGACACTGGCTGTGGCATGAGAAATGAAACTGGGCAGAATTTTTGAAATCAAGTTTTAAGAAATCTGTGCCATCTGATCACATTGCCCTTTGCAGGAGGCCAGATTAGGTTTGTGGCCACATAAAAGGGGCTGTATGAGCAGCAGAGAAAACAATTGCTGCTTGGTATATCTTCAGAGACTACATCACAAAAAACCCACTCAATATTACCCATCTTTCTTACGTGTACAGTTCATTAAAGAATATGGCAAAAATGGCCAGGCACGGTGGCTCACGCCTGTAATCCCAGCACTTTGGGAGGCGGAGACGGGCGGATCACGAGGTCAAGAGATCGAGACCACCCTGGCTAACACAGTGAAACCCCGTCTCTACTAAAAATACAAAAAAATTAGCCGAGTGTGGTAGTGGGCGCCTGTAGCCCCACCTACTCGGGAGGCTGAGGCAGGAGAATGGCGTGAACCCGGGAGGCGGAGCTTGCAGTGAGCCAAGATCGCGCCACTGCACTCCAGCCTGGGTGACAGAGCGAGACTCCGTCTCAAAAAAAAAAAAAAAAAAAAAAAAAAGAATATGGCAAAAATAAGAGAAACAGAATGAGTGAGAGAGAAAGATCTTAGACTTACTATCTGACTGACTTGTTTTTATGTGTTCTATCTAAATCTAGATCAGCAAACAACTAAGTCTTGGCAGCCCAGAATCCGTTCCTGGCACACACTGCACAATTCGAGGGGACATGAGGAGGCATTGTGTGGTGCCCATCCAGTGTCATTTTATGCAGTTGTCTTGGTGACTGTATTCAGGTCTTGCATTTTATATTTTAACCTATCAAATTATTTTCTCTATGCAACAGTCATCCCTTTCAACTCTTCTAATTATAGCTTAAAATCAGAGGACAATATTAATATTAATAATATTATTTAATTTTGCATTTACTGTTCAAAAAGTATTTTTATGTACATTAGCTAAATTAATCCTCACCAAACACCCTATAATTGGTAGGTAACATTATTGTCATCATTTTTACATTTGAGAAACTGAGAAATGGACCCTCGGAAAGCTAAAGGGAAATGCGATCAGTAGTAACATTTTTTTGAGCACCTATTATATACCAGATCCTTTACATATGCCCAAGTTCACAGAGCTAGTCAGGGTCAAAGCAAAGACTCAGCTTGGTTCTCCTGGTGATTTTAAGGTGGTGCAATTTCCATGACAAACCAGCCTACCAGGTGTTGTTTGTCCACCTGAGAAAACTTCTATTTGAGTATTGGCACCAAAATTAGAGTTCTTATTCTTCAAAAAGTTGAAAAACAGCTGAGGTCAATCTCCCAAAAGGCAACAACGTTTCCATTCCAATTCATAAAGTCGCGAAGCAGTAAGATCTGAAGGACACTGTTTTATTTTTATCGGAGATGAAGCTTGTTTTTATTTACAATTTCCCTGGACGGGTTTAAGCCCTGAGAAGGATGAATTAACTCTGCCTTTGTATATTAAACATTATCAAACATCCCCATGCAGATATTATGTTATTAAAATGAGTCCTGTGTGTGAGATCATTCTATCTTGTTACATTGTACACTAGGGCAAACTATTTAGAATAAATTGAAATGAATAATTAATGAAAGAGAAGAGAATACCTCTTTCAAGTTCCCATATACACTTGCCCTGTTCTTTTTTCTTGGCTTCTCTTACTTCCTCTTTCCACTCTTTAGTGTCATTTTGACTCATTTCCCCTCACTGTTTATTCCTTCCTTTCCCTCAGAGTAGCTATAATGGCAGCCTAGCTACAAGCAAGAAGCCAATGCTCTCTGAAGGAGATGGCACGAAAGATAGGAACAGCTCTTGCTCTTTCCTCAGGAAAAGCACACCAGGGTGTGGAGACAAAAGGACTCCATTTTGGATGCTGATCTGCCATATTGAGTCCTGATTAGCCCCAGTCCCATGAATGCCTCCTAATTCCTCATTTATTTACTGTCCTTAGTGTAAGAACATGTCAAACCTGATATTATCAGACAAACTATAGGCTATAATGCATATGGCATTCTTGCCTGTTTTGGAGGGTTGCTTTTAATTGTCTTGCTGGAGCACGTATACCCTTTCCCTGTGGTATATAAGCCCTGGGTCTGGGAAGCAACAGTGCAGAGATCTGCCTTGCCGCCACATTTCCATCTTAACTTTCCATTAAAACACTCCTTACTGACGAACTGGATTTGTCTGCCTTGTTCTTTGGTAGCTCAACTCCTTTGGCATTTGGGGGCTGCTTTGCATATACCGCCCCTTCATGAAACACAGGGACACCTAGAAATACCTCACTTTCCGTCTATGGACTCGGCCTCCAGGCTGGAAACAGTAAGAGGGTTCTGCGCTTCGTAATAGCCAGGTGGCACATAAAACCCGTCGACCAGAATGACAATCTCTGGTCATGATTTTAGTGAACCAGTTAGTGTACAGCCTTGTCACTCAAAGTGTAGCCCAAGCGTGTCCGGAATTGGTGGGTTCTTGGTCTCACTGACTTCAAGAACGAAGCTGCGGACCCTCGCAGTGAGTGTTACAGCTCTTAAAGGCGGCATGTCCTGAGTTTGTTCCTTCTGATGTTCGGATGTGTTTGGAGTTTCTTCCTTCTGGTGGGTTCGTGGTCTCACTGGCTCAGGAGTGAAGCTGCAGACCTTTGCGGTGAGCGTTACAGCTCTTAAGGCGGCGCATCTGGAGTTGTTCGTTCCTCCCGGTGGGTTCGTGGTCTCACTGGCTTCAGGAGTGAAGCTGCAGACCTTCTTAGTGAGTGTTACATCTCATAAAGGCAGTGTGGACCCAAAAAGTGCGCAACAGCAAGATTTATTACAAAGAGCGAAAGAACAAAGCTTCCACGCTACGGAAGGGAACCCAAGCAGGTTGCCACTCCTTGCTCCGACAACCTGCTTTTATTCTCTTATCTGGCCCCACCCACACACCCTGCTGATTGGTCCATTTTACAGAGAGCCGATTGGTCCATTTTACAGAGAGCTGATTGGTCCAACAGGGTGCTTACTGGTGCGTTTACAATCCCTGAGCTAGACACAAAAATTCTCCATGTCGCCACTAGATTAGCTAGATACAGAGTGTCCACACAAAGTTTCTCCAAGTCCCCACCAGAGTAGCTACAGAGTGTTGACTGGTGCATTCACAAACCCTGAGCTAGACACAGGGTGCTGATTGGTGTGTTTACAAACCTTGAGCTAGATACAGAGTGCCGATTGGTGTATTTACAATCTCTTAGCTAGACATAAAGGTTCTCCAAGTCCCCACCAGAGTAGCTAGATACAGAGTGTCCATTGGTGCATTCACAAACCCTGAGCTAGACACAGGGTGCGGATTGGTGTGTTTACAAACCTTGAGCTAGATACAGAGTGCTGATTGGTGTATTTACAACCCCTTAGCTAGATATAAAGGTTTTCCAAGTCCCCACCAGACTCAGGAGCCCAGCTGGATCCTGCACGGGGGCCGCAGGTGGAGCTGCCTGCCAGTCCGGTGCCGTGCGCCCGCACTCCTCAGCCCTTGGGTGGTCCATGGGACTGGGTGCGTGGAGCAGGGGGCGGCGCTCGTCGGGGAGGCTCGGGCCCCACAGGAACCCACGGAGGCGCGGGGGAGGCTCAGGCATGGCGGGCTGCAGGTCCCGGGCCGTGCCCCGTGGGAAGGCAGCTAAGGCCCGGCGAGAAATTGAGCACAGCAGCTGCTGGCCCAGGTGCTAAGCCCCTCACTGCCCGGGGCCGCCCGCCGCTCTCAGTGCGGGGCCCGCCAAGCCCACGCCCACCCGTAACTCGCGCTGTCCTGCAAGCACCGCGCGCAGCCCCGATTCCCCCCGCGCCTCTCCCTCCACATCTCCTCGCAAGCTGAGGGAGCCGGCTCCGGCCTTGGCCAGCCCAGAAAGGGGCTTCCATAGTGCAGTGGCGGGGCCAAAGGGCTCCTCAAGTGCCGCCAAAGTGGGAGCCCAGGCAGAGGAGGCGCCGAGAGCGAGGGAGGGCTGCGAGGACTGCCAGCACGCTGTCACCTCTTACAAGAAACAGCACCATCAGCATCATCTAGGAGCTTTTGGAATGCAAAATATCCACCCTAATCCTACAGAATCAGAATGTATATTTTAACATGATCTTCAGCTGATTTATATGGACATGGAAGTTTGTCAAACACTGGTGTACAGAAAGTCTTCTTGCCCAAAAACATATTTTTCCCTATCTTGTAACTATGCCACACATTTCAAGGGAGATCCACAGAAATAATTTATTATATCAAGATATATATTAGGCTGGGCGAATATATATCTTCGTAGATACATATTAATCTATTTTGATAGATTAATTAGGTGGTGGCTCATGCCTGTAATCCCAGCACTTTGGGAGGCTGAGGCTGGTGGATTGCTTGAGTCCAAGAGTTCGAGACCAGCCTGGGAAATGTGGCGAAACCCCAATCTCTATAAAAAATATACACATAAAAAATTAGCCGGCTGGGCGTGGTGGCGTGCACCTCTGGTTTCAGCTACTGGGGAGGCTGAGGTGGGAGGATCTCTTGAGCCCCAAGGCAGAGGTTGTAGTGAGCCAAGATCACGCCACAACACTCCAGCATAGGTGAGTGAGACCCTTTCTCAAAATATATATATGTGTGTGTGGGGGGGGGGGGCGGCGGGAGGGAATTACATTCCTATACTTAGGCTCACTAAGACCAACCAGAAGACAAATTTAACGTAGTACAAAAAGTTGAGCTCCTTTGCCTCTTACTTTTTTTTTTTTTTTTTTTTTTTGAGACGGAGTCTCGCTCTGTCACCCAGGCTGGAGTGCAGTGGCGCGATCTCGGCTCACTGCAAGCTCTGCCTCCCAGGTTCAAGCGATTCTCCTGCCTCAGCCTCCCGAGTAGCTGGGACTACAGGTGCCCGCCACCACGCCCTGCTAATTTTTTTGCATTTTTAGTAGAGACGGGGTTTCACTGTGTTAGCCAGGATGGTCTCGATCTCCTGACCTCGTGATCCGCCCACCTCGGCCTCCCAAAGTGCTGGGATTACAGGTGTGAGCCACCGCGCCCGGCCACCTCTTACGTTTTTTAAAATTCTGGATAGGTTAGTGACTAGTGAGTTTCTTTGTTGCAATCATTTGATACCTCTTGTAAAGTACTATTTCAGACAGGAAAATAATCAGAAACAACATATTCAAACACCAATCCAAATCTTGCTGCTTGACAATTTCTAGAATGCCTCTGGCAGCCCCATCAGGCAAAACAGACTACAAATTCCCAAATTAAAAAACATAGTCAAGGCTGGGTGCGGTGGCTCACGCCTGTAATCCCAGCACTTTGGGAAGCTGAGGCAGGTGGATCACGAGGTCAGGAGACCGAGACCATCCTGGCTAACACGGTGAAACCCTGTCTCTACTAAAAAACAAACAAATAAAACAAACAAACAAACAAACAAAAAACAATTAGCCGGGTGTGGTGGCGGGCGCCTGTAGTTCCAGCTACTAAGGAGGCTAAGGCTGGAAAATGGCGTGAACCCGGGAGGTGGAGCTTGCAGTGAGCCGAGATCGTGCCACTGCACTCTAGCCTTGGCGACAGAGCCAGACTCCATCTCAAAAACAAACAAACAAAACAAAAACAAAAATAAACAAAAATATAGTCAAGCAAAATACATGTCTTTTAGTATTTCCTTAGCTGTTTTCACTATGTTTATGCATGTTTTCTTAAAAACTGAGCTCCCTGAGAAGCTGAATTGACATATTTGGATGCTTTGCTCAATTCTTTCTCATTTGAGATTTTTGGCGATAAAAGTTAATATTTTTATTTTTCCAGCATTCCAAGGCTATGTTCTCTTTGGGTCTCTGAAAACCTCAAGATTCACTGGGCTTTTTCTCCTTTGTGATTTTAGGTTCAAAGCAAACAGTTGGGTTTATCCGACCATCAGTTCATCCTATGAGAGTTCTGTCAGAAGCCATTTTTGGTTTATAATTGAGAAAAGCAAAGCAGGAAAACATCAGCAGTATTCTCAGACTTTCTTTAAGAAATTTCCTTAATATAATATTGAGATTTACTGCTATCTTACAGCCTTGAATACTACAGATAAATGTTTATTTTTGAGCCTTTAGTTTATAAGCAAAACACTAATTGTTCTTCTTTATAGCATTGTCAAGGATACCAACTTTATTCTCTATGTACTTTATTTAACACAACAAAATTTTCTAAGTGATTGTTTATGTTTATATGATAAATCAGTGGTCCAGGCAGATTTGACAAGATAAAGTCCTTTATTCTTTAATTTTATTATTATTATTTTGCTTGAATTTATTTCTATTTCTAAGTATTTGATCTACCTCATAATATTTTATTCACTTATAAAAACTTATTCACACACATGAGTATGAAAAGCTATACAAAGGGGTTGTTATAACATTGGGTCCAGAGTATTTTACTCCTACTCTAGTATTTAATGACTAGTTAGAAATAACTATTTATACAGTGTGCACTAGGTACAGTTACTGCAGGTAACATAAAATAAATTTTTAAATGACCTTATTTCTTAAAAGTACTTTTCTAGGGAGGAAGAACAAAGATAAAGAAAATGTAAGAGAAAAATTGAAAAAAAATCTCACCGTAGTATAAGATGAAACAAGTACAATTTAGTGAGTGCTTTCCATGGGCAGAGCACTGTGTTTAGTCCTTGAAATGCATCTCTATCTCATGCACCACACCTTTATTTTATAGATGAGAAAATTGAAGCTGAGAAACTTCAGTAACTAAAAATTGAAATTCAAACCCATTTCTGACACCAAAACCATGCTTTATTTATTTATTTACTTTTTGACAGGGTCTCGTGCTATTGCCCAGGTTGAAGTACAGTGGTGCAGTCACAGCTCACTGCAGCCTTGAACTCCTGGACTCAAGTGATTCTTCTGCCTCAGTTTCCACAAATGCTGGGTTTATAGTCATGAGCCACCATGTCTGGCCAAAATCATGCTTTTAACTATACAGTACTGCTTGCCTGATAAAAGAGTAAGTATTTTCCTTTACCACTTATGTAGTCCAATGGGAACACTCTTGAAAACTAGAAGGAAGTTACAGAATTCATTTGTATCCCCCCAGGATCTTGCACAATACTGGGCATAAGTGTTCCAGTTTCCCCAAGGATGAACTGCAAACCAGATCAACACAATCTTAGCAACAGCAGCATAAGCTTGGTGTAGTAGCCTTTTCTTAAAAGAGAATCATCATGTAATAGATATCAGGTAGCTTTCTCATAGTTTGCATAATCACTAAACTCTTGGTGCCTCCCATTTGTTTTATGCTATATTAGTCCTTTTGGACTGTTATAATAAAACATCATAAACTGGTAGTTTATAAACAACAGAATTTATTTTTCACAGTTCTGGAAGCTGCAAGTCTAAGATCCAGGGTCCTGCAGATCTAGTGTCTGGTGAGAGCCAGCTTATTGATTCATAGATTACCTTCTGTCTGTGTCCTCACATGGCAGAAGAGGTCAACAAACTCCTTTGGACCTCTTTGATAAGGGCATTAATCTCATTCATTTAGGCTCCACCCTTTATGACCTAATCATCTCCCAAAGGCCCCAGCCCTAATACTGTCACCTTGGGGGTTAGGATTTCAACATACGAATTTTGGAGGAACACAAACATTTAGTCCATTGCACATCCCTCTGAGATTTTTCACCCGATCTTTCTTCTCAGTCTACTTTCTCTACCTTAATGAATCAACTCAATTTTCACCTCTTCTGTGAAGGAAACTTCCCTGACCTCCTCAGGTAGAGGGGACTACGCTCTCCTTTGTTTTTTACTACTTCTGGTATCCTACCCCTTCCAACACACATTAGACTGTATGTAATACTGGTGTGTGTGTGTGTGTGTGTCTTTATAGAAAGCCTGGGAGGAGTTCATTGCCATGTAGTCAGGGAGACAAATGTGTAACATAATATTCACCTCACATCTGTGTAGATTTACATGAGATATCCAAGGCACAGAGTGCTGCAGCTCATGTGCAACATATTTATTGAGTGCATGATAACATCAATAAATAACTTTTATATTAGGAGAGGGCGTAATTTACTAGAGCATTCCTCGAAAGGTCCCATCAGAAACTCCCCAAGATTTTAATAACTGTTCCTTGAAAAAAAGAATATATCGCTCAAATTGATTTGATAAGTTCAAGGTTGAATAAAGTTAAAATTTTTAATATGCACAAATTTTTAATTTTTCCCTGCAATACTTCTTGGAACTCTTAATGTGCCAATGTGCATTGTGAATTTCCAAAAGTGGATTCAGAATGCAGCATTTCCTAATTGTATTGGGCCATAAAATTCCATGTTCTCCATGTACCCTAGGACACAGTTTGGAGATATTGTTGAGAGTAGAGTATGATATCATTGTCACCATATATTAACTGCTTGATTTTGGGTCACCTCTTTATGCCTTAGTTTCCTCAACTGCAAAATGGGGATAATACCTTCCTGCCTGCTTCAGACAGGTGAAAAGAAATGGGAATAATACCTATATCTAATATTGTTGTTGGCAAAACAAAAAGGTTTATAAAATGTCCAGGAGTTCTTAGTAGATGTTAGCAATTACAATTATTAATAGTATGTCCAGGAGCCAACTCTTCATCTTCAGATCTCTAACACTTTGCAGAATACCAGATTTGAAGCTGAGTTAAATTCAGACTGTTAGTACATGTCTCAGCTTTAGAATGTAGGTGTCCAAAAAGACTTCCCCTCCACCTGTATCATTTGCCTTTTAAACAGAATCTGAGTCAATATATTAAGTTAGTCCTGTTCTGGCCATGGTCCTGTCCTTTAGTATCTTCTTGTAAAAAATAAAAATAAGAAGAAATGAGGTTCAACTAAATAACCTCGAGAGTTCATATTCCCTCTAAAATTTCAAGGTAAAACTAAAGTAATTCTTTCTCAAGTTGCAGCAGAAGGAGTTTTTGTATTTTCTAACTGGTCTGATAAGCACAAAGAAGTCGTTTTTTTTACTTAGAAATGCCATTTTACAGGAGGCTGAGGTGGTGGGATCACTTGGGCCAGAGCTCAAGATCAGCCTGGGAAACAGTTAGATACCTGCCCCCAGCACCCAAATTAAAAGTACAAAAAATCTGGGTGCGGTCGTGAATTCCTGTAATCCCAGCTACTTGGGAGTGGAGGTGGAAGGACTGCTTGAGCTCAGGAGTTGGAGACTGGGCAACAGAGCAAGACTCATCTCAAAAAAAAAAAAAAAAAAGAGAAATGTCACCACTTTAAACTGGTTCCCATCAACCTTTTTGATACAAAGAAATTTTACTTTTGTTAAACTATTTTAGACCACTGTATCAGTTATTATATGTGACTAGGTAGCATGATAACCTATAATTTATGCCTTGAAATAATTTTGACTCATTTTCTTCCCACATCTGTATTTATGAGCCGGGGCAGCTGTGGGGTGGTTCTTTGTGTGGGATTAAGAGACACTGCAGTTCTTGAAATAAACCAGATGTTTGAATTTTCAAAGGAAAAGTTCACACCTAGTGAAGTATTTATTTACAAGCTCCACAACAAAACAAGAGATTATAAGAAAACTTTCAAGGGACATGGGTCACAGAAACCAACAGGAACACCACAGCTTTCCCAACTTCATGGCCCCGGGGGATGTTACAAAAGACACAGAAACGCCGATCTTGTGCTGACTGTAAACATTTGTCAACTAGTGTTACAATGACTAAGAAATTACAAAAGAGTTACAATCTGATGAAGAGCGATTCCTGCTTTGACTTTATTTGGTTTCTATCCACTTTTCCAACATACCTTATAAAATACATGCAAAAAACTGGTTTTAGAAAGCGTTCCCTAAAATTAGTGTGTACGGAAACTTCAGGTATACTTCTGCTTTCCTCCGCAAAACCACCCCTTTTTAAAAATCGAAAGTGAAATTAGTTTTTTTTTCTGTTAGTGACTAATCATTGGAGACAACCATGTTTAGTATTTGAGCATTGGTTAAATGCTAAAGAAAAATCGCCGTTAAAGCAGTTTTCTTTTTCACTGTCTTTTTCTTTTCGCGGGGAACCCAGCTGTTCCTGCGAGGGCCACCTCCTCAGGAAGACCCCGCAGCTCTCCCGCGGCGCTTCTGCAGGAGGCAGCGACAGTTTCGAGAACCCGGGCCTTCCCCTCCCAGTGCCTCCCGGGGTTCCGGCGTTTCAGGCGCTGCTGTTTTCCGGGAAGGGCAGGCGCGCTGGGCCTTGGGGAGCTGCGCTCGGCGGGCGGACGCGGGTGAGTGGGGAGTCCCTTCCCCGGCTGCCACTCCCGCCGCTGGCAGTCCCGGGCTGGAGAGCCGGGGGTGGAAAGGGAGGTGGGAGCCCTCAGCGCCGACGGAAGTGGGACAGCGCCGGAGTTGAGACCCTGCTCCCCGGGAGCTGCCCGCAGCCGAGTCGCGGAGGCCACGCCGCCTTCGAGGGGGCGCACCTGCTCCTGGGCCCGCTGTGCAGTCTCTGGGCCGTCAGGGCTTCGAGCCTTGTCACTTGTTTGCTTTGCTTCATTGAGGAAATTGAAACATAAAGTTATTTGTGTTTCCTCGCTGTTTTCTCTCTTTTTTTTTTTTTTTTTTTTTTTTGAGACGGAGTCTCGCTCTGTCGCTCAGGCTGGAGTGCAGTGGCGCGATCTCGGCTCACTGCAAGCTCCGCCTCCCGGGTTCACGCCATTCTCCAGCCTCAGCCTCCCGAGTAGAGTAGCTGGGACTACAGGCGCCCGCCACCACGCCTGGCTAATTTTTTTTTTTGTATTTTTAGTAGAGACGGGGTTTCACCGTGTTAACCAGGATGGATACGATCTCCTGACCTCGTGATCCGCACGCCTCGGCCTCCCAAAGTGCTGGGATTACAGGCGTGAGCCACCGCGCCCGGCCCTCGCTGTTTTCTCCGAGTGTCTCTGGAGATAGTCCTTAGGAAAACGGATTTCTTAAGAAAACGATTCTTGGTAGGGGCAGTGTTGTGCAGTCATGGCTGGCGTGTCAGAATAGGCAAGGTTTTTCTTGAAGGAGACATCCGAAGGAGAATACTGTGTTTCCAGTCTGTACAACAGGCAGACGTTCTATTGCCTTTCTTTTTGCTGCCACGCATGCATATAGGAAGATTCGATTCTACACGGCCTGGCACCGCAGTTATATGATTGTATTACGGAAATACGGTGATGTTGATTTGTATCAGTTTTTTTAATTCGCTGCCATAACAAATTACATGGCTTTAGTGGCTTAAACACATAGGAACGCGCGCGCGCGCGCACACACACACACACACACACACTCACATACACAATTTACTATCTTAGGATTCTGTAGCAGTCCTACTGAGGTCTCACTGGGTTAAAATCAAAGTGTTGGCAGGGTTGCCTTCCTTTCTGGAAGCTCTTGGGGTGAATCCTCTTTCCATCTTCCGGAGGCCACCTACCTTATTTGGCTCAGCAGCCCTTCCTCCATCTTCAGGGCCAGCAACATTGCGCCTCTGAAAGTTCTTCCGGGGTCACATTTCACTCTTGACTCTTCTTCTGTCTTCCGCTTTCACTTTTAAGTAGCCTCATGATTACACTGGGCTCCCACAGATAATCCAGGATGCTCTCCATATTTAAAAGCAAGCTGATTAGCAACCTTAATTCAATCTGCAGCCTTAATTCTCCTTTGCAATATAAACTAACATAATCACAGATTCTTGGGATTAAGATGTGGACATCTTTGAGGGAGCCATTGTTTTGCCTACTACATGATTGCATAAAAGGAATGACCATACATCCCACTCATGCATAGAGCAAAAGTATCCAGATGCAAAAGATGCCAAAAGGGTTCTGGTGGTGTTAGATAGTAGACCATTTATGCTGAGAGCCTTTATTACAGGCTCTTGGAATATTGGCATTGTCACAATAATAAAAATAAAAAGCAATTAAATAACATTGCAGTTTCTGTCTTCTGAAATGTAATAAGAGGACTTCATATACATGTGATGTCCTGAGTACAACAAATACTTAAGTCAAGATACCACATAATTCTCTAAATGGAGTGTTTTCAGTGTGTAAGCTTATACTGAGAAAGTGCTCTGAATGTCTGCAGGGAGGAGTAGACATGGTCCCAGCCCTCAACATGTTTACTGATGTGTCACGGAAAATGACATAGGTACACACGTAATTAAAGCGCCGCAAAGGAGATAAAGGAGGGGGAGTAACATCCTTTGGGGGAATCAGAAAAGGCTTCGGGAGCTTGGGGAAAATTTGGAATGGACCTTGAAGAACAGTAAGATTTCATTAGATGGAGATTAAGTTTGGGAGAGGAGGAAGGATGTGACAGTTTGAGGGACAGAGGAAAGAAAAGGAACTATCCAAGTGTTCAGTGTGGTTAGGGAACTGGGTTGAGGAATTGACTAAATAGGACGGGAAAGTGAGTTGGAGTTAGAATGTATCAGACCATGGCTGACCATTAAGAAGATTTTGCAGTTGTTGATACAATAGCGATATATATGTATATATGTATGCGTGTGTGTGTGTGTGTGTGTATGTGTGTGAGAGAGAGAGAGAGAGATGTGGTTTAAATATATATATACTTATATATATATATCGTCTCAAGGCATCTCAAACTTACAGAAAAGTTGCAAGTACAGTAAAACAACTTTTCCTTTTCCTAAATTATTTAAGAATAAATTTCCAATCTGGTGACCTATCATCTTTCATTATATACTTGAGTATATATTTCCTACAAAAAAGATGTGCTCCGACATAACCACAATACAGTCATCAAAATCAGGAATGTGGAGTGCTACGTTACTACAATTTAATAATCAGATCCAATGTGAATTTCACCAGTTGTCCTGATAGTGTCTTGGATAGTGTAGGGGTCAAGGGAAAACTTCCTCTTTGCTCTCTGAAGGGCAAAGGCAGATTAAAAAGGAGAAATGGCATACAAATTTATTAATGTGCACAGGGGAAAAAAATCACATAGTGATGATACTGCACAATGGGGTACAGATGGTTATATTCCCTACTTTTTAGGGGAAAGGGAGATGTGGAAGTGTGGATGATTATAGGGGGTTAGTAAATGATTTTTAAAGGAATTCAAGGGACTCGAAGAACATACAATGGCCTTGGACAAAGCCTGTTGGGCTTGCAGAACAGACAGTGGTTGTAACCCAGGTTTGTTGACAGACTTCAGTCTTCTTTCTGTGATATGAATTCAGAATTAAAAACTCAGGGAAGGGACTAGAGGTAATTGTTCTGTTTTCTGGCAGGTCCCACATTTAGGCAGATAGGAGAACATCAGTGCACCTTCATCCTGTGCTTTGGGAGAGACAGAGGAGGAGGAGGGGGAGGTCAGAGAGACCTTGAGCCATCTTCAGTTCACCATGTCAAAATGCCATACTTCCGGGTATCAGTTTCTGAGCCCCAGTGATAGCAAAAGGATCCAGTTGAGGATCATGCTTTCTACTTAGTTGTGAGGTCTCTTTAGTCTCCTTCAGTATGGACATTTCTTAGTCTTTCCTTGGCCTTCTGAACTTGAAACTTTTGAAGAGAACAGGGCAGTTGTATTGTAGAACCCCTCAATTTGAGTTTGTCTGATGTTTCCTCATGCTTAGATTCAGATTATGCATCTTTGGCAGGACTGTCGTCGAAGTTACATTGTGTTCTCAGTGCACCTTGTAATATGTTACATTATTTTGATTTATTCCATTATTTACTTTGATTATCTCATTATGTTGATGTCTGCCAGACTTCTCCAGTATAAAGTTACTCTTTTCTTCTTTGAAATTAATAAACATTTTGTGGGGAACTATTTTGAAGCTAACTAAAAATTCCTTTCTTCATCAAAATTTCTAATTTATCTGGACTCAGTTTTTTACTTTAATCAACAGATTTAATCATTACTACCATTATGTATTTTAATCTTTAATTTATCCCCAGATTTGGCCACCGAAAACCATCTCAAGGTGGATTCTGTGTCGTTTCAACATGTCATCATCATTCTTTAAGCATTTCCTTGCTTTTTGGCATCATAAGATGTCCCAGGCTCATCTTGCAGTTTTTCTATCCTGGTTTTGGGATCAACCATTTCTCTAAAGAGTCCTGGTTCCTTTTGGTGGAGAATAGTATTAGAAACCAAAGTCTGGGTGCTGAGTGTGCTCATTGCTCATTGTGGTTGTATCTGCTCTCCCAGGCCTTCTCAGCAGACAGAGCTAGGGTATATATGTATTTGTATATACACAAGATACACACATAGGCATTGCTTTTTTTTTTTTTTTTTCTGAGATGGAGTCTCACTCTGTCGCTCAGGCTGGAGTGCTGTGACGCAGTCTTGACTCACTGCAACCTCTGCCTCCCGGCTTCAAGCGATTCTCCTGCCTCAGCCTCCCGAGTAGCTAGGATTACAGGTGCATGCCACCATGCCTGGGTAATCACACATAGGTATTTCTATCTGTCTGTCTATTTATCTATCTATCTATCTATCTATCTATCTATCTATCTATCTATCTATCTCAATCATCAATCAGAAACCACAGCTGCAGGATTACATTGAAATCTAGTTCCAATCAACAGTATTTATTCTTGTTTTCTCCATTTCCATATTTATAATTATCTTCTCTGACGGTGAAAAACTTGGCTCCTATTATCCTCCATATATTTACTTACTTGATCAATTCTGTGTATGTACTTTTGGCCACTGGAGCCCTTTCAGTTGGGTCCCCATGTCCCTTTCACATACTCCCATCATATTGTATGTGTTTGTGCATGTGTTTTAGTGCTTTTTACTTTTCTGGCACTACAAGATATTCCAGGCTTATTTTGTATATTTTATACCCCAGACCTAGAATCAGCCATTGCTCCAATGAGCCCTGGTTTCTTTTATTGAAGAATATTATTAGAAACCAAGATCTGGGTGTTATGCGACTCTCCTCTTTTTTTGACACTCCTGTGTTCATTAAACTAAGACATAGCTAAGTTTTTGCTAGTCTTCTATTTTATTTTTAAGGAGGAATAGATGTCTTTTATTTCTTTTTCAAGAATATTGAGAATTTAGCCACTTGAAATCTTGGAAAATTATATGGCAGACTGTTTATTAATGTGTATCTAAAAACATAGAATCATGATATCCTTTGTCCCATTTTTGATCTGAGAGTTTTTCATCTCAGTAAATTCATATGTAGGCAAGAGTTCTTAAATTTTGTGTACCATGGATTCCTTTGCCAGCTTGGCAAATCCTATGGGCCTTTCTCCAAAAAAAAAACATTTAGTCAATGCCTGTGGGGACAGGCATGGTGGCTTATCCCAGCACTTTGGGAGTCCAAGGGGGGCGGATTGTTTGAGCCCAGGAGTTCGAGACAGTCTAGGCAACTTGGCGAAAACACATCTCTACAAAAAATACAAAAATTAGCTGGGCATGGTGGCACATACCTGTAGTCCCAACTACTTGGGGGGCTGAGGTGGGAGGATCACTTGAGTCAGGGATGTTGAGGCTGCAGTGAGCCGTGTTCATGCCCCACTGCACTCCAGCCTGGGCAACAAAGTGAGACCCTATCTAAAAAAAAAATTAAATGCATAAAATAAAATACATAGAATTACAAAGTAAATCAATTGTATTGAAATATGACTGGGATTATAGGCACCTGGCACCACGCCCAGCTAATTTTTTTTGTATTTTTAGTAGAGACGGGGTTTCACCATGTTGGCCAGGCTGGTCTCAAACTCTTAACCTTGTGATCCACCCGCCTTGGCCTCCCAAAGTGCTGGGATTACAGACATGAGCCACCGCGCCCGGCCAGAAATCAATTGTATTGAAATATGGTTATCAGAATATTTAAAAAGCAAATGTTTGATATAGTGATATATATCAATGTATTACAATATATTACAAGACCTAGTGGTGAGGTTAGTAACTAATGTAGAAGCAATGTTAAACACAAACTATTTTAGCATATCTGCAACAATATTCTATGAAACTATCTGTGCTTTCTATTGGTGACTATCACAGGTGCTGTGAATACTACTGTAGTTTGTTACCATATTCATAATTGAAGAGAATGCTAAGCTTCAATTAGAGGTTATTAGAAATAAACATATAATTTCTTCCCAATCCATGTTTATGGACCCAGCAGGAGAGTTAGTGAAAGCTTCAGGTAAGAACACCTGCGTAGAGAAAGCATATGTTGGAGGCCTCTTGACTTTGTTTACATTTGGGGAGAACAATAGGGAGAATTAAATATTTTAATCAAAAACTTTGAAAAACGTTGGAAAACCAAAATAGTATTCATTTAAAATGGAGCATGATATTATGGTTGGAATGTGAACTACAAAGGAACATTAATGTTCATTACTTTCTATATATTATTTTGTTGAAAAGCAAAGGATTTTTAGAATCTTTTTATATATTATAGGTGTGAAAGTTATTTGAAATATTGGCCAGGTGCTGTGGCTCACGCCTGTAATCCCAGCACTTTGGGAGGCCGAGGGGGGTGCATCACTTGACAAGAGTTCAAGACCAGCCTGACCGACATGGTGAAACCCCATCTCTACTAAAAATACAAAAATTAGCCGGGCATGGTGGCAGGTACCTGTAATCCCAACTACTTGGGAGGCTTGAGACAGGGGAATCACTTGAACCTGGGAGGCAGAGGTTGCAGTGAGCCAAGATCGCACCATTGCCCTCCAGCCTGGGCGACAGAGAGAGACTCTGTCTCAAAAAAAGAAAAAAAAAAGGAGTTATTAAAATACAGACTTTGTTTGGATATAAGCCATATGATAATAAAGCCTTTGATGATGGGAAAAAAAGATATAGCAAAGAAGAGATGTTTCTTCCATAAAAGGGTAAAAGTTCTTATTTCTTTGTTCTTAAATTTGTGTATATATGCTATGCTTATAATATTTATTTTTTATAATATTAGGGGATCATGGAAGCTGATAAAGATGACACACAACAAATTCTTAAGGAGCATTCGCCAGATGAATTTATAAAAGATGAACAAAATAAGGTAAAAAGGAAATTACTGGGTATTATTAAAAATTATTTTATATCTATTAGTTTTGCAGTAAGGCATGTTTTGTATGTCTTTGTCCAACATTACCTTGAATTTGGGAGGCCGTTAGGCTTTAAAAAAATTTTTAACTTCCATTATGTTATTTAAGCCTTACAAGAAGTGTCATATTTTTATTCTTTCTCTTATAAGGCTTACAACACTAGCTGCTTTCTCACTCACACCCTCATTTCTTGGATTTGCATCAACAAGTTAAGAGCATAGTCAGCAATTATCTCATTAGACCCCAAGAGGGAACGGAGGCCCAGGTAGCTTAAACCACTTCCCCAAGGTCATATGTCTGGCTCATTAAGGTAACTGTGTACTATGCGATACTATGGGAATCACAGATAATTAAGAACAAAAACAACAACAACACCAACAACAAACTGCCCCAGAATATGTCCGCTATTACAGTGCAATTTAAAAGTCTTATCATGCTCACAAATAGCTAGGAAAGGAGTTGATGCAGCACTGAAGTAATATTCAGAAGATCTGATCTCAATCTTTGCCTTACTATACAACTTTCTGTGACTTCGGTCTAGTGTAAAAGGTGGTTTCCTGATTTATATAATGGAGATAGTACTACTTGGCAATGTTAGAATAGACAGGTGATGATGTAAAATATTCAACAAATGCATTATTCACATAGTCATATTTATTCTGAGACTGTCTAATGTCTTTCTTTGGTCAGGATGAGAGAAATTTATAGTCTTTAGTTCATTCGGAAAAATGAGTTCAGGGGCTATTTACTTTCTTTGGTACCATTTGATATTTTTAAGGGACTAATTGATGAAATTACAAAGAAAAATATTCAACTAAAGAAGGAGATCCAAAAGCTTGAAACGGAGTTACAAGAGGCTACCAAAGAATTCCAGGTACTCTCTTAATTATTTTATATACTACATTTTTGATGGATGCATGGTTTTTGGAAAAAGCATTTTAATTACACAAAATTCATTTTTAAAACCTTATCATCATCCATGGCACCACCATTTGTAATAGTTCAAAATGGAAAACAACCCAATGATTCCTTCATAGTAGAACGAATTAGTGAATTGGGGTATAGTCATATGATAGAAAACTACACAGCAATGAGAATGAACAGATCATAATGACATGCAGCAACACAAATGAGTTTCATAAACACAATGTTAACACAAAAAAGACAGAAGAGGGCATACCATATGCTTCCCTTTAAATTAAGCAAAAGCAGGATGTTTGAAGTTAAAACAGTGGTTATTTTGGAAGCAGGTAAGACCCAGAAGGGAACCCAAGGGGGTTTCTGGGGTGTTGTCATGTCCTGCCTATCATCTGCGTGCCAATCACGTGTGTTAGCTTTGTAAAATTTCATCTTGCTGTACTTAATGATACATGCATTTTTCTATTATTTACGTACACTTTAATAAATTTACAAAAACAAAAAATTAATAAAATTTACCAAAAAAAGATGGTCATTAGCAAATTACTGTTGGATCAAATTCTGGCTTTTCTCACTGAGTTCTTTTATAATTCTTCTCATCCAAGGTGCTTTGGTAATTTAGATGAGTTTCACGGTTCAAAAAATTGGACATATATTAATCCTCACCATTTAAATTCTCTCCTAAATTTTCCTGTATTTTAATTGTACATAATTTTCACCCATTTTTTTTCTTAACAACTCAGATGTTAAAAAATTAAAGCATTGAGGCTGGGCGCGGTGGCTCATGCCTGTAATCCCAGCACTTTGGGAGGCTGAGGCGGGTGGATCATGGGGTCAGGAATTCACGACCAGCCTGGCTAAGATGGTGAAACCCTGTCTCTACTAAAAAAGAAAAATTAGCCAGGCATGGTGGCGGGTGCCTGTATCCCAGCTACTTGGGAGGCTGAGGCAGAGAATTGCTTGAACCTGGGAGGCGGAGGTCGCGATGAGCTGAGATCACACCACTGTGCTCCAGCCTGGGCGACAGAGCGAGGCGCCGCCTAAAAAAAAAAAAATTAAAGCATTGACACTTCTTGTTTCTGAAGTGGGAGATAGGATATTGAATATCAGGAAGTGAGGTTTTCTGTGTTTATGAGATGGGTGACTTTGTGCAGAAGACTCTGTTAAGATTCTGGTTACTTCTCAGACTGGAGCTAGAATCATGCAGTCTTATAACTCAAAGAGCCTTTAGAAACCGGCCAGCCCTAGTCGACCCACTTTGCAGAGGACCAAACCTGTGATCAGAGAGCTTAAGTAAATTTGCTGTCTGTCGCAGTGTGGTCAGAAATAGAATCAAGCTTTCTCACTCTAATTTCAGAAAGCCCTTGCTCCTCAGCATATACTGGGTATTTCTGCATTATTGGGTAACACTCTGCCTTTACTCAGACATTGTAGACTGTTTTGATGTCAGCCTTACCGTAATCAGAAGTTCCACTGGAGTTATGCATAAAGGCAAAGAATAAATGTAAGATTAAATTGAATGACTCACTGAATATTTCTAATCTCTGTGTTATTTTCAGCATGTAAAATAACCATGGGCAATAGAAATGCAAGCATCTATCTCATTTGTGCATTTATGTGTAGTTATATGAATCTGTTAATCCCAATAATTCTAAGCAGCTAAGTATAACCACCTACCTTTATCTTTCAGGTTACAATTTTTTTTTTTGAAACAGAGTTTTGTTCTTGTTGCCCAGGCTGGAATGCAATGGTGCGATCTCGGTTCACTACAACATCCGCCTCCCTGGTTCAAGCGATTCTCCTGCCTCAGCCTCCTGAATAGCCAGGATTACAGGCGTTTGCCACCACGCCCAGCTAATTTTTGTATTTTTAGTAGAGATGGGTTTTACCATGTTGGCCAGGCTGGTCTCAAACTCCTGACCTCAGGTGATCTGCCTGCTTTGGCCTCCCAAAGTGCTGGGATTACGAGTGTGAGCCACCTGTGTAGCCTCAGCTTACAATTTCTGTTGATACTGTCCCTTCTCATTTTTTATAAACCTAAGTTGTGGTAATGGTTAAAAAGTTGATGGGCAGGTGTTGGGGAAGGTGGAATTTTTAAATTTGATAAATTTAACATCATCTAATTCTGGGCCAGGTGTGGTGGCTCACGCCTGTAATCCCAGCGCTTTGGGAGACCAAGGCAGGCAGATCATGAGGTCAAGAGACCATCCTGGCCAACGTGGTGAAACCCTGTCTTTGCTAAAAATACAAAATACAGAAATTAGCTCGGTGTGGTAGCGCATGCCTGTAGTTCCAGCTACGCGGGAGACTGAGGCAGGAGAATTGTTTGAACCCGGGAGGTGGAGGTTGCAGTGAGCCGAGATCACACCACTGTACTCCAGCCTGGCAACAGAGTGAGACTCTGTCTCAAAATAAATAAATAAATAAATAAAATTATCTAATTCTAGAGTCTTTCTTTTTGGATGAAATTATCTGGATTTGAAATACCATATTATACCCAACACTATATTTCATACTTTGCAGCAAAATTAAACATACTATCTAATGATTTCCTTTTGAGATAGTCTATTATTGGCACTTGTTTAAAAAGTCCTTATTCACATGAATGATGTAGGCTTTAGAACTGAACACCATACAATATTGACAGTTTAAACATTGATTAGAAAAAAGTGAGAGGATTATATATTTTTAATTTCATCTGTGAAATGATATTAAAAGATCAGCATTTGATTACTGAGTACTTACATGGGAAAAAGCAATTACTAAAAATGTTAAATAAGACCATACTCAATATTCTACAAGGTTCTAAAATTAGTGGGGAATGAATTATTGGATGACCAAATTACATTATCATTGGAAGGACTTAAGTTATTTCTCGTCTTGATTTTAATCAAACATTTTCATTTGGATTAGATTAAAGAGGATATTCCTGAAACAAAGATGAAATTCTTATCAGTTGAAACTCCTGAGAATGACAGCCAGTTGTCAAATATCTCCTGTTCGTTTCAAGTGAGCTCGAAAGTTCCTTATGAGATACAAAAAGGACAAGCACTTATCACCTTTGAAAAAGAAGAAGGTATGACTAATGTTAAAAAATATGACCATGTTATTTGGAAAGCACTTTCATAGACATTTAGCTATTACTTCGCTAATATTACTTCACTTATATTATTTCTTATCCTCATAGTGACGTTCTGAGGCAGGTATGATTATTCCCATTTTACAGATGAGAAAACTGACTCTGAGACAAGTGCCTTGAATATGATCTTGTATTCAGAAAGCCATGACTGTGGGACTTAATCCAGGTGCTATGATGATGTCCAATACCAGCCTCTTTCTACTCCACATGCTACCTCCAAATAATGATAGTAATATTTCAAGGTAGTAGAGCTGTACAGTTCTCAGAGACATTATCACATTTTATACTCACACAATTCCATAAATATAGGAGGATAGGATAGTTATTATTGTGTACTTTAAATATAGACATGCCAGAGCCAAGAAAACAGATTCTGAGGATGTTTAAGTGATTTACCTAAGGGAACATAGCCAACGAATGAGAAGAGCCTGGGAGCTAGAGATTTGGAATGAAACCTAATGTTTGCTAAGTCTGCCATGGTGAGGGCCCCTGTTCAGAGCTGGGGGTTCCTGAGTGGGGAGGATCTGGCTTTGAGTGCCAGCCTTGTCCCTTCCTAGAAGCATGATTTGGGATAGGTTCTTTATAAACCTCAGGGTTTTATACAGGTGCTTCATGGTAGTACCTACTTCATGAGGCTGCTTTGAGTATTAAATGAGAAATGTTGATAAAATACTTAGCACAATGTTGGACACTTAATACAAACTTAATGGATGTTAGTTTTTGCTACATGTTAGAAATTTTTCAGATAAGGATACAGAAGCTTAAAGAAGATAATTAACTTGCTTAAAGTCTATACGGTTAGTTGCAGAGCTTAGAGCCAAACCCTGAGAGTCCATGTACTTCCACTGGGCCAATATTTCTCTCGGTAGGCCACCAGCCCAGGCCTTTGTTCTTTTATTTAAGTTATGTGGTGAGGGACCAGATGGTGTTCCCAGCCCTTCCAGTGCTCATATTCTGACAGTCTATAACCCATGTTTCCTCAAAACTGGTGCACCACTGTAGCCTGAAAATAAATGTTGAAAGGCATTCCAGCAGGACAGTATCTGTGCGTAGAAGACATGCATCGCCAGTGTGTTTTCCTTCACCCTGGAGCTACTGCTACAGGTAGAAGAGGAGTCCAGGACTCATACTGGCGACTGGTAATCGGGATATAACTAAAAGATAGATATAAATGAGGATTTGGGAGGCAGGATTTCTGCACAGCAATTTCCTGGGAATGTTGGAAATGGAATTCTCTAAAAGCACCTACATCATTGCTTCTACGCTTGACGTGGCTCTGAGCTCCCAATCTCCTGGGACAGCAGTAGGTTTGAAACACAATTAAGTAGGAGTTGGCTCTTGATTGTCAGAGTCACAACAATTGAGACACAAGCGGTCCCTCTCAGCTGTATCAGATCACCAGATGTTGGGGGTTTGTGGAAGAGTGGGAGGGAAAGAGGATCATCTGAGTATTACTCATTGATATTTTCTGTTATTGTCTGTTGTCATTAGCAAAAAAACACAAAAACACAAAAAAACAAAAAACCATCATCCAAGTTATAGAGTCATATTTTGGTACAGTGAGTTGAATTCCCACATGGCCAAGGCCCTGCCTTCTGGCCCTTTTTTCTCTTCCTCCAGCTGTGGTGTGGTGCCATCTGGTCTGGTTGTCATAAACACATGTGAAGTTTTATAAGACAGAGAGTGAATGTCACTTATTTTCATGATACATTGGAATAGCAGCCCCAAATATCAACAACTGCAGTATTATAAACTCATGCCACACAATTAAAAATAAATGCCCACTCACATTTTTAATTGACATAGAGTTGCCTTTTGGAGTGCTAGTGATTTTTAGCATTTTACTAAACCTCTCCCATTTGCACAGGTAAATTAGACTTGACAGCTTTGTGATCAATATAGCAGGACTATCAACTTTTTAAAGAATGATTTCAAGAGCATTTTTGCAAAAGTGGAATTCGTCATTAAGTATGACCAAAAAAAAGACTCACTCTTTGATGTTCCAGCCTATGTAGTCTTTAACATGTAATCCTTGAGAAGACAGAGCAAATGAATATATATTGCTCTAGTGCTTGTAACATATTAAGGAGTAACAAATGATAAGGTTAAGTAAAATCAAGACTAATTGTACAAATGACACTTAGCCATGAAAGTTTTCCCAGCTTACTGAACATGGGACACTTTCTGGCTGTGCATTAATGTACTAGGGGAATCCTCTGGTAATTGTTAATAGTGGAAGGAAGGGTATGTGGCTGAGCTGAAGTAATATATGAATTCTGGAAGATTGTTAGGCTTATCTCTTAAGAGATAAGAGAAAAGATTCATCTTATGAGAAGAATCTAGAACTTGAGAACTTCTACATTGTGATTTTGCTGATATACTTTGACATTAATATATTCTACTTTGGGACCAAGAGCAGTGGCTCATCCTGATAATACCAGAACTTTGTCTGGGAGTCCGATGCAGGAGGATTGCTTGAGTCCAGGAGTTCCAGAGCAGCCTGGGTAACAAAGTGAGAGCTCGTCTCTACAAAAAGTTAAAAAAATTAGCTAGGCGTGGTGGCATGCACCTGTAATCATAGCTATTCTGGAAGCTGAGGTGGGAGGATCTCTTGAGCCCAGGAGTTTGAGGTTACAGTGAGCTATGATCACATCACTGCATTCCAGCTTCAGTGACAGAATGAGATCTGGTCCTCCTTCCCCCTGACCCCCCAAATTATATATTCTACTTTGGTAGCAAGACCATTATCACTTGGAATCACCGCCCGCCAAATTTTTAAAATTAGACCCTTTAATATTAAAGAAAATTAAAAATATTCAGGATAATTTGTTCTTAAACCAAAAGCATAACAATTCTTAAAATATTGGAAATTAATACTTCCTTCCTGAATTATTTTTCAGTTGCTCAAAATGTGGTAAGCATGAGTAAACATCATGTACAGATAAAAGATGTAAATCTGGAGGTTACGGCCAAGCCAGTTCCATTAAATTCAGGAGTCAGATTCCAGGTAACAGGATGATTAAAATTTTTTGGATTTCTGTTCATCACAAGCACTTCTCTCATCCATATTTCTGAACATCAAATCATTTTCCAGGTTTATGTAGAAGTTTCTAAAATGAAAATCAATGTTACTGAAATTCCTGACACATTGCGTGAAGATCAAATGAGAGACAAACTAGAGCTGAGCTTTTCAAAGTCCCGAAATGGAGGCGGAGAGGTGGACCGCGTGGACTATGACAGACAGTCCGGGAGTGCAGTCATCACGTTTGTGGAGATTGGAGGTACTCAAGGGTGTAGAAGGTTAACAGACACTCTGCCATTTCAGTCATGTTCTGTTGTTTCTG
Source organism: Homo sapiens (assembly GCF_000001405.40). Lineage (NCBI taxonomy): Eukaryota > Metazoa > Chordata > Mammalia > Primates > Hominidae > Homo > Homo sapiens. The sequence continues at coordinate 151,275,420 of NC_000002.12, read as the reverse complement.
AAAGTATTCCTATTCTACTTCTTTTATTTGGAATGTATTAGCATGATAATTGGGGATTTTAAAAAACCTTATAAAATAGTAGAGTGTAGGAAATTATTTCCAGGGACAGTACTAGGAAAGATAATATTGCTACAAATAGGCAGGGTGCAGTGGCTCACCCCTGTAATCCCAGCACTTTGGGAGGCGGAGGCAGGCGGATCACTTGAGGTCAGGAGTTCAAGACCAGCCTGTCCAACATGGCGAAACCCCATCTCTACTAAAAATACAAAAATTAGCCAGGCATGGTGGCAAGTGCCTGTAATCCCAGCTACTTGGGAGGCTGAGGCAGGGAGAATCACTTGAACCCAGGAGGTGGAGGTTGCAGTGAGCTGAGATCACCAGGCATAGTGGTGCGTGCCTGTGGTCCCAGCTACTCAGGAGGCTGAGGTGGGAGGATTACTTGAGGCCAGGAGGTTGAGGCTGCAGTGACCTGTGATTGCACCACTGCACTACAGCCTGGGAGACAGAGTGAGACCCTGTCTCAAAAAACAAAATTAAAAAAAAAAATTGATGGATTAGATTTTTTCATGACAAAGTAATACATGCTTTTTTAAGGAAGGTGAAATAATACAGAAGAGCAAACATTTAGTAAAAATGAGACATTTCGGCCGGGCCCGGTGGCTCATGCCTGTAATCCCAGCACTTTGGGAGGCCGAGGCAGGCAGATCATGAGGTGAGGAGTTCGAGACCAGCCTGACTAACATGGTGAAACCCCGTCTCTACTAAAAATACAAAAAAATTAGCCAGGTGTGGTGGCGCATGCCTGTAATCCCAGCTACTCGGGGGGCTCAGGCAGGAGAATAGCTTGAACCCAGGAGGTGGAGGTTGCAGTGAGCCGAGACTACGCCACTGCACTCCAGCTTGGGCGACAGAGTGAGACTCCGTCTCAAAAAAAAACAAAAAGAGACATTTCCTCAAACTTCCCTTTCTCCTACTATTTAGTTAGTTATGGTTATTTGGGTGTCTTTCCAGGCTTTTCTCTGGGCACATTAAAACATGTCAATATCCTTTTTTTTTTTTTTTTTTTTTTTTTTTTTGTGAGACAGAGTCTTGCTCTGTCGCCCGGGCTGGAGTGCAGTGGCACTATCTCAGCTCACTGCAACCTCCGCTTCCCGGGTTCAAGCAATTCTCCCACCTCAGCCTCCCGAGTAGCTGGAATTACAAGTGCATGCCACCATGCCTGACTAATTTTTGTATTTTTGGTAGAGACGGGGTTTCACCATGTTGGTCAGGTTGGTCTCGAACTCCTGACTTCAAGTGATACGCCCGCCTTGGCTTCCCAAAGTGCTGGGATTACAAGCATGAGCCGCCGCTCCTGGCCCAATATGCATTTTTGACCTGAGCTTTTGGATGATGTTTAGGACATCCTGGTGGGATGTGTCAGGGAGAGCTATAAAAGGAAGGGGTCTTGAGGGCTACAGTAATATGTTGTCTTGGAAATGAACAATAACTTGGTGGAAACTTCCATAGTCAAGCATCCAGATTTTAATTTGCCAAATTCATATATTCATTTAGCCTGTTTGGTGTTAGTTTGTCTATATCTTGGATTTTAAAAAATCTGGCCAGGCGCAGTGGCTCATGCCTATAATCCCAGCACTTTGGGAGGCGGAGGCGGGTGGATCACTTGAGGCCAGGAGTTCAAGACCAGCCTGGCCAACATCGCGAGACCCCTTCTCCACCAAAAATACAAAAATTAGCGGATGTGCTGGCTCACGCCTATAGTCCCAACTACTTGGGAGGCTGAGGCAGGAGAATTGCTTGAACCTGGGGGGTGGAGGTTGCAGGGAGCTGAGATTGCATCACTGCACTCCAGCCTGGGTGACAGAGTGAGACTCGGTCTCAAAAAAACCGAAATAAAATAAATAAAATAAAATAAACTAGAATGCAATTTATAACTCTACTGTGAGAGATAATACTAGCTTTGGAACCTGTGTCCTTGGGCCATCTGGGGATGTTCTCCTAGAGGTTACATCTAGCCAGATGGGAAAAATACTTCTGCAGGTTATAGGTTATCCAGCAGGTAACTACTGAAGGATGTGAAGGTATTCTGGAGATAAATATGCCAGATACTTCATAAACTGTGTCTTACTGACTCATCACAATAATCTACAGGGTAGGTACTGTAATTATGCTTATTTTACAGAAAAAGAAACTGAGGCTTTAAGAAGTCAAGCAACATATCCAAGGCCACATAGCTCATAAGTAGCAGAGCTAGGACTGAAGCTGGTCTATTTGACTCAGGACCTGTACTCTTTTTTTTTTTTTTAACTGTGATAAAATATATATAACATAAAATTTACCATTTTAACAATTTTTAAATGTACAATTCAAGGGTACTAAGTACATTCACAATGTTGTACAACCATCACCACTATCCATCTCTAGAACTTTTTAATCACCCCAAACTGAAACTCTGTACCCATTTAACAATAATTCTCCATTACCTCTTCTTCCAGCCCCTGGTAACCATCATTCTACTTTCTGTCTCTATGAATTTGCCTATTCTAGGTACCTCATTCAAGTGGAATTATACAATATTTGTCCTTTTCCTGTCTGTCTTATTTTGGTTAGCATAATGTTATCAGGGTCCATCCATGTTGTGGTATGTATCAGAATTTCATCCTTTTTAAAGGCTGAATAATATTCTCTGTGTGTGTGTGTATTTTATATATCCATTTTGTTGATCTGTTCATCTGTTGGTGGATGCTTGGGTTGCTTCCACCTTTTGCCTATTGTGAAAAATACTGCTCTGAGCATTAACGAGCAAGTATCTGTCCGAGTCCCTGCTTTCAGTTGTTTCGGGTATATACCCAGAAGTTGAATTGCTGGATCATATCATGTTCTATTTTAATATTTTGGGGAACTGTCATACTGTTTTCTACAGTGGCTGTACCATTTTACATTTCTATCAGCATTGCCTCAGGGTTTCAATTTCTCCATATTCTCGCCAATGAGGGCCTACACTCTTAATCATTGTACCATATTGCTGATCCAAGGTAGATGAGTGAGAAGAGTCATAAAAAACATGGTTGTATATTCCCAAGAACTGTTTTTGTTAAATGTTACAGTCTTGACACACATCCTTTCACCACTCTAGGAGAAAAAAATACTGCTAAAAAATAGACTATTCTTTGTGTTGTAGAAAACTGATGAATTTTTATTTCCTTTCAGTTTTTCTAGATGACATTCAATCCCCTCCCTGCTTTGGTTAACATCATTACTTCAGTTTATTGAATATATTGAAAAAAATGTATATAGTATTCTAATCATAGTTTTCACTTACAGCTTTTGAGAAACTGGGAAACAGTCCAGTCTTGTTAGATGAGTGGGTTACTTTCTGCAAAAGACTATGGTATTTTTTATAGCTCAAAGTAGATCTGTCTGAGGACATTGCAACCCTTTGTGCATTGATTGACTGCAGTGAATAATTCAAGATGGAATGAAGGCTTTAAACCTCATTATTGTTTGGTCTTGTAGTTTTCAAAATTATGTACTGTGAAGTCTTCAAAGTGGGCTTTAGAATTTCTTAAAAATTAATCTTTTAACTCAATATTTACTGTAATAGTGTTCTCTTTGAAGGAAGTTTTAACTTTGGTTAAAAATGCTTATGATATAAAAAAGACAAGTATTGTTTTTGTTTTGCTTTTAGTGGCTGACAAGATTTTGAAAAAGAAAGAATACCCTCTTTATATAAATCAAACCTGCCATAGAGTTACTGTTTCTCCATACACAGAAATACACTTGAAAAAGTATCAGGTAAAGTCATCTCTGTTCTCTCATTTTCAGAACTCACTGCCCAAACCCACCCCACAAAAAATAAAGTTGTTGTGAGTCTGTTACTTATGCATCTTATCAATGAGGGATAGCAAAATGGTTTCTTTACTTCATTTTTGCTTGGTGCAAAATGAGTTTGTCTTTTGAAGGAGCATTTTAATGCAAAACTGTACTTTATTATACAATTTTTAAAACTGAAATTACTCAGATAATGGCACAATTTTTATTTTTGTACATGGAGACATAGTTGCATTTCTCTCATATGTCTACTGTCAGTGAGCATGAGAAAGAATTCCTGCCTACTTTCTCTGAACTCATTATCTTTACCCCAGACCTGCTCCCTTTTCCTCTTCCTTCTCAGGTATCCAATGGTACCACCATCTACCTACTCCACCAACTTAAAAGCTAGAACTCATACTTAACTCTTCAGTTTGCTTCACCTCCAACATTCATTTGGTCACTAAATCTTGCCAGCTCCACTTCTGACTACCTCTTTACCTGGTCTTTCTGTTCCCAGAGCATCCCTCCTTTCCTCTGTGTTCCATAATGCCACCAGAGTTCTCTTTCTAAAACTCAGATCTGACTTGGATATTCTCTTGCTTGGAAAATCTTCCTAAGATTTCTTGTCTCTTCTAAGATAAAATAAAAAATATTAAGCAGAGATTATGAATGTAAAGTTTTGTAATTCAAAGCTCTTAGAAATCTTTCTATTTATCATTTTTTCCTTCTTAGATATTTTCAGGAACATCTAAGAGGACAGTGCTTCTGACAGGAATGGAAGGCATTCAAATGGATGAAGAAATTGTGGAGGATTTAATTAACATTCACTTTCAACGGGCAAAGAATGGAGGTGGAGAAGTAGATGTGGTCAAGTGTTCTCTAGGTCAACCTCACATAGCATACTTTGAAGAATAGACTTAACAGAATCATGAAAACTATAGCTTTTTAACCCGGATTACTGTAAATGTTTGACAAAAATGAATATGCTTTTCCTTAAAAAATGAAAACTTTAATTTTTACCATCCATTTATGTTTAGATACAAAACTTATTTCCATGTTTCTGAATCTTCTTTGTTTCAAATGGTGCTGCATGTTTTCAACTACAATAAGTGCACTGTAATAAAAAGTTTTGTTTATAGATTATGTGTATTGGTGCCATGTCTGCTGAAATCAACCTTAAGTGATTCAGATGTCCCCTGCCAGTGCTGGCTCATCCTGTTATGGTCTTGTGGGCCAATTCAGTTGTGGCCCCATGCCCACCAATATGCAGACTTGACTCTTAACATTTTCCAAAACAAAGGCAGTTACATTCAGCAGTTGGTGATTCCTGTAAACTCAACTGAAGATTCGAAGGACTTCAAGAGCAACCATTTACCACTGTGCATAGCATTTCACTCCACAACTCTAAAGGTTCTCAGAGCTGAGTGTGATCTTTTTCTTGAATTTCTGTTCACCCAAGTGCCAAGTGTCCCTTGATTCCTTCCAAGCCATCCCCTCTCCAAATAGAGCTCGTAAAGGACTAGCTTTTTCTTTCTTTTGCACTTACAATGGAAACAATTGGTATAAGAGTTTGAAAACCTTGGCATGGAGAGAGAGGTAAATACAAAGTTAGTGACTCATCACTTATCATGCTCGATGCTGGGGAATGACTGGAGGTAAAAACACAGTACCTGCCCTCCAAGGGTTTAAGTTTAGTTGGAAAGAGACCCAGTTTACTAGCATCTCACTGTTTTTAACTTGCAGAAACTTTAATGATAAAATTAAAGATTCCTATTCAGAGAAGGTAAAAGTCTTTTTGGTAAAGAACCTTTAGGCCGGTTGCGGTGGCTCACGCCACCAGCACTTTGGGAGGCTGAGGTGGGCGGATCACTTGAGGTCAGGAGTTCGAAACCAGCCTGGCCAACATGGTGAAACCCTATCTCTACTAAAAATACAAAAATTAGCCGGGCATGGTGGTGGGCGCCTGTAATCCCAGCTACTTGGGAGGCTGAGGCAGAATTGCTTGAACCTGGGAGGCGGAGGTTGCAGTGAGCTGAGATCGTGCCATTGCACTCCAGCCTGGGTGTTGCAGTGAGACTCTGTCTCAAAAAAAAAAAAAAAAAAAGAAAAATAGAAAAAAAACCTTTGGACAACTTCTATTCTGACATGGTAGGTTTCATGAAGAACTGGCAGCAGAATTAAATTCATATTAAAATGCTGGCAGAATGAAAGGCTTTTAGAAAAGGTTCTAAACCTATTGAATGCTGCCTGGCATCTAAAACAAACAAAAGGAAAAGCTCGAGTTTTGCTTCTGATATTTTATTTTTAGTTTTTAAAGTTACATTACTCTCAGGAGTTCTCATTTTCACCTTTCTTTAAAGAATGAGAGATGGTGCCTAAAAACTACAGTTTATGATAAATCTTCATATTTACCATTTAAACAAATCTCTCGTGTCTATTATTCTTTTTAAAATAGAATGACTATTTAAAGCTCTCAAAAATATTAAGAAGAAAACTTTAAAGTAGCTTTTTAATTTCCATTTTGCCAGTCTCACTGGCACAGAAGGTATTGTTGATAGTCTGTGGCAGATTGCCTATCAGGAAGAATTTTATGTTAATATTTATTTAGGACAAAGTTGAAATAGTCACTTTTGTATTTTGGGGGGTCCTCTTCAGGCAGTAAAATTGATAATTCAATTCTAAATTTTCCTATGTGTTTTTTTATAAATATTTCTAGCTTAGAAAATTATACTTTTCTTTTGGATTCCTTTCACCCTCACCCAAGAGCAGTCTGGCTGGATGTCAGAAAACAAGTATTGGCTCTCCTGCTTATTCCTAGAGTTTTAGGGATCTTACAGAAGGACAGCTGTCTTTGAAAACTTATCAAAAGTACATATTGACTGTTTAATATATTGAATATTAAGAAAGGGGCCTTCATATGTATGTCCAAGATGAGCTAACTCCAGACATTGCCAATATGATAAGTCATATAGATACATATGTGGAATTACAAGTTCCTCTTGCTGTTTGTTGATTTATCAGGCAGCACAGGCTAGGTAATGCCACAGTAACAAACAACCTGCCAAACCTCATGGGCCTAAACAATTCTTACCCATGCTGATTATCCAGCACAGGTTGGCAGGGGGACTCTGTTTATCCTCATCACTTAGAGACTCCATTCTTGAGACAAGAATCATGGAGGGTGGAGGAGGGGGAGGAAATGTGAAATCTGGAAAGTCTTGTATCAGCAATTAAATGCTGTGACCCAGAAGTGATTCTTGTCATTTCTTCTCACATCTCATTGGTCAGAAATAGTCACATGGCCCTATTCAAATAGAAGGGACTTGGGCTGGGCATGGTGGCTCATCCATGTAATCCCAGCACTTTGGGAGGCCAAAATAGGAGGATCACTTGAGGCCAGGAGTTTGAGACCAGCCTGGCCAACACAGTGAGACCCCATCTCTATTTAAAATCTAAATACATGTATATATATAAATGCTTATATATCTCTATTTTAAATCCAAATATATATATGGGGACTAGGAAATTCTGTCTTATCAAAAGTTAGGAGAAACAGATATCGCTGAGCCAGAATAATAACCAGCATAGCCTACCTGTCTTACCACCAATATTTAGTTCATTTGTCTTCTCACACAAAATACACTCGTAGTCATCTCATCCTTAAGGGAGAAAAACAAGAAATTCTATCCAATCATGATATTAAACTCAAAGTGCATGAATTCAAAGTGCTCTACATCAGGTCTGAATGTTACTCCTCTTTATGCAGAGACCCTCACACATCCAATATAGAGTAGCGGAACTGGAATAAGATGAGTGCAATAAACTCTTACACTTGGAAAGGGAAAGAATGGGAGACACATAGCCGTCACTGGGCCAAAGCAATTCTGAAATCCCATTCAGTAGATGTGTGCTCCATACTCCCAGGGTGTGGAATTTGGATTAGGCCCTGATTCCATTCTCTAAGAATTCTCTTGCTCATTGTCCTTATGGCTCTTGAACATTCTTCTTCTTCTTTTTTTTTTTGACACGGATTCTCACTCTATCGCCCACACTGGAGTGCAGTGGTGCGATCTCAGCTCACTGCAACCTCCGCCTCCCAGTTGAACACTCTTCTTTTTCCATTATTCTTCTTGGCCATATCTAGAATGGGCATTTGAAATCTCTTGGAATCTGAAAAGCTTCCCTAGTGCACTTCCTATGGTCAATGTTTGTGACCAAAGTTATAAAGTTTTGAACAGTCATGGTCTCTTTAGTCTGGAGTGGTGGTTATTTAGCTGGTAAAATGGAAAAACTCAATAGGCATCTTGTCTATTTTATTCTGGTAAGCTTACACATCCACAGTTCTTTTCTAGACTTACTTTTTAGAGTTGCTACTGTTCTCTGCTTTCTTAGCCTCATGCTTCTTTCACTCTCCTCATTTAATTATAGATACTTTGGGTCTATCAGGCCACACTTTTGCTTTCATTTCCTTGAGCTATTTTGTCCAGTTGAAAGGGTTTATTGTATTCCACAACCTTAATTGGTGTTTTCGCTCTGAGGGATCCTAATCTATTTAGAGATTTACACCTTGATTTGATCCCCGCGATAAACCGGAGTTCTAATCAATCTTTGTTACTCAACAGGCTTCTTGGTTTTATTGTTTATTATTTGGGAATGAGAAATGTTTCTTCCAGCCCCATAAGTTGGAAGTTCATATTTCTGGACTTTCTCTATTCCCTTTCATTCCTGCTTTCAAACTGGCCAGTTCTTTTCTAAAGTCATTTCTTTCTTATATTATTTGTTAAATGCACTCAATGATAACAGAAAAATGCTAATAACTTTCTGCTTCCCATACTTAAAAAATAACAACCCCAAAACCACAAGCTAATTAGGTACATTATTTGCTTTCCAAGCTATCACATGACAGTTTTACAAAGTACTTTTATACTGCATAATGTGGGTCACCATCCTTCTAATCTCTGATAACTATTTTCTTCTTATCTGCCACTTGGCCTCTAAGCCAAAGTCATGTATTTCAAGTAGTGTTTGGATTGTGTGGTTTTTTTTTTGGCCATAGCAGTACTCCATTTCAGAATACCAATTTCTGTATCAATCAGAATAGGCTATGTGATGCTGATGTGAAAAATTTTTAAATTTAAAATTTTTAAATTTTAAATCTTTTTAAATTTCAGAGACTTAAAGCAACACACATTTATTCCTTCCTCAAGCTACATGGCCATTGATGGTTCAACAAAAAGAGCTCTGCTCATGGTAAACACTTAGGGACCCAAACTCATGGCAGCCACCATCTTTACTATTGCTAGATGTTATGCCAGAGGAAGAAAAGAGCTTTGAAGGGTCTTTAACTGGTAATTAAATTTTTGGCCCAGAAATGATACTTGTCACTTCCACTCACAACTCAGAACTAAGCATATGGACCTACCCAACCATAAAGGAGCCTGGATGTTCATTCTTACCATATGGTTGGAAGGCAGAAAGCCAAAACTGTATGGGAAATAGCATTAATGATACCTGCTTGGTATTAAAAAAGAAAAGATGCTCAATCTTGAAAAATACACATAGTATTATGGAGATAATAAAAATCACCAAAAGTACACATCCAGAGATAATGGTAAATATTTTTGTGTTCTCTTTTCTATTCTTTTTTTCCTTCTAACCACATCACATTTAATGCTGTAAATATACCCATATACCCTATGCTATTTGTCACTTCCTTATTGTTGGGAATAAGGTTGCTTCTAATTTCTTCACACTTATAAATATTCTGATGTACGTAAGTCCTTATATGTCTTGGTACATAAGACATTTTCTGCAGTTCTGACCTTACTTCAAGGTGATAATTGCTAGGTTGAAAGGCAGAAGGACGAAAAACTCTTTTAAGGATCTTGTTAAGTGAGGCCAGAATTGCTTACTAGAAAGGTAGGCATTGGTTTGTACTTTCATTAACAGTGTAACCAAGCACTATCTCATTGCTCCATTTCAGCACTGAATACTACTTATCTAAACATGTTTTCTTTATTCTATTTTTGGAAATTTTCATAACACATCCCAGGGTTTTATGAAAATAAGTAATTACCAAGATACGGGTGAAACATCCTGTAATGGGTTTTGCTTTAGTTTTTTGGTGTCACAAATGAAAAACGTTCAGGAAAATGTTGATTTTATTTCTTTCTTTCTTTAGAGATGGAGTCTCGCTCTGTCACGCAGGCTGGAGTGCAGTGGCACAGTCTCAACTCACTGCAACCTCCATCTCCCGGGTTCAAGCGATTCTTCTGCCTCAGCCTCCTGAGTAGCTGGGACTACAGGGGCAAGCCACCACGCCCGGCTGATTTTTTTGTATTTTTAGTAGAGACGGGGTTTCACCTTGTTACCCAGGATGGTCTCCATCTCCTGACCTCGTGATCCGCCTGCCTCGGCCTCCCAAAGTGCTGGGATTACAGGCATGAACCACTGCGCCCGGCCCTCCAATTTGATTTTATTAAAGCTTCAAGACAGAAAAGTACAGTGAGGCAAGAGGCCTTATAATTGGGGCTATAAGATGTTAAAAGATTTTCTTGAATGCAGTTTTAGTTAGTAATATGCTGCTAAAATAATTTTGCCACATTTGGAGTCCTCTTTCTTCAAGGGTGTTGGAATAGTTTGGCATATATATGATTAAAGGTTACTGTAGGTCATGTTCGATGGCACAGATAGGTTGACCTGGATTCCCAACTCTAATCCTAGACCTCTCATCATTTTCTGGAGAGAATGGAGACTTCAGTTATGAGTTGGGGAAAGCAAGAAAGACATTCAATATAAACAAACATATAAAGATATTTTCAGAAAGAGGCCAGGGCTATTAAGATGGTATAACGGGGTGATGGAATGATTAAGTAGGAAGATAGACTGGGTGATTAGAGCTAGTCTTTCTGAAGAGAGGTTATTGTGTTGGAGGCTGAAAGATCGAGGGGCATGACTGCCCTCAGCATTCCTTCTGGGTGGCATACTCAGTTTGTCAGTTTGCCAACATTCTGCATTTATGAGAACAGTTTGCTGTTTACCCATACAGCCTCCAGTGGTATACTGAGTTGATCACGACCCTCAGTCTTTCGGCTTTAACATTATTGTAGCTAAGACCCAAGTGACAGCAGGAGCCAGTCAAGTGAAGATCAGGGCGGAGCTATTGAGGCAGGGACACAGTACATAGGTCAGGCAAAACTCCCAGGCTGATAGCTTGTTGCGATTGCAGCAGAGGGTCAGGGCAGTGGTAGGAGATCTGGCCAGAAAAAAAAGGATCAAGGTCATTGTGGCTCAGGTGAAAGCAATGCAAACAATGATGTGTTTAAACAGAAGTCGAATCTGATTTACATTTTAAAAAGATCCTTCTGGGTATGGTAGCAAGAATGGACTGAGGAGCTAGAGAGGATGGAGACTGGATGAGGATGGTAGGGATGCAGCTGGAAAGAGGGACTGATACTGGGTCCCTCTGGAAGGCCCATTGTTGGGGTATACTAAGAAGGATGAGGAAAAGAGAAATCAAGAACTGGGTCATGAGCTTGAGCTCATGGGTAGACAGTGCTGCCAATTCTTGAGAGGGAATTAAGAAGGGGAGAAGAAGGGTTCTCCTTGTTAAATTCAGATGCTTGTTTGACATTCAAGTAGGCACTTAGATATATAAAATCTGGAGATAAAATATAAATTGGGGAATTACATACAGATGTACCTCATTCTGTTTTTTTTTTTTTTTCTTGAGACAGAGTCTTGCTCTGGAGTTCTACTTGTTAAATTTCAGATGCTTGTTTGACATTCAAGTGGGCACTTAGATATATAAATCTGGAGATAAAATATAAATTGGGGAATTACATACAGATCTACCTCATGCTGTTTTTTTTTTTTTTCCTTCTTGAGATAGAGTCTTGTTCTCTCGCCCAGGCTGGAGTGCAGTGGTGTGATCTTGGCTCACTCTGCCTCCCGGGTTCAAGCGATTCTCTAGCCTCAGCCTCCCGAGTAGCTGAGATTACAGGTGTGTGCCACCACGCCCGGCTAATTTTTGTATTTTTAGTACAGACGGGTTTCACCATGTTGCTCAAGCTGGTCTTGAATTCCTGAGCTCAAAATGATCCGCCCACCTTGGCCTCCCAAAGTTCTGGGAATACAGGCGGGAGCCACTTCCCCCTACCTCATTCTGTTTTAAAATCTTCATAGCCTTGTGCCTTACTGATATATCATCAGCCGTATAACAAATAGCTCCATCCAATGATAAACTAGGTGGATCCCAGTTTATAAAAAAATTATTACTACCTGTATTTCAAGCAATGTACAACTAAAATTTCTATACAATATCTTAGTGCCATTTGCGCACTATAACTTCAAGTTCAGTTCTAAAAGTAGAATTGCTGAGACTAAGAATATGTGCATTTTACATTTTTTTGCACTTTACATTTTGATAAAAATCTTTAGAAGTATTTGCATCCATCTATGCTTGCAGCAACTCTGATGCTTACATTCAGGCTAACACTTTCTGGTTTTGCAGATCTAGTTGTGAAAAATGGTATCTTATTATTTCAATTTACATTTCTTAGGAGTGGGATTGGGTTTCTTCATATCTGCTAGCCATCTACCTTTGTTCTTCATGCATTCATTGATTTGATTTTGAAGTTTGTCCAGAGATTCCCTGTGTCCCCACAGGCGCCATTCGGGGTTCCTGTGCTAAGGCATGGACAAGGTGGTGAGCTCTCTGCTGGCAGGGACCTGGCGCTCTCATCCTGTGTCCTTAGCACCCGGCAGAGGTCCAAGAGGGCTCCTGGTCTGGGCTGGGAAGGTGACCAACACGGCGTTGGGGGTTGAGGTGGGGGTTGGGGAACTGGGGTAGGTTGTGCAGAGGAAAAGGCCCAGGTGAGCGGTGGGGGAAGGGGAAGAAGTCTGGACAGATAATAAGGGCGTAGGAAAGACATCCAGATTTCACTGAGTGCAGGGCTTTTTAAAACTGATGTTAGAAAAACTTGATTTGCTGTTGTAAAAAACCATCTGTGTGAAGTAGAAATTGATATCAATAACATGATAGAGAATACGTTCTAAAAAGTAAAGGTAGCTGGATGTAAAATTCTGGCAGAAGTTTAATATCCTAGATGGTTAGTTTGAGGCCAGCAACTAATGAGGATAAAAGCCTTCTCCATGGAAAATTTTGGACAGTTATCTGGAGAAATATTACAGTGCGCATCAACCAAATTGAAATGTTTTCAAAAGTGTTGTAAAGTTTCATGTAGTAAAAAGGTTTTAGCCACATGCCCTTCAATTTCATGGCATCGAATATATAAACACAGAAGAGAGCATGCATGCAAGATATTTAACTCCCTTACATGATAATGCATGCGATTCAAAACTATCATGACATCTAGGGCTCTCTGCAACTACGAGATGATTGATGTTAGGAAAAGCGTAGCCCCCCAGTATCAACACAGGAAGCGGCCACCACCTACTATGTGTTTTCCCTTTTTGCGTTTTTTCTTTTTTTAAATCAACTCTGCCGTTGTTGCTGCTGCTTAGCAAAACGGGTAAAAACAAAATTGCAATCACTGATGCATCACCCAGAGAATTCCCAAATTTCCTGTCGAGGAATCCTCTCGGCCTCTCTCCAGAGTGCTTCCACAAGTTGCAAAACTACGGAGGGCGTCTGGGCAGGCGCTGGCAACAGCACTCCTGAGTCCGAGCTCCCACTCAGAGGCCACGAGGTCGCAGAACAGCCGGATCGGGTGGAAGGACCGCCCTTTTCTTCGTAGCCTCCAAGGGAGCTGGAACAAAAAACGAAACCAAAACCTGCCTGCTCGCTCCTCTCCCCATCGCCTGCGTTCCGCTGGTTGTGGGCTTTCTGCGGCCGCTGAGGGCGCGTCTCCCCTCCGCCATGGCAAGTTGCTTTTGCTTTGGGTTTTGCGGTGCAGGTCCGTGCCTGTACCGTCGCCATGGTCCCCTAGAAGGGCGCGGAACCGGGCGCGACGGGCCAGGGTGCAGGGCTGCGCGGGAGGGGGCGGCGCACGGAGGGGCCCCAGGGACCCCGGGGGCCCCGGAGAGCCGTCCACCCCGGCGGGCAAACTCAGGTCAGCCTCGCTGCACCCTTCCCAGGTGGCGGCATTGCGCGCTCCTGAAATTCACGTACGGCGGTGCAGTATAGGCCCGCTCCAGAGGCTCAGGACTAGGCTGTCACCTCCCACACCCACTGCCCAGGCGACGGGGACGCCGCCGTTCGTCGAGGAGCTGCTTCGCAGGCTGTTAGGGCTTAACTGTTGTCCTCCCACGCCTCGGGGGGAACAAAAGTGGCCTGATTAGCCAGAAATGGAGGTCACAGCTGCCTTTTGAAAAGGGCTAATAAGAACGATTCGAGCCAAGGACGCAAGTCAGGAAGACATCCTCATGTCTTATGTCTGCCTTGGTGCGAATTCTTGTCTTAGCAAATTCAAAATTTATCCTTCTGTGTTTTGTTTTGTTTCCATCAATCGCTTAAAAGCCTTGGCAAGGCCTTTAATTCCTGCTCTGAAATGCTAGAGTCCCGGAAATGCAAAAGCAAGTACGTTTTTGTTGACCTGGTGGCGGTAGAGGCGTCGTCATTGAAAATAAACAACTGATTTTGAGAAAATCAATATAAACAAATGCAGTCAATGAATCTTCTGTTTCTTCCCAATGCCTTACTTACAAAAGTAAAGTTTTGCTATATACTTTTTGCTTTCTGATAAGATGGCCAAGTCTGTTATAACACAATACTGATGCAAGGAAATGCGCCATCACGTTAGTATGTCTTGGCTAAAAGCTGCTCGTTTCAAAGTCCTTGAAAGGACTGTCTTTCTCTAGGCATTTCTTTATCTTAATCGTGGGTAGAAGAGATGAACAACCCTCATTATTCATAATTGACCTCAGTAAAATTATCTATGTTAGCCATACTTTCTCCAACCTATGAAAGGGAGTTAAGGACAAATATTGGCAAGTCATTGAAGTACTAATTCATTAGATGATTCATAGAAACTAGTTCTTACCAAACAAAATTTACATCTTTATGTTTTTTTCTTCTAAAAATACTGGTTCAGGGAGAAGTTTCTTTGATTTTAAAGATAAATTACCAGTAGACATTCGAATAAAGAAATATGGTATTAGTACTAATGAGGGCATAGAGCTGAAGTAAGATTTCCTGAGTTTAAATTGATTGCATGTTTTTCTTTGATATTGTTGGGGTGCAGAAAATGATCTCCCTGCCCGGCACGGTGGCTCACGCCTGTAATCCCAGCACTTTGGGAGGCGAAGGAGGGCGGATCACTTGAGGTCAGGAGTCTCTACTAAAAATACAAAAATTAGCTGGGCGTGATGGCATCCACCTGTAGTCTCAGCTACTGGGGAGGCTGAGGTGGGAGGATCACTTGAGCCCAGGAGGCGGAGGTTGCAGGGAGCCAAGATCACGCCATTGTTCTCCAGCCTGGGCAACAGAGCGAGGCGCTGTCTAAAAAAAAAAAAAGACTTCGAGAGGCCGAGGGGGGAGCGGATCACGAGGTCAGGAGTTTGAGACCAGCCTGGTCAACATGGTGAAACCCCATCTCTACTAAAAATACAAAAATTAGTCGGGCATGGTGGCTGATGCCTGTAGTCCCAGCTACTCAGGAGGCTGGGGCAGGAGAATCGCTTGAACCCGGGAGGTGGAGGTTGCAGTGAGCCAAGATCGCGCCACTGCACTCCAGCGTAGGTGACAGAGCTAGACTCCATCTCAAAACAAACAAACAAACAAAAAACAAGAAAAGAAAAAGATCTCCCAAAAGAAATAAAAACAAATGCAGTGAGTGAATCTTCTATTTCTCCCTAGTGCTTCACTTAGAAAAATAAAGTTTTTCTTTATGCCTTTTTTGCTTTCTGATATGATGGCCCTGCCTTTATTCTTACATTGACAGGGTTGAGCATTTCTGTTTTTTTGTAACCATATTTAAATTTTCAATGTTTTTATTTTTATTTTTTTTGAGACAGAGTCTCACTCTGTCACCCAGGCTGGAGTGCAGTGGTGCGATCTTGGCTCACTGCAACCTCCACCTCCTGTGTTCCAGCCATTCTGGTTCCTCAGCCTCTGGAGTAGCTGGGATTACAGGCGCCTGCCTCCACTAATTTTTGTATTTTTAGTAGAGATGGCGTTTCACTATGTTGGCCAGGCTGATCTCGAACTCCTGACTTCAAGTGATCTGCCCACCTCATCTTCCCAAAGTGTTGGGATTACAGCCGTGAACTACTGCACCTGGCCTTTTTTAAGACTTAGCAGGTTTGGTCTAAAGGTGAAAAACCGATAATAATGTAAACAGTAAATATTGTTTATAGCAGGTCCCAATAGTGTGCTATGATTACTTTTTCTCCTTTTGGTCCAGTGTTATGTGTATTTTTCCTTTTCCACTTCTAGGAAAATGTTCCCAGCAAATGGGTCAAATGGATTTTCTTTCTTTCTTTCCTTTCTTTCTTCCTTTTTTTTTTTGGGGACGAAGTCTCCCTCTATTGCCCAGGCAGGCTGGAGTGCAGTGGTGCTCACTATAACCTCTACCTCCCAGGTTCAAGCCATTCTCCTGCCTCAGCCTCCCAAGTAGCTGGGACTACAGGCATGTGCCACCACGCCCAGCTAATTTTTGTAGTTTTAGTAGAGTTGGGGTTTCACCATGTTGGCCGGGCTGGTCTCGAACTCCTGACCTTAGGTGATCTGCCCGCCTCATCCTCCCAAAGTGCAGGGATTACAGGTGTGAGCCACCGTGCCCGGCCTGCATTCCATAATTTACTTAAAATCATGCAAGTACTTTAGTTTTCTTATGATTTTTAGGCTGGGGCCCCTTCAAATCCCAGAAATGGGAGAGAACT
The DNA here is from genome assembly GCF_000001405.40 of Homo sapiens. NCBI lineage: Eukaryota > Metazoa > Chordata > Mammalia > Primates > Hominidae > Homo > Homo sapiens. The sequence goes on along the minus strand of NC_000002.12, from coordinate 151,258,764 downwards.
TGCTCTGGGATATACATGCTAGCAGGTTCTCTCTGAAGTGTTCATTCAGGCATTTTTTGTTTTTGAGACAGAGCCTTGCTCTGTCACCCAGGCTGGAGTGCAGTGGTGCCATCCTGGCTCACTGCAGCCTCGATCTCCTGTGCTCAAGCGATCCTCCTATCTCCGCCTCTGGAGTAGCTAGCTGGGACTATAGGTGTGCACCACCACACCCGGCTAATTTTTTCTGTTTTTGATAGAGACTAGGTTTCACCATGTTGGCCAGGCTGGTCTGGAACTCCTGGCCTCAAGTGATCCGCCCACCTTGACCTCCCAAAGTGCTGGAATTACAGGCATGAGCCACCATGCACAGTCAGGCTTTTCAGGCCTTTTTTTTTTTTTTTAAAGTAAAATAATCCTCAAGTTTTTTTCCTTGTGGTTTGGCCCAGCTGCCTTCATTACAGCATGTTATGTGCATGTCCAATCTTGTGTGCACTGGGGGTAGGGAATGTGAGGAGACAGCTGGAGCAGTTGTTTTACCAATACCCTGTCAACAAACCCTTGGTTTGGTCCCTTTATTTCTGAGGTTCTGCTCTGAAAGTCGTCACCTGTTCACTATAACCCCCTTTTGCATATTCTGAGTTAGCTCTTTCCCTCTGTCTTATCGTTCCATATACTTCCATGTATTTTCTTTTCTTTTTCTTTCTTTCTTTTTTTTTTAGATGGAGTTTTGCTCTTGTCGTCCAGGGCTGGAGTGCAATGGCACAATTGGGCTCACTGCAACATCCGCCTCCCTGGTTTAAGCTATTCTCTTGCCTCAGCCTCCTGAGTAGCTGGATTACAGGTGCCTGCCACCACACCCAGCTAATTTTTGTATTTTTAGTAGAGACGGCATTTCACCATGTTGGCCAGGCTGGTCTAGAACTCCTGACCTCAGGTGATCCACCAGCCTTGGCCTCCCAAAGTGCTGGGATTACAGGCGTGAGCCACCACGCCCGGCCACTTCCATGTGTTTTCAATCTTCATTTGTTGAACTCTCCTGTGCTGATTGCTCCCTTCAACTGGGTTTATTGTTTTTAAAATTATCTTTTTTTTGTGAAGGAGTTTCACTCTTGTTGCCCAGGATGGAGTGAAATGGGGCGATCTCGGCTCACCCCAACCTCCGCCTCCTGGGTTCAAGCAATTCTCCTGCCTCAGCCTCCAGAGTAGCTGGGATTACAGGCATGCACCACCATGCCAGGCTAATTTTTTGTATTTTTAGTACAGACGGGGTTTCTCCATGTTGGTCAGGCTGGTCTCGAACTCCCAACCTCAGGTGATCTGCCTGCCTCGGCCTCCCAAAGTGCTAGGATTACAGGTGTGAGCCACCGTGCCTGGCCTTCTTTTTAAAATTGTTTTACTTTCATTTTATGGGGCTCTTGGGATGGACAGGACACTGTGTGTGTGTGTGTGTGTTTGTGTGTGTGTGTGTGTGTGTTTGTGCACGCATGCGTGCTCTTACACTGTCTTCCTGATCTGGTAGGTCAGAAATAGTTTCAGTGGAGTCCTGTTGAATAGAGAGGCCTCTGGACTGAGGGCCCCAAATTCCTTTCAGGTCTGCTAACCATCGCTGTAGCCCATGAGCTGTCCTGTCCAACCCTGGGTAGCTTAGGACAGTTTATGTTTGAGCTCGGGTGGACTGTTTAAAAATTGGGAGAAGCTTATAAATCCACTTCCCTAAATGAGGCTGAGGGACAAATTAAAGCATTTAAATAGAAGCCTTAACTGGATAATATAAGTTCAAAGAGATTGAGCCCAACAAAGGGTCTACTTGCAGTTGATACTCTGTGCCCAGCATGGTGGCAGGGTCTGCAATAGTGTGTACTTGCTGTGGCTGACTTTCATGTCCGATATGTGCTGGAAGTCAGGCTTTACTCCACTGCAGTCCCCATGTTCTTGCCAGGGGTTGGTTGGTTTGTTTATTTATTTATTTAGAAACAGAGTCTCTTGTTTCCCAGGCTGGAGTGCAGTGGTGTGATCTGGACTCACTGCAACCCCCGCCTCCTGGGTTCAAGTGATTCTCCTGTCTCAGTTTCATGAGTAGCTGGGATTACAGGCGCCCGCCATCACGCCCAGCTGCTTTTTGTATTTTTAGTAGAGATGGGGTTTCACCATGTTGGCCAGGCTGGTCTGGAACTCCTGATGTCAGGTGATCTGCCTGCTTCAGCCTCCCAAACTGCTGGGATTACAGGTGTGAGCCACTATCCATGGCCCAATGTTTTATTTTTTTATGGTAACTTTCCTGATTCTGACAATAAAAGTAGGGGATGTGTTTCTTACTGTCTTACATACTTTAGACTCTACAATGTAAAGAAAACATACAGCCACCTCCAAATACCATATTTTGTGGTTAGTTTGACTTATTTTTAATTAATAAATTTTTAAATTTATGTTTTTGATCTTTTCCTTTGTAACTTCTTCCATTATTTTTAGGCCTTCCTAAATCAGACAAATATTAACCAATATTTTCCACTTATGAAAAAAAGGGTGGCTGGGCGTGGTGGCTCATGCCTGTAATCCCAGCACTTAGAGTGGCTGAGGCAGCAGATCTCTTGAGGTCAGGAGTTCAAGACCAGCCTGGCCAACATGGTGAAACCTCGTGTCTACTAAAAATACAAAAATTAGCTGGGTGTGGTGGTGGGCACCTGTAATCCCAGCTACTTGAGGGGCTGAGGCAGGAGAATCGCTTGAACCTGGGAGGCAGAGATTGTAGCGAGCTGAGATCATACCACTGCACTCCAGCCTGGGTGACAGAGTGAGACTCCATCTCAAAAAAGAAAAAAAGAAGGGTTTAATTTTTACATTTAACTCTTAAATTCATATAGAGTTTATGTTGGTATATGGTGTGAGGCAAGGATTTACTCCCCTACACCCCTTTTAAAAAGTATCTAACCAGCTGCACCGGCACTTTTATAGAATAAGATATTCTCTCCACTGAAGTGTGATGTCATCTTTATTATATAGAGTCTTGTGTTTTTAAAGAATAACCTGCTGTTTCTCTTACAGGCATCAGTTTTGAATGTCAAGGAATCCAAAGCTCCTGAAAGAACGGTTGTAGTTGCTGGTCTTCCAGTTGACCTTTTTAGTGATCAATTATTGGCCGTATTAGTGAAGAGCCACTTCCAAGACATTAAGAATGAGGGCGGAGATGTTGAAGATGTGATATATCCGACAAGAACCAAGGGAGTTGCATATGTAATATTCAAAGAAAAAAAAGGTATTTCCAAGTCAAATTTTTGTAATTTTAGAAATACTTCTTCAATAAAATTTAAAAATTACATTTTATTAAAATGATCCACGGAATTGGTAAATTTTAAAGTAGTTTTTTTTTTGAGACACAGTCTCACTCTGTTGCCCAGGTTAGAGTGCGGTGGCATGATCTCAGCTCACTGCAACCTCTGCCTCCCAGGTTCAAGTGATTCTCCTGCCTCAGCCTCCTGAATAGCTGGGATTACAGGAGGCGCCTGCCATCACGCCCAGCTAAATTTTTTATTTTTAGTAGAGACAGAGTTTCACCATGTTGGCCAGGTTGGTCTCGAACTCCTGACCTCAAGTGATCTGCCTGCCTCAGCCTCCCAAAGTACTGGGATTACAGGCATGAGCCACCACGCCTGGCTAAAGTAACTTTAAAAAAAAATATTTTATTGTGAATATACAAATGGCACGATATTGCTTTAGGAAGAAAAGATATGAAAATGGCTCATGATAAAGTTGTTAGTGACTGGCAAATTCTTGAAAACTTTCTTCTGTATTTTGAATCTGTCTATATCTTGGGGTGAAAGTGTTACATTTTATTGTAGAAAACCTGTAAAATACCGACAAAATGGAGAAAAACCCCACAAAGATGATATATAATCTCATAAACAAGATGACTACTTTGGGAATTTTCAGGTGGCCTCAATTATATATTTTAGAATAAATGGATATTCTAATATAGTATCTGCCTTATTACTGGCAAAGTTGAATTGAGAAGTGTGGCTTGGATTTGAGATCAGAATGAGCCATTCTGCTCCCTGCACCCAATCCCTGACTTAGATGGTGAGGAAGTTGGGTTGGCAGAGCACACATACCCCTTCAGCCTCATGGAACGGGCAACCTTCTTTACAGCTTAGTGGCTGGCAGAAAATACATTGCCAGAGAAAAACAAGTCTCCATGCCAGGCTCTTGGAGGTGAACATACCACATGGGGGTTGGAGCAGAGCAAGAGAACTTGCTTTGCTTGAGGGATGACAGAGTCCAGAGAAAGATCCAAGGCACTATGGATTTTCAGTACCTTTAGCTGTCACCATTAATTAAGTCATTCCTTCTCAATGGGGATGTTCAGGTAAGGGATGGCAGGAGGGGCTCAGGGGCTCATTTTTTCTCTAAGGAGATGGTAGTGTTTTTGAAAGTTAATATTTTATATGTTGAATTGGCAACTCAGAGAGACAGAGAGAGAGAGAAAGAGAGAGAGAGAGAGAGATTGGCCTCGGTCATTCATTCATAAATATTTTCTGAGTACCTGTTATTTACCAGGCAGCATGCTGGGTCTTGAGGATACAGCAATAAGTGAAATAGGCAAAGCCTTTTTTTTCTTGAGATGTACATCTGGACAGATTTTAAACAAATGAATCTATAATATGTTTGGTGCTTTATTTATTTATATAAAACTTAGATATTTGTTTATTTAAATATATTTATGATTATATATTCATAAATAAGTGCTACGACAAGACATAAAGAAGAATAAAGGGATAGAATATGACGGAAAGTGCTGTTTTAGATGAATAGGAAGGGAAATGCTCTGTTTAGATGACATTTGAGCAGAGGCCAAGGGAATAATTCATACAGATAAGTGGGGAGAACATTCTAGGCCAAGGGAGGGACTGGTAATTTTGTGAGTGGGGAGCATGCTGGGTGTGTGGAAGAACAGCAAGGAGGCCTGTGTGGCTGGAGTGGAATGAGCTGGGGGAGAGTGATAGGAGATGTGGTTAGATGGGGAGCCGGGGCCAGTTTATGCTCAGTAACTGCTGGATCATGGAAAGGTGTCTGGGATTTTATTCTGGGGTGAGATGGAAGGTTTCAAGCAGGGGATTGACAAGATTGGACTGCCTTTTCTTAAATGAGCAACCTAGCAGCTGTTTGAACAACAGGAATTACTACTCATCGTTGGCTTTGATAGGGCAGTACCAGGGCAGGTGATAAGAACTGGTGGGTATTCGGGACATGTTGATGGATTAAATATCATTTTCTGTGGTGGAGAACACTGGGGATAGAATACATTTGGGAGGGAGATAGTTATCAACAGTTCAGTTTGGGTCAATGAGATGCCTATTAGGATAATGAGGTAGAGAGTTCTACAGGCAGAAGGGAGAAAGATCGAGGCTGAAGATAGAATTTTGAAAGCGATTCACGTAGAGATGTTGTCTAAAGCCATAGAGATGGTTGAGATCACCCAGGGGATGGGGTACAGGTTAGCAAAGAAGCATGAGGCCTGAGGTCCAGGTCTCGCCAACATCTAGAGAATGGGAAGAGAGGAGGATTAGGAAGGAGACTCAGCAGGTCAGCCAGTGAATTGGGAGGAAAACCAGAACAGTATGATATCTTGGATCAAGAATGTAAAGTCTTCTTGTGACTAGAATTAACAGAGATGGGGATATACCTTTACATTTTTGTTTTTTATTCATGCATATAATACCTTGTGTGCTTTATAACATGATTTGGATAATATTTACACATAAAATGAACTTTAATGAGTTAAAGTGCAACAAAAAAGTGATTTGAATGTTGAATTTAGAGGAAAAATGTAGAAAAAAATCTTAGACATTCTTCTATAATTGAATATGCCTATTTTTATTAAAAAATTATTAGTGTATCATGCCATAAACACTTCTGATGCCAGTGTTTCCACTTAGTTGCAGAGAATGTCATCAGACAAAAGAAACACTGGCTAGCAAGGAAGACTAGACATGCTGAACTCACAGTCTCTCTCAGAGTCTCTCATTTTGGTGACAAGGTAAGGTGTGATGCTGTAGGTGTACTGATAGTCCTGTATCCCATTTCTTTTTTGAAGTTTTTCTTATGGCAGGCGACACAAAGTGCTCTCACTCCATGACTTCTAGGAAGGAAAATGCAAACTCCCTGAGTCAGTGTTAAAGGCCAACCCTGGCCCTTGAAATTTTGGTTATCACCTCATCTATTTTTATCTTTCTATGTGTGTCACTTAATGTTTTATTTTACAAAGTGTATATTTTTTGAGAAAAGGTCTTGCTCCGTCACCCAGGCAGTGGCATAATCTTGGCTCACTCTAAACTCTGCCTCTTGGGCTCAGGTGATTCTCCTGCCTCAACCTCCCGAGTAGCTGGGACTATAGGTGTGTACCACCAGGCCTGGCTAATTTTTGTAGTTTTTGTAGAGACAGGGTGTCCCTATGTTGCCCAAGCTGGTCTCAAACTCCTGGACTCAAGCAGTCCTCCCACCTCAGCCCCCCAAAGTGCTGGGATTACAGGGGTGAGCCACCACGCCCAGCCTCACTTAATGCTTTTAAAGTGATGGTAAACGCTTATACTGTCATGGATGATGCCAGGTACCAACCTAAAGGCTTATTTTGGGAAAAAACAATTAGAATGAACATTAAAAAGAAGCTTTGAAGAGACAGAAAGTAAGAAAAAGAGGAAAAAGTTAAAATCCAAAGCAATGGTTTACCAACTTGATTCTGTAAGACACTCAGAGTTGTATGCAGCCATCTGATGAACTTGACTGGGGGCAGGAATGACTCCTGGGGGAACCCTATCCAAGCAGAACCAGAACAGTTTGTATGTATTGGTTCTGCATAAAACTGTTTCAAAAAAGAATTCTGCCTCTAAAAATTATTTGAGCCTGTCTGTTTTGGGGTATGTGGTGAGGGAGTGTGAATCCCAAATTGAACAAAATGGGATAACTTTGATGGGCTGCCCTGGTGCAAGAAGTCAGGAAGTCTGGGGCAGGCAACTGGGGCCTGGTTTATTGCAATTTCTGCAGAGAAAAGAAAGTGGCAGAAAAGAACATGTTTATGTAGTCTTTCCCACTAGGCAGTACTGTTTTCATTTCTCTCTTTTTAATTTCAGATCTTCAGCTCTGTAAATGCCATCCTTGATCTTTCTGTTTTTGGAAAAGAAGTTACTCTAGAAACTCTGGTAAAAGACCTGAAAAAAAAAATCCCGAGTTTAAGCTTCAGTCCTTTGAAACCCAATGGAAGAATCTCCGTGGAAGGATCATTTCTGGCTGTCAAGAGGCTCAGAGAATCTTTGCTAGCAAGAGCATGTTCTCTCTTAGAAAAAGACAGAAATTTTACCAGTGAGGAGAGAAAGTGGAATAGACAAAATCCCCAGAGGAATCTACAGAGAAGTAATAACTCTTTGGCATCAGTCAGGACCTTAGTACCTGAGACTGCTAGAAGTGGAGAAATGCTTGTGCTTGACACAGATGTTTTTCTTTACCTGAAACACAAGTGTGGATCTTATGAAAGCACACTGAAAAAATTCCACATTCTGAGTCAGGAGAAAGTGGATGGTGAAATCACCACAATTTGTCTAAAAAGCATTCAAGTTGGTTCTCAGCCAAACAATGCAAAACATGTAAAAGAGCTCATTGAGGAATGGTCACATGCTCTTTACTTAAAGCTTAGAAAAGAGACATTTATTTTGGAAGGAAAGGAAAATAGAGAGAAAAGAATGATCAAAAGGGCATGTGAACAATTAAGTTCGAGATACCTTGAAGTCCTGATTAACCTTTATAGGACACACATTGACATTATAGGATCTTCTTCTGACACTTACCTGTTTAAAAAAGGGGTCATGAAATTAATAGGGCAAAAGGTTAGTTAATAAAATCTCAGCAATATAGTCATAAGGGCTGCTTTCTCTTGCTGAGCAGTGACCATTGCCATGAATGAGGCTAGCTTTACACACCGTATCTCATGAATCCTTATAGTCATCCTTCTTTGTCAGTGTTGACTATCCTCATGTTACAGCGGAAGAAACTAGGATTTGGAGAAGTTAAAACACTTTTCTGAAGTTATCCAGTTGACAAAGAATGAGGCTGTGGCTTAGCCCAGTCTATCTGATTACACAGATAATATCTAAGGAATAAAACTTTGAAAAAAACTCACCAAACTTTTTTTTTTTTTTTTTTGAGATGGAGTCTCGCTCTGTTGTCCAGGCTGGAGTGCAGTGGCGTGATCTCGGCTCACTGCAACGTCCACCTCCTGGGTTCACACCATTCTCCTGCCTCAACCTCTGGAGTAGCTGGGACTACAGGTGCCCACCACCACGCCCGGCTAATCTTTTTGTATTTTTTTAGTAGAGATGGGGTTTCACCGTGTTAGTCAGGATGGTCTCCATCTCCTGACCTTGTGATCCACCCGCCTCGGCCTCCCAAAGTGCTGGGATTACAGGCGTGAGCCACTGCGCCCAGCAAACTCACCAAACTTTGAAGGAATCTTACTTTCTCTGTAACTCCAAATTATTAGAGAATAATAATTATTAAGAAGTAGCCTTAACATATGAGAAATTTGAAAGGTGATTATTATGCCATGGGCAATTTCTTAACATTTACAGTTTGTGTTTACTCCGTGTAGAATTAGAATACTGGCAAAAATCACTGGGGAAACTACTTAGATGGAAAGCATATCTTATGCAGGTAATCATTATTTGACTAAATTCTATTGTTTCAAGGCTGCTGGCCACATAGGATGTTTTTACTATTTTTTTAGCCTAAGTGCTTACATAAAATGGTGATTCTTTTATAATTGTGCAAGTTGATAATATTAATTGAGTCATTCTTGTCACATCCAACTAAAACAGACTCAAGAAGCTAGGGGGAAAAAGTACTTGGGACACATAATATTGCTCCAAGAATGTAATTCTCTGTGAGCCTGGCTACTGAAACTGCTTGCTGTAACCTGAGACCAGTTTTGTCTATAGCTGCTGAGATAACTTGCTGTAACTCTAGGACTAATTTTACCTATGGCCATTGCCCACCAGTTGGAGCTTGCCAGCTCCCCAGGGCTTTACTAATACCAATGAACTTTCTCTTAAGATCACAAGTTGGCCGGGCGTGGTGACTCATACCTGTAATCCCAGCACTTTGGGAGGCCGAGGCGGGTGGATCACAAGGTCAGGAGATTGAGACCATCCTGGCTAACATGGTAAAACCCCATCTCTACTAAAAATACAAAAATTAGCCGGGCATGGTGGTGGGCGCCTGTAGTCCCACCTACTCGGGAGGCTAGAGGCTGAGGCAGGAGAATGGCGTGAACCCGGGAGGTGGAGCTTGCAGTGAGCCAAGACTGCACTACTGCACTCCAGCCTGGGTGACAGAGCGAGACTCCGTCTCAAAAAAAAAAAAAAAAAAAAAAGAAAGACCACAAGTAACATTCTTAGTTTTAAATAAAACCCTCAACCTTCTCTTTGTTTGTTGGACATACTAAAGATCACCTAGAATTGAAATTCTTTCTTCTCAAAACATTAAATTTAGTTTTGTGTCTACATTTTCATTTTGACTTTGACATGCATGGTGTCAGAAGTGGGATACAAAGCTGACTCACCTCATGGAGAATCATTGGCCTTTGGAGTTATGGCATGAGGTACCCATGTTGGGGCCCTTTGAACCCCCTACACCCCCACCACTTTCACAGGTAATCCTTTCTCCCTCCAGTAAGTATCTCTTGGACAGAACTCTCAGATATGGTTCGAGTTCTGTTTTATTTGGGATATGATTAGGGAGAGGTCTTTCCCCCTCTTGTTTGGTAGATCTGTTGGGTAGAATTATTTTCCCCCTGTTGACCTCAGCTGCGAGGTTTGGACCTTGAGGCTTGGATGAGGGAATTTTTCCCTTTCTTTGGAGAAGGCTTATCATTCTTACTGGTAAGCATGTATTTTATTTTCTGTCCTGTCTTGTATTTATTTGGCCTTTGTGTATTCAGTGCTTGCATTTACTTGGCTTTTGCATAGTTGACATTAAATCAGAGCACCCACGAAATGAGCTCTCAAAGTTCAAAGGCATGCCAGAATATTTTCTGGAACTCCAGCTAGTAACATATTCAAACATTACAGGGATCATTTAGTCTGTTTTTCTTAAAACTGAACTAAAAGATGGAGGCTATAAAATCATACACTCCAAATAAGATATGCATATTTCATTGATATCTTGAGGCTAAAAAAAAATAAAAACAAAAACAAAACACATTCAGGATACAAATATTGCCTTGTTAAAAAATACTGTCTCAAAGGTGGCTGAAACTTTCTTTTCTAGACCTTTCCCCTCCCCTTCTTACAGTATCCCCTCTTTATCCTTCTCTAAACAGCTATTCTAACATACTACTTAAATAAAAACACTTGAAAACCAGCAGATATAAAACAAAGTCATTTTGACCTTCCTACTGTTTTTTTTTTAAAGCAAAGATTAAATTCCCATGTAAAACCTTCCTCCCTATACAAAAAAGAATAGCAGCATTTTTATCTTCAATGACAAAGAATTGAGTCCAAGAAAATACTGTATAAACCTTGTTAAAAATCACTCTTGTCTTTTGGTCCTACTCACATAATTCAGCACACTTTCACAGTTAACTATTTTTTGTTCAATTTAGTGCACTGGTGAGTGACTCAAACTGCTTTATCCCAAATTTGATTTACAGCCTTTATAAGATTGCCTATTAAAAAAGCTTAAAGCTTATCCTTAGCCCATTTTGTCAGAAAAATAATTTGCATCTAATCATTTTTATAAACTGGTGAATTTACGTGTTTTACTATATCATGACTAAAATTCTAAAATAAAAGTTTTAATATCTTTATGTATATGTGTTTAAATGTGTTTATGTGTATGTACATATATTATGTTGAATGTTGTATCTACATAAAAGCTGGTGTAGTCAGCCAGAAATCCCTTAACAAATTTTATTCTGATTGGTTTAAATAAATGAGCACTCATATAAAATGTATAGTAATTAACCCCCAGTTTTTTTTAGTTGATGTGACTTAAGTAAATCTTTGATAAATTAATTGGTTTTAAAATTGTGGATAAAATAAAATTAGAAATGTCTTCAAAATTGTCAGCAGACATTTTTGTCTGGGTTTACTGGTCAGACAGTTTTATATTTGCCTCTGCTAGATGTTTTAAAGTCATAAAGCCTAAAACAAAATGATCTTTGTTTATATAGTTTTTAAATAAATATGATTATATTGTTGTTTTAATAAAAATAGCTGTAACTTTTCTGAGTTAGCAACAGGGTGGCTGTTTTTAACTTTAAGGTTCTTACTTAAACCTTAATATCAAGATAAATACTTCATGGTAACAGTCTATAAAACTGATTAATAAAAACAATGACTAGTTCTATCTCAATTTTCATAAATCTAGGAATAATTGAGAAATAAATCTTATAAATGAAATAAACATTTATAAATGAGCTTTTCATGTAATTTTAAAATCTTAAAATTATGTTAAATGATACTCATTAAATGTCTGGATCATATCCAAATTAAAAAAAAATTGCTAAATACATAGACATTTGTTCTTGGCTTCTTAGGTTTTATAAAAGGACTAAAAGTATTTCGGTCTATTAATCAAAATATAAATTTAGGAAAATACAATTGATGTATTAAAAATTATATGGTAAATTTTTATCCTAAGATAAAATAATTGGTTGTTAAAAATTTTATTTTTTATTTTTATTTTTTGAGACCGAGTTTTGCTCTTATTGCCCAGGCTAGAGTGCAATGGTGCAGTTCCAGCTCACTGCAACCTCTGCCTCTTGGGTTCAAGTAATTCTCCTGCCTCAGCCTCCCAAGTAGCTGGGATTACAGGCACCTGCCACCACACCAGGCTAATACATTTTTTTTTTTTTTTTTGAGACGGGGTCTCACTCTGTCACCCAGGCTGGAGTACAATGGCGCGATCTTGGCTCACTGCAACCTCTGCCTCCCGGGTTCCAGCGATTCTCCTACCTCAGTCTCCCTAGTAGCTGGGATTACAGGCATGCACCACCATGCCTGGCTAATTGTTGTACTTTTAGTAGAGGGGGGTTTCACCATGCTGGCCAGGCAGGTCTCGAACTCCTGACCTCAGGTGATCCACCCACCTTGGCCTCCCATCTTCCTGGAACTTTTTGAAACAGCAAGAACTCAAGGTGCAACAGTTACAGGTGGATACTTTTTCATAGCACATACCCCCAAAAACCTGGGGATCCTGGGTTACATAATGAGCTCCTTCTTGGATTATTTGCAAGAGTCTTCTAAGTGGGCCTTAATTCACCCTGTACACCACTACCAAATTCATGTGTCTGAAGTGATTCCTGGTATCTGGGAGGCTTAGACTGGAGGTCTGGTGTTAATTGCCCCACTCTGAAATTTCACTGCTATATTTAATATTTAATCATTTTATTAAATATTTAATATTTAATCATTTTATTAAATATTTAATATTTAATCTCGTATTGTCTTTTTTACCCACTTATAGCATGTATTTTCTGAAAGGTGTAACTTAATCATGCCCATAAAAATGCAGTATTTCATTATGTATTCACTGACACTTTTTGGTTTTTTTAAATGTCTGTTTTTAGATGTGAATAACTTTCTTTCCCTCCTCCTGAGGACTAAAGTCTGATTTTTTATCTTGCCCAAATTCCTATCTAAGGGGTCTGGGGAGTCATGCCCTGCAAACCATAAACTCTCATCAGATGGGTTTTATTTAACCCTGTATATCGTGACTTGCTTCCAATCTGGCATGACAAGGAAGAAAATAAAAATGTTTTACCCCAAAATATATTTCCTTGCCATATCTTGAAACTGCCCTGCAAAGTTTCTTGTGGGAAAAATCCACATTCTATAGAGAATCCCCTTCCCCCTTTGTTTTCCTTCTTCCTTTCCAGATCCAGGAGATAATCAACTGAGAGCCAGGGACCATTTTAAATCCAATAAGAAACATTTTACAACCTGCTCTCTCTGAAGTCTGCTATCTGAGAGCTTCTTCTGCACAATAAAACTTGGTCTCCACAATCCTTTATCTTAACCGGAACATTTCCTTTCTATTGATCCCAGGTCTTCGGATAAACTCAACCAACTGTCAACTAGAAAATGTTTAAATTTACCTATAGCCTGGAAACCACCACTTTGAGCTGTCCTGCCTTTCTGAACCAAACCAATGTATTTCGTAAATGTATTTGATTGATGTCTCATGCCTTCCTAAAATATGTAAAACTAAACTGTACCCCGACCACCTTGGGCACATGTTCTCAGGACCTCCTGAGGGCTGTGTCACGGGCCATGGTCACTCATATTAGGCTCCGAATAAATCTCTTCAAATATTTCACAGAGTTTGACTCTTCATCAATACCCCCAAAGCTAGTAAGCATCATTTACTTACAGGCAGTCCTGTGTGTTAGAAGGATACTGCCTATATGGCAGTCAGAGCAGAGTGGTTGAGGGCATGGGTTTTTTGGCTTGATAGATTTGAGGCTGAATTTTGGCAATACTACTTACTGACTTGTGGCTTCCATTGCACATCTATAAAATGGGGATAATAGCTACTGTTAGAAGCATGTGAACCAGAACAACTCCATCTTGAATAGGAGCTGGGTAAAATGAGGCTGATACCTACTGGGCTGCATTCCCAGACGGGTAAGGCATTCTAAGTCACAGGATGAGACAGGAGGTTGGCACAAGATACATGTCATAAAGTCCTTGCTGGTAAAACAGGTTGCAGTAAAGAAACCAGCTAAAACCCACCAAAACCAAGATGGTGACGAGAGTGACCTCCGGTGATCCTCACTGCTACACTCCCACCAGCGCCATGACAGTTTGCAAATGCCATGGCAATGCCAGGAAGTTACCCTATATGGTCTAAAAAGGGGAGGCATGAATAATCCACCCATTGTTTAGCATATCATCAAGAAATTACCATAAAGATGGGCAACCAGCAAGCCCGGACTGTCTATGAAGTAGCCATTCTTTTATTCCTTTACTTTCTTAATAAACTTGTTTTTGCTTTACTCTGTGGACTCATCCTGAATTATTTCTTGCACGAGATCCAAGAACCCTCTCTTGGGGTCTGGATCTGGACCCCTTTCCTGTAACACTATGACCTCATAAGATTTTGTGACAATCAGGTGAAGCTGTCAGCCTGGGGCTGGGCTCCTTGTAACTAACAGTAGCCAGCCGTTCCTCTGATTCCTGCCAGTCAAGGGAGAGAAAGTGATGCAGTTCAGAGTAATAAGGGAAGGCGATTTTCTTTTGCTTCAGGCCTTTTTCTGTAGTAGAAAAACAGGGGAAGGAAGACCATGCTTGATATTACAAATCTCTTATCTTACAGATACAGAGGTATAACTGAAGCAGGGTTCATTGTTTCACAACATAGTTTTGAGAGGGAATATCAGAATTCTGTCCTGATGTTTTTTATGCCCTAGGGCAGAAGGAGTGGTTTGTGTCCTGGTGGAAGACAATAGGCCACCCCAGCTTTTGAGAGGGCAGAGCTCTGGCTTCATTATGTTAAGGAACCGCCGGGTTCTTCTCTAGTCTGGAGCATCTTAAAGGAACCACGGAGATAGCTCTATATAATGCCTCTAGGAGTGTGGATCAGAATCGATTCTTTTGGTTTTCAAATTTCCCCTCTGATTTATTTTTTAAAGCAGGGTCAGAGTTGGACTTCTGCGGTTGGCTGTATATTGTAACCATGCCACGTGGTCAGAAAATTGCTTCAACCCTTTTAACTAATCCATTCTGTTTCATCACTGTCAAAAGACAAAATTACAATAAATTTAGTTGAAGATCTTAATTGGCTTTTATTTGCAATTCTAAAATTGGGCAACACTGCATTCTATAAGATAGAATGAGTGTTTTGATGAGCTATGCAGAGAAGGTTGGTTTTATAGACATAACAGGGCTGAAGAGAGCAGAAAGAGACAACAAAAAGTGGACTGGTTGATTCAAAGTTACTTTTCTTGTAAGGGTGAAAGCAGAGGGCACTTCTTTATCCTGCTGGCTAAAACTGGCCTGTTTGGGGATTTGACTGTTTTCTCTCTCTTCCGATTTCTCAGTTCAGATAAACAACTGAGTTTCAGGTTAGTAGCGTGGAACTTTAGCATGAGTGACTCCATTTCGGTTTGGTCTGTTGGGTCTAGTGCAAGAGCTCAGTCCAAACCAATGGCCTCCTATAAATTTTATTTCAAACCACACTGGGGCACAAGATAAGGTCAGTCTTTTTAAATATTTAAATGAATGACTCTAATCTTTATTTTTTTTTCTTTTCAGTTTTAAGATGGCTTTTTTCTTTTTCTTTTTTTTTTAACTCTCTCTCTCTCTAACTCCTAGGGATACTTACTCAGCAGAGGGTGTCAGGCCTAAAGGAAAGAAACCTGTTAAACTTGCCCAGTTTGCCACGGGAACCCATCCTGTTTAACAAATTGTCTCCAGTTGTCTGTCATTTTAGTGCAGTCCTTGTCATCATGCTGACCAAGTCCTGTGGCCATCGCTGATGGCTGTACTTTCTACAGGTGAAAAAAGAAGAGTCTGCCCAGTTAGACTCAGCAGTGTTCATTACACAGCGAGGTAGGCCTGCTCCCAGCAACGTGCATCTTTAGGGACAGAGCCCTCTCCTCTTACAAAGTTGGCCCTCATTATTCACAGATTCCATATTTATATGTCGGCTTACTTGCAAACATTTATCAGTAACCCCCACTCCATGTGCACAAAATGGCAAAAAATTTGAGCCACCTGTATGTTCCCAGGTGTGGCCTTCCTATTTCAGCTCTCTTATTGTAAACAACTGTCTTTTTCGAGGTCTATTTAATGATACATTTTCCACGTTTTTACTTATTTTTTATTTTTAGAGACAGGGTGTTGCTCTGTTGCCCAGGCTGGGATGCAGTGGCGTGATCATGGTTTATTTGGTTCAAACGCTAAGCTTGGGGCTCATTCTAAGCAGCAAAATCACCAACTAAATGCACAAAAATGTAGGGCAGGTGTGGTGGCTCAAGCCAGTAATCCCAGTGCTTTAGAAGCCTGGGGTGGGAAGCTGAGGTAGGAGAATCGCTTGAGGCTAGGAGTCTGAGAGCAGCTTGGGCAACAAAGTGAGACCCCCATCTCTACAAAAAAATAAAAAATAAATTAGCTGGGCATGGTGGCACACACCTATAGTCCTAACAACTTATGAGGCTGAGGCAGGAGGATCCCTTGAACCCAGGAGTTCAAGCCTTTTTTTTTTTTTTTTTTTTTTTGAGACAGAGTTTCACTCTTGTTGCCCAGGCTGGAGTGCAATGGTGCGATCTTGGCTCACTGCAACCTCTGCCTCCCAGGTTCAAGCAGTTCTCCTGCCTCAGCCTCCTGAGTAGCTGGGATTACAGGTGCTCATCACCATGCCCGGCTAATTTTTATATTTTTAGTAGAGACAGGGTTTTACCATGTTGGCCAG
This sequence comes from Homo sapiens, assembly GCF_000001405.40. Taxonomy (NCBI): domain Eukaryota; kingdom Metazoa; phylum Chordata; class Mammalia; order Primates; family Hominidae; genus Homo; species Homo sapiens. The sequence continues at coordinate 151,242,330 of NC_000002.12, read as the reverse complement.
GCCCTCAGGTGATCCACCCGCCTTGGCCTCCCAAAGTGCTGGGATTAAAGGTGTGAGCCACTGTGCCTGGCACAGTTTAAGCCATTTTTAAAAGGTACATTCCTGAAAGAAGAAATAAAGCTGAATTGAAGTTGAGAGTGAGGCCAGGTGTGAATCTGGCATTCTCTTGACACAGCTGAAAAAATTTCTTACATGTGCAAGAGACCAGTCTTGAAGAGCTGTTACTGCTATCCTGAGAATTCCTATATAAGGGACTTCGGATGTGTTCCTGAGATGAAACTAATTTACACCCGGCCTCACTCTCAAATTCAATTCGGCTTTATTTCTTTCAGGAATGCATCTTTTAAAAAAGGCTTGAATTCCTGGGTTCAAGGGATCCTCCTGCCTCAGCCTCTTAAGTTGCTAGAGCTATAGGTGTGTGCCACCATGCCCAGCTAATTTATTTTTTATTTTTTGTAGAGATGGGGGTCTCACTTTGTTGCCCAGGTTGGTCTTAGACTCCTGACCTCAAGCGATTCTCCTACCTTAGCCTCCCACCCTTTTAGTGTTTAAAGTGTTTTCTAGAGTTCCTAAGTGTAAAAAGACTGGGATGTGCTTTACAGAGAAAATACATATATTAGATACATTTCATCTAGGCATGAGTTTCAGTGCTGTTGGCTGTGAGTTCTTTGCTAATGAATCAACAGTGTATATTAAATAAGGTGTCTTTAAACAGAAACACACACCAAACAAGGCTATGTATTGATTGATTAATGAAAATATGACCAGAGGCTTGTGGGAAACTAATCTTGTATTTCTGTCAGGAGTGATGGTTTAATATTTGTGGACTCGTTGTTCTTGAAAACTTTATAGGATACAACTGTCAACAATCAACAATACATACAGCCATTTCTCTAAGGTGACCCAATAATGCCAGAGAAGATGAGTCAGAAATTCTTTCTGTATGAATTTGTGGACGGACCAGACTCTCCTATTTCCTATTTTTTTATTTTTTTGGGATGGAGTCTTGCTCTGTTGCCCAGGCTGGAGTGCAGTAGCACAATCTCGGCTCATTGCAACCTCCACCTCCTGGGTTCAAGTGATTCTCCTGTCTCAGCCTCCCATGTAGCTGGGACTGCAGGTGCACGCCACCATGTCTGGCTAATTTTTTTGTGTTTTTAGTAGAGATGGGAGCTCACCATGTTGGCCAGGCTGGTCTTGAACTCCTGATCTCAGGTGATCCACCTGCCTCGGCCTCCCAAAGTCCTGGGATTACAGGTGAACCACTGTGCCCAGCCTCTCTTAGTTTCTAAAAGATCATCCCTGTCCCTCTTGCTGTTCTCCTGTGGCCAGGTACTTACCTGTGTTCCCTAGACAAGGGGACTCTGTCCTCTTGGTCACTGCCATTAGCTAGGGAGGTGGTGGTGATGTGGCACAAGGTGGAAGGGTAATTCAGAGATACGATGGTGCAAATCACCCTTGCCCATCTCAGGCAGTCTTCTAGCTCTACTCCTGTGGTCTTTTTTTTTTTTGGCCCAGATATGGAGGAAATTTCTCATTCCAGCCTCAGAATGATTTGTAGTGGGAATATTTACTGTCTTGCTCTCATCTCCCCAACATATAATTGCAAAAATAAAACAATCTGACACTGGTACATTTCCTGAGATCTGAGCTGTCCAGTTGTAGCCAAGGTCATCCTGATAGAGAATGATGTAAATACTATAAACAGTTATCTATGGGTCCTATTTATGTCATTCCTAGAAGAAAACCTCGGGATTCACTGGAGACTGAGGAGTAAATCAACACTATCCACAGTCAAATCAGGTTTGAGCTGGGCTGCATTGAATTCACAATCAATCAGAACTGTATTGGATTTTGTTGCTGAACCTTAGCTTTTGGTGAAGAATTCAAAGGTGGCAATGTTTTCCTAAATTTGGCATTCTTTTGACACAGCTGAAAAAATTTCTTACACGTGCAAGAGACCAGTGTTGAAGAGCTATGTTATTGCTATCCTGAGAATTCCTATATAAGGGACTTAGGGTGTGTTCATTAGATGAAACTAATTTACACCTGGCCCCACTCTTCAATTCAGCTTTATTTCTTCTTTCAGGAATGCACCTTTTAAAAATGGCTTGTGGCAGAGTAGCTATAGTTTTAAAACATAAATACACAAAAGTGTCTATAAAACTATGCATTTCTATATACTCAGAGATGAAGAGGTTATTCATGGTAAACAAGCCTTCCTAGATTGGGTGTATGTTTTCTTGCCCTTGCTTTCTTTTTTAAAATACCATTTATAATACTTTGTACAATCAATTATTATTTTAAAGTACATTAATTTAGCAGATGTCAATTATTTGTAACACTTTCTATGCTTCCCTTTTCTTGCTACCTGGTGCCAAGGCCTGGTCCTAAGGATTATTACAAACTGTGTGTATGTTTTTCTTTCATTTTGCCTCTCATCTTTTTTACTTTTTTTTTTTTTGAGACACGGTCTCACTCTGTCATCCAGGGTGGAGTGCAGTGGTGCAATCTCGGTTGCAGTGGTGCAATCTCGGTGCAGCCTCGCCCTCCCGGGCTCAAGCGATTCTCCTACCTCAGCCTCCCGAGTAGCTGGAACTAGAGGCTCATTTTTCTATTTTTTTGTAGAACAGGGTTTTGCCATGTTGGGCAGGCTGGTCTGGAACTCCTGGGCTCAAGTGATCCGCCCAGCTCGGCCTCCCAAAGCGCTGGGATTACAGGCGTGAGCCATCGTGCCTGTCCCTCTCTTCTGTTCTATTTTTATCCATTCGATGCCATATCAGAAACAACGGTAAGAATTTATTGCTTTTAGAGGAACCTCTGTCTACTCCCAATTCTAACCCAAATGCAGGGATGAGTAAAATGAAAAAGTGGCAGTTTGAAATAAAGGAGCTATTAAAACAGTAGGAGTACCTTGGAAACAGCAGCAAGACTTCTGGTAGAGATGATGATGTTACTTTGATGTTGTTGCTGTTGTTGTTTTAAAGAAGCCTTTGCACTCCTATATGATGATGTTACTTTGAATGGTGGACTGTGACATCTTCTTCCACAGACTGAGGAATAAACATGTAGCTTCTGACTCTGGACTTGATATTCAGTAATCGTTATCTTTCATTATCAAAGATAATGAAATAATTCCTTCCTTATTGTTGAGTGGTATGACATAAGAAATACGCAGCTAAAAGGGCATATATCATGGAACTATTTACAATGGGATTATTTTTCTATTTCTAAATTGGTTTGAGAATCAGAGGCTGTTATAATCTGAAAAAGCACTAGAGGGAGCCAGATCCCTGTCTGAGGAATTCTTTCCTCTGGTGGGGAAACACTGCTTGTAGCCCACATTTAAATCAGCTGTGCTGGCTTCAGTGGCGCAATGAGTTAGCGTGGTACTTATAAATCAGCTTGCAGACTTGTGAATTTTGTGCCCAGCCTTAGACATATAATTTCAGGCAAAAATTCCCATATGTATCTTTAATAGAAAAGGGATTTTAGCATTACCAAGATATCATTATGTATTTTTTACTTGTTATTTTTATTTTTTTGTGGAGCTCAGTTCACATTTTTTTTTAGCTCAGTTCACAGACATGATTCCACGTGCATTAGAGATTTAAGAATCACAGATCTTAGAGGGTAAAGTGTTACACAATAAAGGGACCTAAGAGACTTCCAAATACAATTGGTGGACCGTGTTTGGATTATGATTCAAGCAAAGAGTGATAAGAAGATGCTGGTGAGACAACTAGGGAAATTTGAACAGGAAGACAATCTTATATCATATTATGGGATTACTCTTAATCTTTTTCGGTGTCATAATGATATCTTGGGGCTGGGCATTGTGGCTCATGCCTGTAATCCCAGCACTTTGGGAGGCCACAGTGGGAGGACTGCCTGAGCCCAGGAGTCTGAGACCAGCCTGGGTAACATGGCAAGACTCCATCTCCACAAAAAAAAAAAAAATAAAAAATAAATAATGATATCTTCTAAAATCCCTTTTCTATTAAATATAAATATGGGAATTGAAAGTATGTGTGCGTGTGTGGAGAGAGGTGGGAAGATAATAGAAGAAACAAGATTGACAACATCTGGTAATTGTTGGAGCTGGAGTTCATTATGCTATTTATTCTCCCTTTGTGAATGTTTTAAATTTACCTTTAAAAGTGAAAATGAAAAAGTAGAGACACTATATTCTTACAATATATATTTATGATGTAGTTTACCACCATTTATGGCTAATGTGTATTTCTTAGGTTGCAAACTAAATTTGCAAGAAAATATCACCTTTCCCCATAATTGAATTTAATTTCTAGTTTGAAGTTTTATTTTACTAGATGTCAGAAACCAAATATCAATTAATTCAGAGTAACCTCACATTGCACTGAGTCAAAAAATTAATTCAAGATCATCTTGGTCAATTCTGGATTTTTCCCACCTCATCTGCCAGCAGAATTGCTAAGTGAAAGTGAGTGAGAGGTGGTGCTGGTGAGTCAGGGGCTGGTCCTTGGTTGTCACCTCCTGAGTCAGATATCTAGTCAGACAACCTTCACCTTCTCTTGGGTAGGTTTGTCCTTGCAAATAACAGCCACATTGTCTGACGACCATCCGTAAAACCTCCCCAGATCTGCCTCTCCCTAGCTCTGTCAAACCTCCCTAGGGATGGGGAAACATTCAGAGGCTTTCACTCTGGCTTTCTCAGCTCTGCCCTTGTGGCCATTTCCGCTGTATTGCTCCAACACTATGTTTGTCATGGAAGGTCCTGGAACACTTCTCTAGGACATTTGCCACTTCCACAGGTTCTATTTGGGAACAAAGGCATTTTCTGCTTTCAAACCCTTAACAAATCTAGGGGCTTCAGTGTTCAGTCCTCAGAGACTAGGGATGTACACAGGCCACGTTCTAATATCTAATATCTCTTCCTGAATATCTCTTCCTGCAATGTCTAATATCTCTTCCTGAAGCCTGTGTTGTCTTCGTCTGGTCTGGTGGGTAGACTTAGCTCATAATCTATAATGATTGCTTATAGCATAAACATACCCAAAGTCCTTCAGAGCTCTGGATGCAGAGAAAGGTCACAGGTTCACAGAAATCATGAAGAAAAATTTTCTTCAATTAACATAATAAAATACTGTGCTATTGAATAATTTTAATTCAAAACTTAACATTTGCTTCTCACCACATAAATAAACTAGTGAAGCAGTAGTAAATAGTAGTTGTGAATGTAGGTTCTGGGCTTAGAGACCAGTGTTCTAATCCTGCCTCTGTCTTTTTAGTACGGATCAGGCACAAATTAAAGTTTCTAAATCTCATTTTTTTTTTTTTTTTTTTTTTTTTGAGTCAGAGTCTTGCTCTGTCGCCCAGGCTGGAGTTCAGTGGCGCGATCGCGGCTCACTGCAAGCTCTACCTCCCGGGTTCACACCATTCTCCTGCCTCAGCCTCCCGAGTAGCTGGGACTACAGGTGCCCCCCACCATGCCTGGCTAATTTTTTGTATTTTTAGTAGAGATGGGGTTTCACAATGTTACCCAGGATGGTCTCGATCTCCTGACCTCGTGATCTGCCTGCCTCGGCCTCCCAAAGTGCTGGGATTACAGGCGTGAGCCACCACGCCCGGCCCTAAATCTCATATTTTTAAATCATAAAGCAGAGGTATTGATATCTACTGTGCAATGTTTTGGGGGAGGGTTTAACAAGAATATGTATATAAAGTGCACATAGATTTTGGCCCTTTGTATAAACCTATAAATGGCAACCATTTTTATTATTAAGAACAGCAAACAGGCAGGAAAAGCCCCTTATGCAATTTTTGCATCTGGTTAATGAACCTTTCTCCTACGACTTCCTAAGTTATTAGCTCAGATCTCAAAGAACCACATAGGAATCTGGGTGCAGCCCGGGGCATGGAAATGACCACCGTTAAAAAAAAAATTCTCTCTGGTATCCACACCAAGGTACATGGAGCCCAAATTCCCAGGCCATTTTAAGAAATAACTGCTTAGACTTTATTTCTAGTGTGGCCCATTCTTTATGAACTGTCAGTAGAAAGGAAGCAGATGAAAAGAGGAATTCCAAGAGTATAATATCACCATGCCCTCATGAAACAGGAGAAAAGAAACCAAACAATTTATAGTGGACAGTTTCTAGATGTTTATTACCAGGACCTTCTGCTTAGAGTGAGAAGAATATCCAAATGAATGCCATGTTCCTCTCCAGCACTGTAAGAAAAAGCAAAGTTACTTTATTCAGGCACCCATCTCCCCTGCTTTGATGGCTTTGGTGTTCTGGCTAGGAGAGAAAGATCCACTACTGCCCTGTTTTCCGAGGAGGCCTTAACAGGGATTCCATGCTGAACTGGCTTCTGATTCCTCTTTGTTCTTGGATGTTAGATTTCAACCCCTTGGATAGAGATGTCCAGTGTTGTAATTAGCCTCCTTCTAGAGGCAGCATGGCGCTGGTAAGCTACCAAGAATTGGCTTGGAGTGGAAAACTGCAGTCTCAGATACATGCAGGCTCTCTACACAGATGCAATCTATTAATTAACCTTATGCACCCAGAGTATTTCATTAAGCTTTAATGCTTTAGTGCTTAAAGTAGGTTCTGTGAAAAAAACATGACTCATACTGAGAAATCAATTGATGTTGCACTATTATTTAACATTAACCTCTCAGATAGGGTATTTTTAACATATGTCCTTGGTGGGCACCTGTATTCACTTCCCATTGCTGCTCTAACCCCTATGATTATGTTGGGTCCATCAAGATAATCTGGGTAATTTCTTCGTCTCAAGATCCTTAACATAATCCTCTCTGTAAAGTCACTTTTGCCATATAAGGTAACATTATCCACAGGTTTTAGGGGTTAGGATGTGGACATCTTTGGGGGTTTTTATTCTGCTATCCACAGTCCACCTCTGCCCCCCAAATCTTTACTTCTGTCCACATGTAAAATACATTAATCTCATTCCATCTCCAAAGATCTCAATCCATTACAGCATCAACTCAATGTCCAAAATCTAATCTAAATTTCATCAGCTCAAAAGTCCCAAATCTCATCAGGTTTGGGTAAGGCTTTGGGTATAACTCATCCTGAGGCACAATTCACCTCCATCTGGGAAGTTGTGAACTCAACTAAAGAAGCAAGTTATTTGCTCTCCAAATACAGTGGTGGGACAGGCATAGGATAACAGATATAGACATTCCAGTTCAGAAGGGGACAAAATGAAAGGAAAAAAGGAGTCATCAGTTTCAAGTGAATTTGAAATCCAGCAGGGCAAACAACATTAGGTTTCAAGGCTTGGGAATAATCCTCTGTTTCGCAGCTTTGCCCTCTGGGCTGAAGGCTCTGCCCTTGAAGTCATCCTTTCTTCTTCATGAAGGCTAGCATGTGTTTGCAGATGAGTAGTATTTTCAGCCTGTTTTCTACCTGTAGAATTTTGACTCTTCCATGATTACAAAATGCATGCACAGGTTTTTCTCAGTGTTACTATTTTCTGAATTCTCTAAAATGATTTATAATTTTCCAAAGTATGTTCATGTAAACAAAATTTCAGATTCTACATATGTATAAACTTTCAGTTGGTTCTTATCAGGATTTTCAGTTTTCTGGTAGCAAGAAAACTTGAGATAATAGCTTTCTTCTGGAAATAGGATTGTTGGGTTAAATCATTAATGTAGTCTTAGAGAGAGAAGGCACAAATAACTATGTGTATGTTCTATGGGATAAGATTATAAGAATTATTGGCTAGTGGATCCTTTCTATGTTGCCTAGAATAAAAACCCCTGTGACAGACGTTCTTTTCTTAAAAAAAAACCACATATTTATTTTAGTTTTAAGGACACATATACAGGTTTGTTCTATAGAGAAATTGTGTGTTGTGGGGGTTTGGTGTGTTTTGTGAGCCGGGTAATAAGCATAGTACTTGATAGGCTGTTTTTCGGTCCTCACCCTCCTCTCAGCTTCCACCCTCAAGTGGGCCCTGGTGTCTATTGTTCCCTTCTTTGTGTCCATGTGTATCAATGTTTAGCTCTCACTTATAAGTGAGAACATAGGATGTTTGGTTTTCTGTTTCCACATTAGTTCGCTTAAGATAATGGCCTTCAGCTCCATCTATGCTGCTGCAAAGGACATTATCTCGTGTGTGTTTTTTTTTTTTATGGCTATGTAGTATTTTCTCATGTATATATACTATATTTTCTTGATCCAGTCTAACACTGATGGGCAGTTAGGTTGATTCCATGTCTTTGCTATTGTGAATAGTGCTGTGATGAACATACATATGCATATGTCTTTATGGTAGAACGATTTATATTCCTCTCGGTGTATACTAAATAATGAGATTGCTGGGTTGAATGGTAGTTCTGTTTGAAGTTCTTTGAGAAACCGCCAAACTGTTTTCCATAATGGCTGAACTAATTTACATTCCCTCCAGCAGTGTATAAGCAGTCCCTTTTCTCCATAGCCTTGCCAGCATCTGTTGTTTTTTGACTTTTTTTTTTTTTTTAAGACAGAATCTTGCTCTGTTGCCCAGGTTGGAGTGCAGTGGCACAATCCCTGCTCACTGCAACCTCCCCCTCCTGGATTCAAGTGATCCTCCTGCCTCAGCCTCCTGAGTAGCTGGGATTACAGGCGTGTGCCACCATGCCTGGCTAATTTTTGTATTTTTAGTAGAGACAGGGTTTCACCATGTTGGTCAGGCTGGTCTCAAACCCCTGACTTCAGGTGATCCACCCACCTTGGCCTCCCAAAGTGTTGGGATTACAGGTGTGAGCCACTGTGCCCGGCTTTTGACCTTTTAATACTAGCCATTCTGACTGTGTGAGAGGTATCCCATTGTGGTTTTGATTTGCATTTCACTAGTGATCAGTGATGATGATCTTCTTTTCATATGCTTGTTGCCCACAAGACATATGTATATGTCTTCTCTTGAAAAGTATCTGTTCATGTCCTTTGCCCATGTTTTAATGGGGCTATTTTCTGCTTGTTAATTTGTTTTTCTTATAAATTCCGGATATTACACCTTTGTCAGATGCATAGTTTGTGAATACTTTCTCCCATTCTGTAGGTTGTCTATTTGCTCTGTTGATAGTTTCTTTTGCTGTGAAGAAGCTCTTTAGTTTAAATAGGTTTCATTTGTCAGTTTTTGTGTTTGTTGCAATTGCTTTTGGTGTCTTCATCATAAAATCTTTGCCAGGTCCTATGTCTAGAACTATATTTACTAGGTTTTCTTCAAGGGTTTTTATAGTTTTAGGTTTTACATTTAAGTCTTTAATCCATCTTGAGTTGATTTTTGTATATGGTGTAAGGAAGGAGTTCAGTTTCAACCTTCTGCCTATGGCTAGCCAGTTATCCCAGCACTATATATTGAATAGAGAGTTCCATTTATGGTTGACTCTGTCAAAGATCAGATGGTCGTAGGTGCACAGCTTTATTTCTGGGCTTTTTATCCTGTTCCATTGGTCTATGTGTCTGTTTTTGTACCAGTACCATGCTGTTTTGGTTATTGTAGCCTTGCAGCATAGTTTGAATTATGATAATGTGATACCTTCAGCTTTGTTCTGTTTGGTTAGGATTGCCTTGGCTATTCAGGCTCTTTTTTTGATTCCATATGAATTAAAATTTTTTTTTCCAATTCTGTGAAAAATGTCATTGGTAGTTTGATAGGAATAGCACTGAATCTATAAATTGCTTTGGGCAGTGTGGCCAATTTAATAATGTTGATTCTTACTATCCATTAACATGGAAAGTTTTTCCATTCATTTGTGTTATTTCTGATATCTTTGAGCAGTGCTTTGTAGAGTTGTTGTAGAGTTCTTTCACCTCCCTGGTTAGCTGTGTTCCTAGGTATTTTATTTTAATTTTTTGTGGCTATTGTGAATGAGATTGAATTCTTGATTTGGCACTCAGCTTGGAGAGTATTAGTGTACAGAAATGATCTTGATTTTTGTACATTGATTTTGTATCTTGAGACTTTGCTGAAGTTGTTTGTCAAATCTAGGAGCTTTTGAGCAGAGACTATGTGTGGGGTTTTCTAGGTATAAAGTCAGATAGTCTGCAAACAGAGATAATTTGACTTCCTGACTTCCTATTTGGATGCCTTTTATTTCTTTCTCTTGACTGATTACTCTGGCTAGGACTTCCAGTACTATGTTGAATAGGAGTAGTGAAAGTGGGTATCCTTGTCTTGCTCTAGTTCTCAAGGGGAATGCTTTCAGCTTTTGCCTGTTCAGTATGATGTTGGTTGTGGGTCTGTCATAAATGGCTTTTATTATTTTGAGGTATGTTCTTTCAATGCCTAGTTTTTTGAGGATTTTTAATATGAAGGGATGCTAAATTTTATCAAAAGCCTTTTCTGCATCTATTGTGATGATTGTGTGGTTTTTGTTTTTAATTCTGTTATGTGATGAATCACATTTATTGATTTGCATATGTTGAATCAACCTTGTATTCCAGGGATAAAGCCTATTTAATCACAGTGAATTAGCTTTTTGATGTGTTGCTGGATTTGGTTTGCAAGTATTTTGTTGAGGATTTTTGTATCTATGTTTATCAAGGCTATTGGCCTGAAGTTTTGTTTTTTTTGTCTTTCTCTGCCAGGTTTTGATATCAGAATGATGCTGGCCTCATTGAATGAGTTGGAGAGGAGTCCCTCCTCCTCAATTTTTTAGAATAGTTTCAGTAGAAATTATATTAGCTCTTTTTTGTACATCTAATAGAATTTGGCTGTGAATCTGTCTGGTCCTGGGCTTTTTTCTGGTTGGTAGGATTTCTATTATTTATTCAATTTCTAAACTTGTTATTGGTCTGTTCAGGGTTTGAATTTCTTCCTTGTTCAGTCTTGGAAGATTGTGTTTCCAGGAATTTATCCATTTTTTTCTAGGTTTTCTAGTTTGTGTGCATAGAGGTGTTCGTAATATTCTCTGATGGTTTTTTGTATTTCTGTGGGGTTAGTGGTAATGTCTCCTTTGTCATTTCCGATTGTGTTTATTTGGATTTTCTTTCTCTTTTTCTTTATTAGTCTGGCTAGCCATCTGTCTTATTTATTCTTTCAAAAAACAACTTCTGTTTTATTAATCTTTTGAATGGTTTTTCATGACTCAGTTTCATTCAGTTCAGCTCTGATTTTGGTTATTTCTTGTCTTCTGCTAGCTTTGGGCTTGATTTGCTTTTATTTTTCTAGTTCCTCGACGTGTGATGTTAGTTTGTTAATTTGAGATCTTTTTAACTTTTTGATGTGGGTGTTTAGTGTTATAATTTTTCTTCTTAATACTGCTTTAGCTGTGTCCCAGAGATTCTGGTATATTGTATCTTTGTTCTCATTAGTTTCGAATAATTTGCTGGTTTGTGCCTTAATTTCATCATTTACCCAGAGGTCATTCAGAAGCAGGTTGTGTAATTTTGATGTAATCATATGGTTTTGAGTAATCTTCTTCCTATTGATTTCTATTTTTATTGCACTGTGGTCTGAGAATGTGGTTGGTATGATTTTGGTTTTTAAAAATTTGCTGAGTATTGTTTTACGGCTGATTGTGTAGTCAATTTTAGAGTATGTGCCATATGCAGATGAGAAGAATGTATATTCTGTTGTTTTTGAGTGGAGAGTTCTGTGGATGTCTGTTAGGTTCATTTGGTGATTAACCTTCTTGAGTTCAGATTTTCACCACATCTGCCCTATATTAATTTCCTATTTCTTTGATAAATTACCACCAATGTAGTGGCTTAAGATAACACAGATGTATTATAGTTCTGAGGGCGGAAGTTTAAAATGTGTCTTACAGGCTAAAATCAAGGTATTGACAGGGCTGGTCCTTCTAGAGACTTGAGAGGAGAAATCATACTTTACCATTCCTAGCTTAGAGGCTGCCAGCCTTTCTGGAGGCATGGCTCCATATCACTCTGACCCTCTTTCTTCCCTCTTACAAGGACTCCTGTGATTACATAGGGCCCACCTGGATAATCCAGAATAATCTCCACATCTCAAAATCCTTAACATAATCACATATGCAGTCTCTCTTGCTGTGTAAGTTACAACATATTCACAGGTTCTGGAGATTAGGATGTAGATTTCTTTGGTGGGCTATTTTTCAATTTACCATATACCCATTAATATTGTGCCTCACAACTAAATTGGCTCCTGCTAGACATCTTCAATGGCTTCCTACTTCTTCCCACACAAATTCATATTTATTTTAGTGTTTTTAAGGCCTTTTATATTTGGAGTCCCTTCTTTCTAATTTCAGCCCTCACTTCTTCCTTGCATTTAACCTCTGTTGTGATAGGGTAGTCTTTGTATATTTAGTCAAACTTCTGTGCCAGCTCTCTCACTGGGAATGTCTTTTCTTTGATCCATAAAAATCCTACTCATTATTTAAGGTTCATGCTGAAATCTTGCCTCTTAACTGAGACTTCTCATGGAACTCTGTCCTCTTTGGTTTCTTTCTTCATGATCTTCTAAGGCATTTATGGTTTTTGTACAAAACTTATTATATATATGTTTATATATACAATATTAGTTTTTTTACTATTACTTCACTTGTGTTTTCCTTGCCTCCTCATTTTATTTATAAACTCTTTGAAAGCAGAAAAAAAGTCATATGTATTTTGCTATTAAATCACCCTTAGCATGGTTTTAAGCTTATGGTAATGCCAAATAAAATATTTGCTCACTGCCTCATTGGGAGCTCTTTCAGTAGGTCCATGGTTTTCAGAGACTTTCACTTAGAATATGGGAAAATAGAGCCCAGACTTGCCATCTACTGAAGAAACAGAAGGGGATTTTTTATGTACCCATTCTGTAATCCACTGTAAAGCTATTCTTCTTCATTTGCATTTTAAGATCTATGATTTATAATCTTTATAACCAAACTTTTTCAACATTGTGATAAAAGCTAACTGGCACCCAGTGCATCCATTATCCCAAGTGACTTCACTTTGTGGTCTAGTGCTTGGTTTGGTCCTATGTCCTTGTGGTTTATAGAGGACTCTGTTGCCTCTCCTGAGCTCAGTTGGGTTCCAGGGATGAATAGCCATCATAAAAGTTTCCTGCTAGGCTTAGTCCACTTCACTCCTGCTGTGGGTAGTTTTTTTGTGTGGGTACTAAACATTGTGCTGAGTATTTTACATGTAACATCTCATTTACTCATTTCATTATACTTGAGGATAATTCAGGGAGTAGGTTTGGGTTAAGTAAAGGGATATAAAGTTGTTCAATTCTGTGTTCAATGATTCTTCTTGAGATGTTATGGCATAGCTCAGTAACAAAAGGAATTCTTCTGGACAGTTTTCATTTTGGCCCAATGCCTGAAAGGTAACTACTACATGTTTCATCACAGTATGGAGGGCAGTGAGTCAATTGTTTCTTGAATTTTAGAACACTCAGCTATCTTGCCATTCAAACAACTGACTCTATCCAGTAAGTTCCAGTGTTTTCTAGAGGGTGCTGAATATTCTTATCTTTTTAAAATTTAGATGTGGGTCTCTTTCTTATTGGGGTTGGGGCCAAATGGAAGGATAGATTTGGTTGCTTAAGCCATTGAAGTCTGATTACAAATTGAATGTGACAAGTAAGACTGCCAGTCTAGAAGTTATAACCAAAAGCAACCCTCCCAGTTTTTCCTAATGCTATATATGTTTTTTTGTGTATATTTTTCTATGCTCAGTATTTATGGTGATCAGAAAAACAAGTCATATTATCTGACACATCATACATCAAGATATTTGCAAACATGCTAACCATTTCAACAGAAGTTAGAATTTTATGTACAATATGGTATCTTTTTGTAGTTCTGGGCTCAGCTATGAAAATCTGTTCCATTCTTGTAGTTTTCTGAAACTAAAATTTTGACTCTTTCTAGACTATGGCAGAGTGTATGTGAATGACAAAGTAAATCCTCTCATTTTGTAATTTTGGACTTAAATTTTTGGTCTCATGTTTAAAGTCTCTTCCATGATCTATGTAAGTGAGTGGATAAATGAAAGAGCATATTCATTGGTATCTTCCACAGGGGCCTCTCTGGCCACTCTTTAGGATGACCAGGTACTTATAATGAGGCCCTATGTATGAAGAGCCTTTCATGCAAGGTGATTTTTGGAGGGCTTGAACACAGAGACAAGGCCTTTCTCAAACTTACAAGAATAAACTATGTGGCTTTTTTGTCTGTTTGCTTGCTAGTAATTATTGGTGCATTTTGGTATAATTTTGTCTAAGACTTGTTTTCATTATAATATGCCACCAGGAAGGAAATTGTGGGGTAGTGGAAGATGCCCCCACCTACTTCTGATTGTGAATCTATCAAGGAGGCTTTCAACATTTACCAAAAAACCCCCGATAATTGCTAAATAGACAGTTTGGCTTAGGTCAGTTTGCAATACTGAACCTGGCAGAAAGGTATTATTATTATTGCTTTCATCTTATGTATATACCTAATACACTTAAATGAATATGCTGAAGCTCATAAAATTAAGTGACTGGTCAGTGACAGAGTTAGGCTGTCAGAGGTATTTGTATTTGCTCTTTATCTTTATGCTAAACAATTGAGTTATGTTTATATTCACCCTGGATAATTGGCAATTATATGAAGAATATAACCTGCCATATAGAGTAGGGCAAGAAAATGTTAGAAGACTTAATAGTACTGAAACAAAAACGGCTTCTCTTTTGGAGTTAGCAGCACTTAGAAGCATGGCACATATTTTGCACATTAAGTAGGCCTATTTTGTCTCTTATTCCTGTTGCTATGGAAGAGAAAATACGTAGGAAGGAACTTATTGATTTCCTATAAGGCAAACTCACTAGTGGAATTTTGCCTGAAAGGGACTCTATTGCCCAAATCTCACAAGGTGAGAAGCCGTTATTGACCCAATATCATGAAGACATAAGAGAAGTTGGCTTGTGTAGATAATGTAGTTACTGACATAGAAATTGATTCCTGGACACACACACACACACACACACACACACACACACACCCCTCACATACACAGACATCTTTATATTCTATAAAGCTATTTTGATTCATTTCAATCAATTCATTTTTCTCTATGTTGATGTCTCAAATTATGGACTATTTTACATATTATTTTAGCCAGAAATAGCTGTCTTCAAAGAATATAAATATTGACTATAATAAAATGCCAGTATGTAGCTTCTACATTTATATTAATTTTGATAGATATTAAATGATAATATCATTTAATGATATTATTAATAATATCTCGGCTCACTGCAAGCTCTGCCTCCTGGGTTCACGCCATTCTCCTGCCTCAGGCTCCCGAGTAGCTGGGACTACAGGCGCCTGCCACCACGCCCGGCTAAATGATATTATTAATGATAATATCATTTAATAGCAATTTACATTGGGGTATCACTTTCAGTGAAATTTATAAAACACTTCACATAGCAAAATAAAACATTTGTCTCTTAAGGGTAAATACTGATGTCTGATTTATACTCTGTGAACAAAATATTAGACAGCCATCTGCATCACTATAGATTATGGAAGATTAGAGTAATAAAAAACTACGTTTTAGAAAAAGTGCAGCAGTGCAAAATGCTCATCTTAAATTTTTCTTACTAGCTGGTAAACTCATCTCAGCTAGGGAACATCTTTAATCACCATGAAATAAATAAATAAATCTCTGCTGTTACTCATCTTGCAGCACAATACATACAGTTGTCCATGTAACAAGCAGCCCTATTGCCATCCAATGCATGTATTATTTATACTGCTTAACTTTAGGATTTCTAATTTGTGGCTCATGTATGAAACCATAGTTTATTTTCTCTGTTCCAAGAATCCTGATATATATGAGGTATTTTTTTAAGCTATTAATCAACTTAGTATCTTATGCTTCAGTTTCTGCTGTTTTTTAAGAGTGATAGTTTGTGTTTTGGATGTGCTCCCCAGGTTCTCTTTAAACACACTTGATGACACTATCACACAGCTTACTTTTTATATCTAGGTGATTTCAAATATAACTGCATATTTGATAAGTATTTGATTGGGTCTTTTGTGCTTGACATAGTAATAAAAAAACTAGATGGAAATTTAATTCTTTATATAAAGTAGAAAATGAGGAATAGGAACCGATATACAAAAACAAAGCAAGTGATAATCTTCAACTCTGTTGTGGAACTGTGCAAAGCTAACTCTAAATTTAGCAGAAACGTAAAGTTCTATCCTTGGGTTCAAACAGCAACTTGCATAGGTAAAGGTTGGGGGTTATGTAACTTTTTTTTTTTGAGACAGTCTCGCTCTTGCCCAGGCTGGAGTGCAGCGGCGCCATCTCGGCTCACTGCAAGCTCTGCCTCCCGGGTTCACGCCATTCTCCTGCCTCAGCCTCCCAAGTAGCTGGGACTACAGGCGCCCGCCACCACGCCCGGCTAATTTTTTTTGTATTTTTTAGTAGAGACGGGGTTTCACCGTGTTAGCCAGGATGGTCTTGATCTCCTGACTTTGTGATCCGCCCACCTCCGCCTCCCAAAGTGCTGAGATTACAGGCGTGAGCCACCGCGCCCGGCCGGGGGGATATGTAACTTAAATAGAGTAAAGTAGATATTATGGTTGTCTAACATTCATTGGACACTTCTTCTCTTGTGTAGCTGCCATATGGTTTAGGTGAGCCCCAGAAGTGGGACCTAAGCCAATGGGGTAATAGAGGTTCTATGTCATCTGCCCCAACGATTGGTTCAGGTGACCCAGGCTTTAGCCAATTATTGCTTGTGTTTCTCCAACCGCAAGGACTGGTTCTGAGGTGGTCCAAATACCAAGTAGCTCAACACTTTTGATCAATGATTGTGGAACTTCTCTGTCTCCAAGAGGGAACAAGAATGCATATGGCCTTATATTGCTGCTGCAAATGATCTTGCCTCCGTGAGAAAAGTTAACTGGAGGACAAAGCCAGCACATGATGGGAAAATTACAGAGAAACAGGGTGAGGCAGCGCTTGAACTATATCAGTTCACATTATTTCTGGACTTTTCAGTTACTTGAAGCAAGCTTCCTTTGTAGATTTAGTTAGTTTGAATTGGATTTTTCTGTTTTATTAAAAATTATGTATTTATTTTTGTTAAAAAACTTAAAATAATACAAGTATCATATCTGGAAAAAACCTAGAGAGGATTTCTGGGATTAGAAAATAGTAAATTGAGCTAACGAGATTACCCATCTGCTACAAAAACTTTAATATACTGGAAAAAATATTTTAAAACAACCAGAAATAAGGAGAGACTGAAAGCCTCAAGTATAAGTTTTTAGGGGAATGGCATCACCATCTGGAGCTCTATATCTGATGCAGACATGAATCCTAATTGTCAGAGGTTGGGTTTTAACCTCCGTATAAAGGCAAGAGATGGAGGCAAAGTGGAGTCTGCTGGAACCAAGACTTCTACAAAGCTTAAGATCCAGGAAGTCTTCCCTCTCCATAACAGAATGGATACTAGAATTGTACCAACTAGCTGAGATAAATCACAAGAATGTTTTCTTTTGCCTAAATGGAAAAAAAAATCCCTATTAGAAAATAAACTCCCTGGCTGGATGTGGTGGTGCATGCCTGTAATCCCAGCATTTGGGAGGCTGAGGAGGGTGGATTGCTTGAGGCTGATGGATTGCTTGAGGCCAGGAGTTCGAGACCAACCTGGCCAGTATGGTAAACCCCATCTCTACTAAAAATACAAAAATTAGCTGGGTTTGGTGGTGCACACGTGTAATCCCAGCTACTCAGGAGACTGAGACACAAGAATTGCTTGAACCTGGGAGGCATAGGTTGCAGTGAGCCAAGATCTCACCAACTGTACTCCAGCCTGGGCAACAGAGTGAGATTCTGTCTCACAAAAAGAAAAAAAAGAAAACCCCTGTGTGGATGTGAAATCCGAATGTGCACTATTCACCTAGTGTAAGAACCACTTATCCAAAAAACTAAAAATAAAAGCTGACTTCAGCTAAGTGAAATTTCCAGTGTGTTTTACAGAAATAATGTGAAAACAAGTTTGCACAAACACAAATGACACATGATATATTTCACTAAAAATGCAAATAAGCTCAGAAGGAAGGAGTGAGATATAAGGTGCAAGGAAAACAAATAAATTGTAAACCTGGTTAAATCTAAATAAACTGATGATCAAAGAACTCCACAATAAAAAAAGATTGATTTTTTGAGGGAATGTAGATGGTGGTACTTAAAAAAAATAGGGTGAAGCTAAAATACTGAAAAATGATAAATGGAAGATGGGAGGGAATGATTGAAATTAAAGTGTCCTAATTTTTTTAAATCATTCAGGAATATTATAGAAATACTGACTAACTTCAGATATTTGGCTAAGTATGCATGTTAAAAATTTAAAGTTAATGCTAAAAGAATAGAAATTGAAATACAGGCCAGGCGCCGTGGCTCACACCTGTAATCCCAGCACTTTGGGAGGCTGAGGCAGGCAAATCACCTGAGGTCAGGAGTTTGACACCAGCCTGGGCAACATGGAGAAACCCCACCTCTACTAAAAATACAAAAATTAGCTGAGCGTGGTGGCACGCACCTGTAATCCCAGGTACTCAAGAGTCTGAGGCACGAGAATCGCTTGAACCCGAGAGGCGGAGGTTGCAGTGAGCTGAGATGGTGCCACTGCCCTCTAGTCTGGGCCACAGAGCGAGACACTATCTCAAAGAAAAAATAAATTGAAATACAATATGACTACGTGTGGATATATGTCATTGTGTAAATTAAAAAAAAATTGAGGTATAACTTAGTAGTACACTAATCTTATGTGTGTTCAATCAAATTAAAAAAAAAATACCTGTTGTATTAGTCAGGGTTCTCTAGAGGGACAGAACTAATAGGATATATGTATTTAAATATATATACATAAACTCCTCTTCATATATAATGACTTACACGATCACAAGGTAAGGTCCCATGATAGGCCATCTGCAAGCTGAGGAGCAAAGAAGCCAGTAGTGGCTCAGTCCAAGTCCCAAAACCTCAAAAGTAGGGAAGCCAACAGCGTAGCCTTCAGTCTGTGGCTGGAGGCCTGAGAGCCCCTGGCAAACCACAGGTGTAAGTCCAAGAGTTTGAAAGCTGAAGAACTTGGAGTCTGATGTTCGAGGGCAGGGAGTATGCAGCACGGGAGAAAGATGAAGGCCAGAAGACTCAGCAAGTCAGCTTCTTCCACCTTCTTCTGCCTGCTTTTCCTAGCCACACTGGCAGCCGATTGGATGGTGCCTACTCACATTGTGGGTGGGTCTTCCTGAGGGTGGGTCTTTCTCTCACAGTCCACTGACTCAAATGTTAATCTCTTCTGGCAACACCCAGAAAGACCCAGATACACACAGAAACAATACTTTGCATCCTTTAATCCAATCAAGTTGACACAATATTAACCATCACACCTGTTTACCGCTAGAATAAGATATGGGACATCACCATCACCGCAGAAGCCTCTCTTGCAATCATTGTCCTATAGGTAATCATTATTCAAGTTTCCAACTTCATAGATCACTTTTACAAGTTTTTGAACTTCAAAAAGTGGAATCATATATATATATATATATATATATACACACACACACACACATATATATATACGCATATATATATGTATACACCATGGAATACTACTTAGCCATAAAAAGGAATGAAATAATGGCATTCACAGCAACCTGGGTGGAGTTGGAGACCATTACTGTGAGTGAAGTAACTCAGGAATGGAAAACCAAATATCATATGTTCTCATTTATAAGTAGGAGCTAAGCTATGAAGACACGAAGGCATAAGAATGATACAATGGACTTTGGGGATGCGGGGGGAAGGGGAGCAGGGTGCAAGAGATAAAAGACTACACACTGGCTACAGTGTACACTGCTCAGGTGATGAGTGCACCAAAATCTCAGTAATGACTGCTAAAGAACTTATCCATGTATGGCCAGGCGTGGGCTCACACCTGTAATCCCAGCACTTTGGGAGGCCAAGGTGGGCAGATCACCTGAGGTCGGGAGTTCGAGACCAGTCTGACCAACATGGAGAAACCCCATCTCTACTAAAAAAAAAAAAAAAAAAAAATTAGCTGGGGGTGGTGGCGCATGCCTGTAATCCCAGCTACTTGGGAGGCTGAGGCAGGATAATTGCTTGAACCCGGGAGGTGGAGGTTGCGGTGAGCCGAGATTGTGCCATTGCACTCCAGCCTGGGCAACAAGAGCAAAACTCCATCTCAAAGAACAAAACAAACCTTATCCATGTAACCAAAAAGCAAAGCAAATAGTTTTGTTCCCCCAAACTATTGAAATAAAAAAAGTGGAATCATACACATATAATCCATTGTGTTTGTCCTCTTTCAACATTTTGTCTGTCAGAATTATTCATGTTGTTTGTAGCTGTAGTTTATTATTTTTCAAGCTGAGTAGTATTCCATTGTAAGAATATATCATAATTTATTTATATATTCTATTGTTCATGGATATTTAAGTTATGTCCTATATTTGCTATTATGAATAAAGCTGCTATGAGCATGCTTGTACATGACTTTTGGTGCACATATACACTCATTTCTTGTGGATATATCCTATGAGAGGAACTATTGGGCCATAGGGAAGGGGTGTGTTTAGCTTTATTAAATACTGTCAATAGTTTTACAATTGATTGTACAAATTTACACTCTCATCAGCAGCATATGAGAGTACCAGTTATTCACATCCTCACCAATACTTAATACTGCCAGTTTTTTTTTTTCCTGAGACAGGGTCTTGTTTTGTCACCCAGGATGGAGTGCAGTGGTGCAAACATGGCTCACTGCAGCCTTGACCTCCTGGGCTCAAGCAATTTTCCTGCCTCGGCCTTCTGTGTAGCTGGAACCACAGGTATGTGCCACCACACCCAGCTAATTTTTTATTTTTTTTGTAGAGACAGAGTCTCACTTTGTTGCCCAGGCTGGTCTTGAACTCCTGCACTCAAGTGATCCTTCTGTCTTGGCCTCCCAACGTGCTGGGATTACAGGTGTGAACCACCTCACCTGGCCTATAAGTTATATTTTTAAAAAATTTATTGCTGATAAAGATATGCCACCTCGCCTGACCTATAAATGATATTTTTAAAAAGTTTATTGCTCATAAAGATAGACAATTGATTTTTAAATATTGATCTTGCATCTAGTGACTTTGCTAAATTCTCTTGTTATTTCTGTTTACAGAATATATATTTTTGGATACATATTTTTGGATATTCCATGTAATAGATGTATTTGTAATTATTCTGTTTGGGATGTTGTTACATTTCTCCAATCTAAGGAGACACATCTTTTACCAGTTTTGGAATTTTTCCTGCCATTGTTTTAGTTGAACACAGCTCCTCCATTTTCCCTATTTTTGAATTTCTCTCTTTCATCTAGACACATCATTGTAAAATTGCACATTGCAAAAGACAAAGTGAAAAATCCACAAAGCAACCTGAAAAAAAAAGATTACTTACAAAAAAACAATGGGTAGATTGACAACACATTTCACATCAGCAGAAATAGAGGCCAAAAGACAGTGAAACAATATATTTGAAGTGCTGAGCTACCTACCTAGAATTCTATTTGAAGCTAAACTTTCATTGAAGAGAGAGGGTGAAATAAAGACATTTTCAGAGAAAGATTCAAATAATTTAATTCTCCCATAACTTCGCTAAGAACTATGAAGTGGCTCATGTTACTAAGAAGTGAGAATGGAGAACAAAACAATATTGTGTGTGGGAAAGGGGAGCCATAACTACTGATGCTGGAGAGATTTAAGCAAGTACAAGAGATTATCATGAACAACTTTCCACCAATGCATTTTAAACCTTATGTTAAAGGAATAATTTTCTTAAAAAAAGGTTTCAAATTGGATTAAAGAAGAAATAGCATACTGGAACAGACCAGGATTCATTAACAACAATGAATAAAGTAAAATCATCTCACATGAAAAAGCCCAGAAGATTTAAGGGTGAATTCCAACAACCGGCAAGAAACAGATTAACTATATAGTTGTCACTCAGTATCTGCAGGCGATTGGTTCCAGGACCCTCAAGGATACCAAAATCCACAAATACTCAAGTCTCTTTCGTAAAATGGCATAGTATTTGCATATAACCTATGCACATCCTCCCGTATACATTAAATCATCTCTACATTACGGATATTAGCTAATTCAATGTAAATGCTATGCAAACAGTTGTTATACTGCATTGTTTAAAAATTTGTGTTATTTTTATTGCCAAATTATTTTTCAAATATTTTCTCTTAGAAGTTGCTTGAATCTGTGTTTGCATAATCCCTGGATATGGAGGGCTGACTGGATACAGATTACTGTAATAAATAAAAAGGAATTTTCTATTCCCAAACTCATTTTATGATACCTATATAATTTTGGTAAAAAACCAAAATGTACAATAACTATATAAAAAAATTATGAGCTGGGCATGGTGGCTCATGCCTGTAATCCCAGCACTTTGAGGGGCTAAGGTGGGAGGATTGCTTCAGCTCAGGACTTCGAGATTAGCCTGGGTAACATAGTGAGACCTCATTTCTACTAAAAATAATAAAAAATATCTAGCCAGGTGTGGTAGTGTGCGTCTGTAGTCCCAGCTACTTGGGGGGCTGAGGAGGGAGGATCACTTGAGCCCAGGAGGTCTAGTCTGCAGTGAACCATGATGGTGCCACTGCACTCCAGCCTGAATGACAGAGAGAGACCTGTCTCAGAAAAAAAAAATTATGAACACATATACTAAATAAAATATCAGCAAATAAAATTTGCAACTGCCTATCATGATCAAATAGATCATACCTAGGTTGATTTTACTTCAGGAATAAAAGATATTAACTTTACACTAAATGTAACTGCAAACCAGGAACTCTTCCTTAAGCTGAAAAAGCATATCTGTCAAACCCACAGCAAGGATCATACTTAGTGGTGATACATTTGAAAATAATACAGACTGCACTCTGCTCAGCAGACATGTTGTCTTTTGAGGTTTTATTTAGAATGACTGGTAAATGTTCTCTTTTGTTTCCCATAGAACTCTGTATTTGAAAACTTTTATACTGAATGATAAAATGCAGTTCATGTCAGAAAAGCTGTGATCTACAAATAGTTTATTCTTATGTGTCAACCAGTTCATTCAAGCACTTCCAGATATCAGTGCTAGATGTTTGGTTTTGACATTTTGACAAAGACAGACTGCTTATATTTTAGAGCATTCCATCTTAAACTCTCCCTAAATCTGGTTATATATACATTTCATACAATATCTTACCCCTATGTAAATAAAACATAAAGTCATTGGAAAAATTCATGACACAGACATTGCCATTAATTTATGTAATATGACAACAATGAGTGCTATATAAACATACTGAGACTCTTGCAATTGTATGCTATAACAAAAAAAAACAGGTATAAGGGCTAGAAATCAAGAAACAAAATGGTTGTGATTCATAGATGATATGATTGTCTATGTAGACAATCCAAGAGAATTGGAACTAATAAGAAAATTCAATCAGTTACTAGATACAATATAATTACAAAACAGTCAATGACATTTTATTCAGAGACAAAATGCAATTAGAAAAGGTAATTAGAATAGAAATCTTGTATATAATGGCAGAAAAATTATAAGGAACCCAGGAATAAATTTAATATAAGATATGCAAGAACTTACTTCTAAAATTATACAACTTTATTGAAAAGTACGAAGGAAAATCTAAGTAAATGAGAAGACTCTCAGTTTATGAATGAGGTTACCCAGTGCCATATGGCAACTGTTCCTAAATTAATTTATAAACAATGGAATTCAAAAGATACTAACAGTAGAGTTTTTTTTCCATAAAACTTGGGATCCTGAGCCAAGGAAATTTTGAAGAACAAGTACAGTAGTCCTGTTACCAGATATCAAGAGTTAGTATTTTAAAAACACTATTAAATATCAAATCAAAACAGGTATTATTAGTATAGAGATAGGTAAACCTTTGGAAAAAAAGTCCAGAATCATATCCATATCAATATGAAAACTTGGCGTATTTACTCACTCAATGCCTATTAAGCACTCTCTTTTTTGCTAGCAGGGGCTTCTTCAAGCTGTCTTCCAGGTTCTTTTGACAGGATACCAGCAGTCATTGATAGCTTATTACCTGGCATTACAAATTTTCCTGATTCATCTGTACATTTCTTGCTCTAACATTGGAATTAGTTATTTCCTCAAGAAATCTTGATTTCCCTTATGGGAAATATCTTACCCATATGTAAATAAAACATAAAGTTTTATTTATCCAGCCTGAATGACAGAGACCTGTCTAAGGAAAAAAAAATTATGAACACATACACTAAATAAAATATCAGCAAATAAAATTTGCAACTGCTTATCATGATCAAATAGATCAAGTCTAGGTTGATTTTACAAGACACAGACTATGTGTTAGGAGTGCTCATTGCTACTGGGTTGGTCATTGTTTCTAGCACTTTTCAGTTGACAGAGCTAAAAAATTAAACATATATATTCATATACATACGCACATATACATATATTACATTTAAATATATATATATAATGTGTATATATATAATGCATAGTTCAGTGTATACATACATATTTAAAGATGAAAACCCCATGAGTTCATAGTGATACTGCCAATTCAAATTCAGGAATGCAAGATTTTTACTTAACATTCTCATCTATTAAATCTATGTCTTCTTCAGCCCTGGAAATCATGGTTGTTAAGGGTGTTGTTACAGTGGGTAGCTAGTCTGGTATAAGCAAGCAGGAGAGGGCTCCCCTCCCCCACCACACCCTGAGTGTCAGGTGACCATCTGGTGACGATCAGGCTGATGTTCACTGTCTAAATAACAATTGGTCATAGCTGGTGCCGGGGAAAAGCAGTCTTCCAATAGATAGGAAACACCTGAAACTGGTGATCAGCCGCTTCCCAATAATATGTCAGGATTTGGGCAAGTGGGTTCAAGCATGAGCATGCAGAGAGTCTACCCCAAGGGAAGAATCAGGGGAGAAGTAACACAAGACCCCGGAACTATGCCAGTGTATAAAACACCAAGTCAAAAGGTCAAACTGCGCACTTGATCTCTCAAGTTGCCCACTTGGCCGTCTTCTAAGTGTATTTTATTTCCTTTCATTCCTGTTCTAAAGCTTTTTAATACACTTTCACTCTTGATGTAAAACTTGCCTCAGTCTCTCCTTCTGCCTTATGTCCCTCAGGTGAATTCTTTGTTCTGAGAAGCCAAGAATTGAGGTTGCTGCAGCCCCGTATGGATACTTTCCACTGATAACAACATGAGGGATGAGAAAATTAGAATATTCTAGCATTACTAATTTGCTTTATTATACACAGAATCATCTCAGAATACTAATACTAATACAACCACTGCCAATATGATCAGAGAAAAGACTTAGTTTTGTTGTAACTATTGTCTGTGGCTTTTGGTTTTGCTGTATATTTGTTTTGTCTGTTTTCATGTGACGATTTGGGGGGATTCAAATCTATGCTACTGTTCCTATAGCAGCATATGTTCCAAATCCCCTTTTGAAAAGTGGTGAAATATTCTTCCCTGGATAATTAAACATACACAAAGAGTAGTCCAATGGGCTGATGACTGTTTAATTTAGTCTAGGATGCGCTTTGTTGTTCACTACTAAAGGCCATTGTAGTGAACTAAAAGAACATTGTAGTGTACTAAAGTCCACATGGTGGTCTCTTCTGGTTCATCCTACTGGGGATTCTAGAATAAGTTCAGTCAAGCTGCAATAGCAGTCAGAAGGTGTCTCTGGGGCTGTGATCAGTAGAGGGCCCCAGGCACCGCTTGTAGAGGCTTAATCTAGCTAATAATCTCTTTTTTTGAGACCCAGTTTCACTTGTTGCGCAGGCTGGAGTGCAATGGCATGATCTCAGCTCACTGCAACCTCTGCCTCCCAGGTTCAAGTGATTCTCCTGCCTCAGCCTCCCGAACAGCTGGGATTACAGGCGTGCACCACCACGCCCGGCTAAATTTTGTATTTTTATTAGAGGTGGGGTTTCACCATGTTGGCCAGGCTGGTCTCGAACTCCTGACCTCCAGTTTTCCACCTGCCTTGGCCTCCCAAAGTGCTGGGATTACAGGTATGAGCCACTGCACCCGGCTCAATAATCTTAAGCAACTCTTCAAAACTACCAACATAAATAAACAATCTAAGTCAAAACAGTGTGATTGCTATCAAAATGCAGATTAAGAACCGTACCCTACTGCCTCTTTTCAATCAGATTGCTTCTCTACACCCCTTCTATGTAGATTTTCTGGAGCTGGCACTTGCAATAGTGAACATGTACTGTTTTGGTTGCCCATCACCCATTTCCCTTACTTTGGCACACACACTAATTTCCTTTTGAAGAATTAACTCTCCCTCTGGAAATTTTCTTTTTGGGATTGTCTACCCACTAAGCAGGCAAGTGACTCCAGCTTGGTTAATCAGATGCTCCTGGAACTTCCAGTCTTGATTGGAGCAATGCAGAAAGGGTACGAGATGCTAGGAGATTATTCGTTCCAGTGATGGTAGGTGTGGAGAATGTTGATTAATTCCACTTGCTTTGGAGCTACCCTGATTCCTAACCTTTTTTCGACTTGTTTCTCTGGTATTGCTATCAATTTTGTATGTCCCCTGATATCTACCTAATATATTCATGTTCTGTTTAAAGTTGTTTGTTACTTGTGACCAAACAACTATCACTGATTTAGTGGTGATCTCTGGAGTACATAAGAAATCTTGTCTATTTTAATTGCAATACCTCTTCTAGCAGTTCTGATCCTCTTTCCCTGCTCTATTTAAAAAACACACACTTTATAACTTACTTATTGTGTTTATTGTCTATCTCTTTCACTAAAATATAAGCTCTATGAATGCAAGGATTCTTGATTTAAATGTGTTTCTTTGACTCGTGTATCCCAAATACCTATGACAATTAGTGGAACATAGTAGGTACTCAAGAAATATTTGTAAATTTAATAAAGTCTTTAAGCCACTGATTTGTGAATTTCTTGATGGTCTATATGGAGCAATGCTTAGTGCCCAGTTTGTTGTAAAACCTTGGCATGTTTTTGCTGCAGATGGTTTGGTATGTTATCACTGAGTGGGTTAGGAGAAAATGTAATAACATGAGGACAGTAACCAGCTGCTTTGCATCTCCAAGGGTATGAACAAAACTCTGGGCTCAGATGGTTAAAGTTCTACACAATTGTCCAGATCTTGATATCTAACCAAAGTCCATTTTACTTTTTAAGGGAAATTTTGGAAATATCAATAGTAAGGTAAAAGTAGATTTGATTAAATGACTCAAAAGTAATGCATTCATTTTTGAATTTTTTTAAAATTTAAAATTTGCACTTATTCCAACAAAATGACACAGCACCCAATTGAGACTGAATGTCGTAATCGGACAGCAGATCTCAAGGTGGCAAGTACAGCCAGTAGAGGATGGCTAGTGTGATTTGAATAATATTGTAGAAACTGAGCCCAGAATGAGGTTATTACCAGAATGTTACAGTTGCTAGTGGAAGGTAAATTGAACAACTAATATTGGAACGGAAAGAAGAGTATTTATTAAGCAAGCATTAAGTTTTACATGAGATTTACATATGTTATTTTACATATGACTTTCATATGTTTTTTTCACTTTATCCTCAGAAGAAGCCTATGTGTTAACATCTTCATTTTATAAACAGAGAAACTGATATGAGAAGCTAGTTAACTTGTGGTCACACAAGAAAATGGCAGATCCAGAATCTGGCTCACGTTGACTGATTCTAAATTTCTGATACTTTCCACTACATCACCTCCAACCAAGAAATTAGTTATTAAGTCTGAAATTATAGAAAACAAGCCAACTTTTCTGGGTAAAGATGGTGGATGAATATAGGCAATAGCTATCACCCTCTTGTCGAACCCTAAGCCCCTCTAATCTAAACTTTTTTTTTTTTTGAGACGGAGTCTTGCTCTGTCACCCAGGCTGGAGTACAGTGGTGCAATCTTGGCTTACTGCAACCTTCACCTCCCAGGTTTAAGCGGTCCTCCCACCTGCCTCCCACCAGCCTCCCAAGTAGCTAAGATTATAGGCGTGTACCACCAGGCTCAGCTAATTGTTTTTGTGTTTTTAGTAGAGGCAGGGTTTCTCCATGTTGGCCAGGCTGGTCGCAAACTCCTGACCTCAAATGAACCACCTGCCTCAACCTCCCAAAGTGCTGGGATTACAGGCATGAGCCCCTGCGCCCGGCCTAAACTTTTTTTTTTTTTTTTTTTTTAAGGCATAAACACTTGAGGACAAGAGAATGGGAGAGAAAATGAATAAAATTTTGAAAATTGATAAGTAGATGGGAAAGTGGTAATTGATTAAGCAGATCTGACATGACTGAATCCTCACTAAGCAGTGGAGAAAGTTGAGAAACAAATTGATTTACACTGAGTTGAATCCCTAAGGCTTAATTAGAGCGGATACCTCTGTAAGTGCAAAGAAAGTAGTCTGATTTCTTTCAGAAGCAGTTAAGCTCCCTAGGCCTGCGTCCCGATTCTACAGAGTTGTATGACGGCTTGCTCTTCCATCATCATGGAAGAAGATTGAAGCTATATTCCCAGGAAATGTAACATGGAAGGGGTAACGTAGAAAGGATTCCAAGCACAATTGAGGACAGGGGCCCATACTGAAGGCAGGGAAGAAGGTAAAATTTGTATACTCAATTCTGAAATCACTGAATCACTGTCTTTCCCTACAAACCTCACAGAAAGCCAGCAGCCAGTCCCATACCCTATAGGAGAGGAATTCGGATGATCATTCTCTGGGGAATCTCAGCAGCCCATGGCTTTCCAAGAGGAGAGACCTAATGACATTAACGCTAGGGATTCCTTAGGGAAATAGCTGTCCTCATCGCTTGGAACTGGAGCCCATGGCAAAACAGCCCCACCTTTGTGCTCAAAACTTCTAATCAACTTTTTAATAAATGTAAACAAATTTAATTGTGGTAAAAAAACACATGAAATTTTTCATCTTAACCATTTTTAAGTGTAGAGTTCAGTAAGTATTTCAGAATATTCACATTGCTGTGTGACAGATCTCCAGAACATTTTCATCCTGCAAACCTGAAACTGTATGCTTATTGAACAACTCCCATTTCCCCCTCTTCCCTGGAAACCACCACACTTCTGTTTCTATGAGTTTGACCACTTCAGATCTCTTGCATAAGTGGACTCATACAATATTTGCCCTTCTGTGACTGGCTTATTTCACTTAGCATAATGTCCTCAAGTTGCATCCTTGTTGTATAGCATGTGACAAGATTTCCTTTTTTATTTAATATAAAATATTCCAGGTTTTAATCGACTTGTAAAGCTTCACTCTTAAGTATGTACAGACAATCTGCAATTATCAGGCATCAGAGCAAAGCTTCTTGTATGTAGTAAACAACATAAAACACCAAACAACTCAGGGATAAGATAACTTTACAAAAACTATCACTTAAAACCTCAGAGAAGGCCGGTCATGGTGGCTCATGCCTGTAATCCCAGCATTTTGGGAGGCTGAGGCAGGCAGATTACCTGAGGTCAGGAGTTCAAGACCAGCTTGGCCAACATGGCGAAACCGCGTCTCTACTAAAAACACAAAAATTAGCTGGGCATGGTGGCGTGTGCCTGTATTCCTAGCTACTTGTGAGGCTGAGGCAGGAGAATCGCTTGAACCCGGGCAGTGGAGGTTGCAGAGAGCCGAGATCGCGCCACTGTACTCCAGCCTGGGCAACAGAAGGGACTCTATCTGAAAACAAAAACAAAAACAAAACAAAACCTCAGAGAATAGGAGATTCCATACAGGAAGCAAGAATAGAATAATTGTAACAAAAAGATCAGTAAAAACAAAAACAAAGAGTTGTTGGGAAAACCTGAAAGAATGGTTGAAATGTAAAGCTGAATAATTTCTCAGAAAGTGGAAAAAAGAGAAAAAGGATGAAAAATGAGAGAAAAAAGATAAGAAAATTAGAGCACAACGTCAGGAAACCTAAAATCCAAAATAATAGGAATTTTACAAAGAGAAAACAGATAAAATAGAGGAGAGGAATTCATCAACAAAATAATTACAAAAATTATGCAGAACTGAAGCACATGAATTTCTTGGTTGAAGGGTCCACCTCATTCACTGCACAATGGTGCAGCATGATGAAATCTCAGGACACCAGGGACAATAAGGGAACTCTACCAATTTTATTTTATGTTTTTTTTACAAAGAGAGATAAAAAAGAATTCAAAGTTAGAATGGCATCAATATTGCAACAGCAATGCTGGAAACTCTAAGATAATGGAGAAATGTCTTCAAAATTATAATAGAAAATGATCTCCAATTTAAAATTATTTGCCCAGCTAATTTATTAATCAAGGTATCCAATGACTATTAAATTTGTAAGTGTCAAGGCTCTACTTTATCACTTTGTTTGCTGAGTAGCATTGCAGAAATAACGTCAGTTCAGGCCCGGCACAGTGGCTCATGCCTGTAATCACAGCACTTTGGGAGGCTGAGGCAGGTGGACCACTTGAGGTTAGGAGTTCCAGACCAGCTTGGCCAACATGGTGAAACTCTGTCTCTACTAAAAATATAAAACTTAGCCGGGCATGGTGGTGCGTGCCTGTAATCACAGCTACTCAGGAGGCTGAGGCAGGAGAATTGCTTGAACCTAGGAGGTGGAGGTTGCAGTGAGCTGAGATCATGACACTGCACTCCAGCCTGGGCAAAACAGTGAGACTGCATCTCAAAAACAGAAAACAAAAAACAAAAAAAAAATACATCAGCTCATTTATCTGTATTTCCTTTTTGTTATCTTTAAATACATTTTAATTGTGGAATAGTTTCAGATTTACAAAACAGTGTGAAGACAGTACAGAGTTCTCATTAGTCCATGCCCAGTTTGCCCTATTATCAACATTTTACATTAGTATAGCATGTTTGTCACAATATAGGAACCAGTATGGATACATCATTATGAACTAAAGTCCATGCTTTATTCACATTTCCTGAGTTTTTACCTAAAGTCCTTTTTCTGCTCCAGTTTCCCATCCAGGAGACCACATTACACTTAGACATCACAACTCCTTAGGCTCCTCCTGATTATGACAGTTTCACAAACTTTCCTTGTTTTTGATGACCCTGACAATTTCAAGGAGTACTGGTCAGGCATTTTGTAGAATGCCCCTCAACTGAGATTTGCCTGATGTTTTTCTGATGATTAGGCTGGGATTATGGGTTTTGAGGAGGTAAAGTGCCAGTCTCATCACATCCTATTAAGGGCGCATGCTATCCACATGACTTATCACTCTTGACGTTTACCAGGAGCACCTCGCTTAGGTGTGTTTATCAGGTTTCTCCACTGTCAAGTTACTCTTTCCCCCGTTTGCTTGCTGTACTTGTTGGAAGTCACGATGTGCAGCCTACACTTGAAGTTGGGAGTTAGGCTCCACTTCCCTGAGGGTGGAATAGCCATACAAATTGTTTGGAATTCTTCTGCATGGTAGATTTATCTTTTCTCTCCCTATTTATTTATTCACTCACTTATTTATACTAGCATTGACTCATGGGTGTTTGTCTTATACTTTGGGTTATAATCCAATATTACCGTATTTATTTTGCTGTACTTTCTTTTTGTAATACTTATTTCAAAGGTGCTATGTCACAGAGACCCAGGATATTCTAGTCGTCTTTCCTCTAATTTATAGCCTTTAGTCTAGATTCTAAAACATATAAAATTAATGTAGTGAAAAAATACTCTTCTACTTGTACACAAGCCACAGACTTTTATTAAAATAAATGCAGTCAGCATTCTCTGTTAGCAATGAAAACTGTTCCGCGGAAAGCATGGCGCCTGTGGAGCTTACGATCTGTTCAGTTACTGTAACGACATTTCTCCTGAATTAGGTCTGGAGAGATGAATTTACGCCGTAGTTAACCAAGCTGCTATGGAACCTGAGGCATTAACATGCTTTTTACTCTACTGATTGTCATTGCACTTATATTCCCATCAAGCAATGTATGTAAGAAAATGTATTTTATTTAATTTCTAAATGACTACAGCAGAGAATTATATTTAGAGTAGACAGAGCTTCTTAGGCAGCCTTACAAAAAAACCAATCTGATGAAGCTGGAAACCATCGTTCTAAGCAAACTATCACAAGGACAGAAAACCAAATACCGCATGTTCTCACTCACAGGTGGGAGTTGAACAACAAGAACACGTGGACACAGGTCGGGGAACATCACACACGGGGCCTGTCGGGGGGTGAGGTGCTGGGGGAGAGATAGCATTAGGAGAAATACCTAATGTAAATGACGAGTTGATGGGTGCAGCAAACCAACATGGCACATATATACATATGTAACAAACCTGCACGTTGTGCACATGTACCCTAGAACTTAAAGTATCATAATAATAATAATAAAAACAACAACAAAAATCCTTAAAAGATTTGGATATTACATTTTGAATATCTCTTTAAAAAATCCATTTGTTGTTTGAACTTTTTTTTTTGAGATGGAGTTTCACTCTTGTTGCCCAGGCTGGAGTGCAGTGGCGTGATCTCAGCTCACTGCAGCCGTTGCCTCCCGGGTTCAAGCAGTTCTCCCCTCAGCCTCCTGAGTAGCTGGGATTACAGGCATGCGCCACAATGCCTGGCTAATTTTGTATTTTTAGTAGACATGGGGTTTATCCACGTTGGTCTGGCTGGTCTCGAACTCCCGACCTCAGGTGATCCACCTGCTTCGGCCTCTCAAAGTGCTGGGATTACAGGCGTGAGCCACAGCACCTGGTTTTTGTTTGATCTTTCTAATTTTTCTACTTGTGATCCTCATGATGTAGACTGTGTATCTGTGTAAATGACTAAGTGCTGAAAACAAAGACTCATAACAAGTCATTTAGCTTGGACAGGTTAAACAGAAACAATGTGAAAGAGTATTAATGATAGCATTAAAGTTATTCCTAACTTTAATGAGAATGTTAGCTTTCATCATTAAGTATGAAGTTTCCTGAGGGTTGCTGGTAGAAGCAATTTATCAAATTTAAGTAATTTTCTTCTATTCTTCTATTAATAAGATTTTTTAAAATTCAAAATTAATGGTACATTTATTAAATACTTTCTCTGGGTTCAAGTGATTCTCCTGCCTCAGCCTCCCAAGTAGCTGGGATTACAAGCATGAGCCACCATACCTGACAGATGTGTGTATTTTTAGTAGAGATGGGGTTTCACCATGTTGGCCAGGCTGGTCTGGAACTCCTGACCTCAAGTGATCTGCCTGCATCAGCCTCACAAAGTGCTGGGATTACAGGCATGAGCCACTGTGCCCAGCCCCCTGTAATCTTTTAATAAAGCCATTAGCATCAGTAGATTTCCTCATGCTGACCATTCTTGTATTATTTGAAAAAACGCTACTTGGTTCATATGACATAGAAGTTATTTGCTCCTTGAGGATTTCATAATACTTTCTTGCAAAACTATCTTGGACTAGTACCTTTACTATGGCACACTGTTTTTTTTTTCCCCCACAACTTTTTACTATTTCTATATTTATAGATGAATTTAGGCTTAATAATTAGTCTTTTAAGTCAATTTTGTTCATTTTAATTTTTCTATATTTTCTATTTTATCTAGATTTTCAAGTTTACTTGTATAAAGTTATACCACATTGTCTTAAAATTGAAAATAACATTCTTTACATACATCATTGTAAAAGAAAATAAGATTTCAGGACCCTGTAAATTTATTATTCCAAGAGAGAAATTAAGCCCTTGAGTCATGTAGCATGTTTACAACTTCTGCCTCTTAGTTTATAGATGAACTCTCTTCCTCGTTGTTCTTGTTCTGTGAGTGACTAGGGACAGCCAGAGACCAGATCTTCTCTCTTTTCAATCACTGATCTTTGTTATAGGTTAACTGAATCCTTCACTGTCTCATACCTAGACCACCTTGACTCATCAGATTGTTGCAATTATGCATTAAGCTTTATGTAAAAAGATATTGAAATACTGTTCTGTTTTCTTAAACTTTTTGTATATAAATGACCCCAAACTTCTACACTTAGGAACGCTGACTTCCATTCTTTGGAATCTGTATTTCTTGGTAGGCCCTCCTCAAACTTTGCCTTTGAACAAACTCTCTTTAAACTAAATTTTGACCTTTTTGATTGTTTTAGGTTGATATCATTATATTGTCTTTCTTGATTCTACCTTAACATTATTTGTATTTTCTTTAGTCAAACTAACAAAAATTTGCCTATTTTATTGGCCTTCTGCAATAATCAATTTTGTATTTACTTGATTGCTTTATTGATTTGTATTTTTTTTTTTTTTTTTTGAGACAGAGTCTTGCTCTGCCGCCCAGGCTGGAGTGCCGTGGCGTGATTTTGGCTCACTGCAAGCTCTGCCTCCCGGGTTCACTCCATTCTCCTGCCTCAGCCTCCTGAGTAGCTGGGACTACAGGCGCCCGCCACCACTCCTGGCTAATTTTTTTTGTATTTTTAGTAGAGATGGGGTTTCACCATGTTAGCCAGGATGGTCTCGATCTCCTGACCTCGTGATCCGTCCACCTCGGCCTCCCAAAATGCTGGGATTACAGGCGTGAGCCACCGGCCAATTTCTATTTTTTTTTTTTAATGAACAAGGTAACTCCAAAGAATCAGTTAAAAAACTAATTTTTTATACTAAAAAAATTGGCTAGAAACATGTTGGTGATCGAAATGGAGGCGAAACAGGTCCAAACCAGTAGAAGTTTTGAGTTCCTTAAACTTTTCTGTTCTTGTTTTTTGTCAGAAGGAAACTTTATTCTACAGTGGTATTCACAGATTTGCAGATTTTCAAAGGTCTCAGGATACATCCCATGAGAATGTCAGGGTATTTTGTCTTTAACAAACTGGCTTGGATGGAATCAAAATGATCCCACGCATGAAAAATAATTGTTGTTCAGTTATTACTGTAGACCTCTCCATAATGCATAATATGATAAAGCGATAAGAAGATTACATAATGGACAGAGGAAAAGCCCCTGTGGCAAACCAATTTATATAGCAGAATAGATAAATGCGTTTGCACTAAAATTGTGCATCAATTTTGAGCCTGCACCTAAAATGTCCCAGAAGACTGGCTTCTTGCTAATAGTTTAAAATAGCTGTACCAATTCTATTTTAGCCTTGGGGTCCTTTTATGACTATACCTGCAGGAAAACTTCAATAATGAGGGAGAAAATGAAAATATTTGCATTTTGAATAAGTTTAACCAACATTTTTCTGTCTTTCTTTTTACTCATATGCATTTTTGCAAATATTAAAGCCAGAATTGATTAGAACAAGAATGCTGTGGCTCACACAGTATACACTAAATCAACATTTCTGTCTGGAAGTTGAAAATTTATCTTCCTAAGCCAGGCTAACACCTAATAGTCTCCACATTGTGAGATGTGTAAAGGCCATCATGACAATGGGGCAGAAAGTTTAGTCAATTCAATTTATTTAACACCTCATAACACTCTGGGGTTTTTCTTCACTGTCCAGGCTTGTAAAATTTGTTATGAACCTTTAATCCTTCCCCCAGCTTTTCTTAGGTTTTTAAAGTGAATGTAAAACAAAACAAACACAGTCTATAAAAACAATTCCTCTGTAGCAGCACACGTTGCACTGGGCATGCTATGAACACAGGCTTGTCAGGGACTCTGAAAACCTGTGCCAAAGTGTGTTAGGCTTTTCAGACATTCTTACAGACTTTTTTCTTTCTTTTTTCTTTTTTTTTTTTTGAGATGGAGTTTCACTCTTGTTGCCCAGGCTGGAGTGCAATAGTGCGATCTTGGCTCACTGCAAGATCTGCCTCCCGGTTTCAAGCGATTCTCCTGCCTCAGCCTCCAGAGTAGCTGGGATTACAGGTGCCCACCACCACACTCAGCTAATTTTATGTATTTTGTTGGTCTGTTTGTTTGTTTTTTAATGTAAGAGAGATGTCAACAGGGAGTCAACATTTGCATGAATTATATTCCTCATTCTGCCTTTGCTTTTTAAATATTATTTTTATTATAAAGATGGTCACAATTAAAAATCATATATTCAAATTATACAAAAGATAGCATATTCACATGGAAAAATTAAAACCTTACAGAAAAGAAAAAAATAGTAAAATTCTCTTGTTCCTTCTCTCCACTTTGGCTCAAAAATAGATTTTTGTCTTTTTATAAGTGTGAGAAATGTAAATATTGACCAAGGATGCTACCAATTACTTCAAAAGATTGGGTTATATTCACAAAACCAAAATAATTCGTCATTGATAACTGAAATCTAACAGTACAATAGCAGAAAAGCAAAACAAAACAAAAAAAATCAAAAATTCCTCTAATATATGATTACTGGGTGTCATTTCCAAGGGTAGAAATTGATGGCTATTCTCCTTCTATCCTAGTAAAGAATTAACAATACATGCCTTTACTCTAAGGAGGGAAAATCCTTTCTTTGAAATGACACCGGACTTTATGTAATTTATCATCCAAACGGGAACAAAGGCATAAACCAGAAGAATTCTGGATTAACTGTGACATGTGGTCATCCTAAACAGTATGCTAATCTATTCAATTTTAGCATTCATTATGTACTGCCTATTACTGTTACTTTGTAGTTTTATATGTGAGGTTTTGTTCCACATTTTAAGTCTCAGTTACTTACAAGCACTGTGACTTTTACTCTTGATAACAGAAACAAAATCTCCAGGAACATCGCTAGGTACATAGTAAGAACTTAATAAATTCTTTCTGTATTAACTTGATTAACAAATACCTTCTGTATTTTCTTGATTTCTGTATTTTCTTGATTAACAAATACAGAAATGACTTCTAAGATCTTTCTGTCTTTGCTTCCAGATTATCAGAAGCCTCCATGCTGTGATTTTGTGGATTGTTAGGTTTTGCAGTATGTTTTCAAAGTCTCCAAAATTGCATTAAAACACACACAAGGGGTCATCCCTACCTGATTCTGGGGATCCAGACTGGCTACTAGTTCTGGGCCCAGAACTCTCAGCTGACTGTGTCACTGAGTGAGATTTTTGAAGTGGCCGATTATATTGCTGAATTTCTAATCTGTTTCTCCTGGGATATAGTTATAGCATCTAGTACTTGTTTGTTTTAGGCGATATTCAATCCCAAACAAATAACAACAACAATAAAAAACGGATTTCAAAGGAGGCAGGACCAGAGGGAGCTATGACTGTTGGAGGAAGCAATTCATTAAAAATTTACTTGGAGGCGGCAGCGCTCTTTTTCACTGGAATTTCTTTACTGGCCTTATTAGGTTTGGAAAAGATTCTGCACTTGCTCTGCCATCCCCTTCAAAGATGTACAAGACAGAGTCCCAGCCTGCTGGAAAGTCTACTGGGGAGGCAAATGCTTGAGTGAATAAATTACCATTCAGTATTGTAAGAACAACAATAGACAGACTTACAATCAATCCTGGAGAGAGTGACAAGCTCTGTGAGGGTGGGAGTGGTGAATGGGGTGTGACATTAGGGCAAGTAGAATCTGATCTGAGTTTTGAGAGACAAACTCCATTATGAAGTATGGGGATAAAAGGATCATGAAAGACTTGTATGAGTTTAAAAAGATCAGATTTGAAGTATTGGGTGATAGAAACTACTGTTAACGTTGATTTGTATGTCTGGTTAAGTTTTTTCAAAGGAGCTATGAAGCTACGGATGATGATCTCTTTATATACCACACGTTTTTACTTTCCAGACATTACTGTACCATTTTTATCTCTTATGTGGCTATTGAAAATATGATATAAATGGTACTTGAGTGATTTTGTTGTCTTAATGACTATATCATTTAATAAGACATGTAGATGTCACACAAAGTATATAATTCATATAATAAAAAATACACACATGTGTAATTATAGGAAATATACATTTTTTATGACCCGCAATTGATTCTTTCTCTTTCAGTTTTTTAAAAAAGTGCTCTTTTAAAAATGGCTGTTTAGATCTCCATGGAGGCACCATATTTTGCAATTAAATAAGGTCTTTTGAGTTTCTTCAAATTCATAAACCTGTGTCCAGAGATTATAACTCCCTCACTGAGCCATAAAACACATATGCTCAAGTAATTAAAGGAACTTATGGGGTTAAAACATGCTTGAAATTCCCAGACAAGTTTGTAAGTACTTTCCCAGAGAACTACTCACCTAGGAGGTTATGGCGGGTCTCAATGCGACAGTGATTTGCGCCACTGAGCTTAGAGCTTTATGACTAGTTTTCCTCAATGCAGAGATTTGATTCTATGTTTGTTTGCTTTTGTTTCTCTGTGCTGAGAACATATTGCTGAACTTGTGGCTTGGGGGTCCTGCGGGTTGGAAAACCATGGTAATTTGTTTCCCTTGTTAGGATTTCTCACCATTCCTTGGTGTTGCTGTAACTAAATCTAGGGTGTCTTCCCATAATGGTTTGATCTTGGCTTATTCTCAATGATGTAGGTCCAGTGGTAGTCTGTGTGGATGATTGAAAAACACAGTAAATCCATTTAGCCTGGTGATTGTCATGCCTCTGGCCCATAACGGGAAGTAATTCTGGTCACCTTATAGTGGGCTTATTCCCTTTGGCCAATTTTTTTAGCTCCACTATCTGTAATGACTTCTCACAAATCTACCAAGCATTTTCCTTTCTTTAACCATTTCTTTAAAGGGGAAGGAAGAGATGTGATGAAGCACCACCCTGTGGGAATTGGTGTTTGGGAAACTTGTGCAAGAAAATGCTGACGTTCAGGCTACTGCTACTGTTGTCAGTAATAAAACCCTTTGTCTCCAACCCAGTTGTCTTGTGTCTTCAGCAAGTAGAGTACAATCTGACTCTTCACGGTTCTTAAACTTTTGTGATAAGCTGTCTGGGGTCTACTTTGTTTGCCCTACTTTCATTTCTACTTTCTTTGCCCACTGATTAAACTTGAGTGGTTCCCAAAATTCTGCCTCTGGCTCATTGCTTTTCTCTTCCTTCATCCTTTTCCTGAGTGTTTGTATTAAGTATCATGTGCACAGTTCTAAATGATAAAGGAGAAACTCCAAATCTGCATTTCCAGCCATCCTCTTCTCTGAACTCTGGACTCATATATTCAACTCTGTTGCCCAGGGCACCTCAAACTCAACATGTCTCAAACTCATGACTTGTATTACTCTGCTTGGGACTTTGCCTCCTCTAGGGTCTCTGCCTTAGTTGATGGTACAGCTATGCACCCAGGCACTTAGCTAAGTGATGGTCTTTGACTCCTGTGCTAGAGTCAAAGAGGCACCATAGAGGCACCATATTTTGCAATGAAGTAAAGTCTGAGTTTCTTCAGCTTCATAAACCTGTCCTATAGCACAGGAGTCAAAGACTGTCACTTAGCAAAGTACTTGGGTACATAGCACCTCCTCCCACCTCCCCACACTTTAGTCACTAGTATTGCTGATTTTTCTTGTTAAATTATGTTAAGCCCCACCTTTATTATCACTACTCCAGTTTGAGCCCTCATCATCTATGTCTTGGGACCCACAGTGTAATACTCAGGGTTTTTCAAGAAACAGAACCAATAGAAAGTCAATTAATCAATGAGTTGATTAATTATAAAGAATTGACTTATGGTCTTTTAGTGACTGGTAAGTCCAAAATCTGCAGGTCAGGTCAGTGGTGCAGGAGACCCTGGGAGAGCACAGCTGCCCACTGGAAGGATGTCAGGCAGGAAGAACCAATGCTGCAGATGAATCTGAGTCTGAAGGCAGTCAGCTGGAGACCTCTTCCTTCCTCAGGGGTGGGTTGGTTTCTTTTTCTACTCAGGCCTTCCACTGCTTGGATGAGGCTCACCCACATTATGGTGGACAATTTGCTTTACTCAAATTCACCAATTTCAATGTCAGTCTCATCCAAAAACACCTTCACAGAAACACCCAGAATAATATTTGACCAAATATCTGGGCATCCTGTGTCCCAGCCGAATTGACATAAAAATAATAGTCACACGTAGTCTCCTAGGTGATTTCCTTGTTTTCACTCTTGTCCCTTTCAAATTTGCCCTTCGAAGTCATCTATCTGAAAGACAAATCAGACCACATGACTCTCCTACCCAAAACCTTCAATGACTCCACATTAACCTTGTATTCCTAAACATGGCTGGTTCTCCAGAGAAACAGAACCAATAGGATTTAGGATCCTACAAGAGTCTAGGATAAAAATCATATCATGAGAATCTAGGACCTCATTTTTGTCCATCTCTCCAACTTCATCTTGTGCCACCTCTTACCTGACATATTATGCCACATTGGGACATACGGTATTATAATTCCTTGAACATACTGAGTTGGGACTCTGCTCTTCCTCCAACTGGAATTCTCTTCAGCTTCCCCTTACACTTGGCTAATTCCTACTATGGGCTGACATACAAGTCAAGGGTAAACTCTAGGAAGATTCCTGGCTCTCTTGGATTTCCCAGGCTAAAGTTTGTGCCTCTCCTCTGTGCTCTTTCTTCTGTGAATAACATGCTGCCCATATTTCTACCACTGCTTTACCACAATATATTAGAAATTACTGGTCTAAAAAATTAGACTCACTAACCAATGTCTTCTATGAGGAAAGAAGCTATATCTTATTTATCTTTGTAACCTTAATGTCTAAATAACATCTGGCCTAATAGTACTACTCAATAAATATTCACTGATCAAGGGACTGATTTTTAAGTCCACAAAATTCCATATTGGAGTGTGATGGAGGAAATAAGGGGTAAAGGAATAGAAAATAAGGGTCTTCTTTGGTGAAATTAAACAAAAACAAAAACAAAACCCGAACCCACGATGAAGTTTCAGATTCTTTTGGGAAAATGGCTTTAAACAACTTCCTAGAAAATCAAGGTTTTCTTATTGAGCATTTAGGATACCTGTAGGGTCAGAGGCTGTCTGTGACTTTATCATGATCAGAGGCCATTCAGTTTTCTGCTAGACATCTGGGGAGGGCTTGGGTTTTAGTGCAAAGATAAGCCTCAGGACTTGGAGCAGGAACGGCTGATGGCAGTCACACTAACAGGTAAGATCAGCTGACACTTAAAAAATTATAATTAATCATTATTTTATTTTTGAAAGATTTTGAACACCTAAGAACACGATAATTAGGTTTTTTTTTTTTTTTTTTTTTTTTTTTTGTGGCTCATGCTTAATACACAAGCATTTTTGCTGCAAGGCAGTATTTAGCCCATACATCACATTGTGGGCACTTGAAACCATGGCAACCATGTTTTACTGATCATTTGTAAGCAATTTAATTTGGCTTAAACATTTAGAGGCTTTATTTTGCCAGTTATTTCAGGAAGTGGTTTAAAAAAACCCTTCAACAGGCATACGTTTTTATTGCCACTCTTCCCCTTCCCCCAAATTCTTGTGCTTTTCTTCTGAACCATTATCTTCTCTCTTCTTTTTTTTTTTTTAGATTCTAGAGGTAGAGAATGATTTGCAGCCATAAGGCTATCAGTGTGCTCATGTATCATTTACTTAGTCTTTGAAATCAGGCTCAAAGGATTTGGTCTAGGGCAGAGGCCGGTACTATCTTTTAAAGAAAGTCAAAATGCCCCTTTCTCATTTTTCTATAAGTTAACACCATTGGAAGTTCAAGTAATTTTCTGCTAAAAGGCAAACTGAGATAAAAGAAGACGTTGATGCTTTTACATGTGTGTCAGGAAGTAGGATAGTATCACTACTTTTTAAAGCTATTAACTATAGGAGGAAAACACATCTAATTTCTAACAAACATCCTTTGAATCCAATCTCACTGTAGCTCTTCCAAGTACATTAGCGGAATTATCTCTATATTACCAAGATTGGTATCACAAAATAACAGCAGAGTTTCAATCCTGAAAGCTCAATAACTGATGTCCTTCGCAAGCCTCTCACACTGGAATTTAGAAGCTTCCATTCAGAATGACTCACGACAAAATTTGTCAAAACTTGTGGATATATATGGAAAATTTTCTTCCGCTCAAATCAAGAAAGACAGTTTTGTTTTCTCTCAAAGTCAGTGGGTGGGGGAGTGCTACAACTTCTTGTTGATAAAATATTTATAAGGTAATATTTTCAAAGTTATAATCATGATGGTAAACACATTTATAAAAAATTAAATGAAGCCAAGTGAGAGTGTAGTTAAATATCTTCTTAAATATTTTGGCAGGTTACGGTGGAGATTAAGATTCCAGGCTATTTTAAAACAGAATTCAATGATTTCTTATCTCTCAACTCTTTTGTAATTGTAATTGGGGAGCCATACAAATAATAAAAATATAAAGATTATTTATGCAGATATTTGTTTGACTTGCCACTATCTATACAGCTTATTTTTCTTTGCTCAGACCTCATGCTTGGTTAAATGTACACTGGGTTCTGTTAGTGGCAGAAATATTTTTATAATTAAATTAGAAGAAATTTTAAAATATTTCATTTCTGTATATAAACATGTATGGACACTAATAGTTCCATTTCCTCAGTGGCACTCTGAAACTATGATAGAGTTTTGTAGTATGCAGTAAAGACGTATTAAGAAATTGGCAGTGAAGGAGGCTCGGTGAGGGATCTCTTAGACAGTCCTCCGTGGATTGGCCTTCCTTCACGGTAGGCCTGTCCAAGCAAATTCCACTTAGAATTGAGATTTTTCTTTCTTTGGTTTTTCTATCCTCTATACATTTGCAACAGAAGCCTACAGACCTTAGATATAAAGTTGGCTGGTGCAAGTTGCCTAAAAATGCACTTTGTTTTTTGTTTTTTTTTGAGACGGAGTCTTACTCTGTTGCCCAGGCTTGAGTGCAGTGGCATGATCTTGGCTCACTGCAACCTCTGCCTCCCAGGTTCAAGCAGTTCTCCTGCCTCAGCCACCCAAGTAGCTAGGATTACAAGTATACACCACCACACCTCGCTAATTTTTGTATTTTTTAGTAGAGACGGGGTTTTGCCATGTGAGTCAGGCTGGTCTTGAACTCCTGACCTCAAGTGATCTGCCTGCCTCGGCATCCCAAAGTGCTGGGATTACAGGCGTGAGCCACCAGGCCTGGCCCTACTTTGATTTTTGAAGCAAAATGGTCTAATTGGCTTTTAATTGTGCATTTAAAAATGCTTGTTCATTCCTTTCTCCCCACCCACCCCATGTCCTTGAAAAACTTCAGCTCCTGTCTTCCTGACCACCCTGCTATGCTTGGAGGCTGGCTTCTCAGTGTGTCTAGGCTACTTGCCGTTTGCCTGGACATTCCCGATAAGTAAGACTAAAATCAGCTGCCTTATTTGAAGAGGGGCCTCCTGGTGTCTTTCTGAGGAGCATTAGACAGTGGGACAAATATTTGACCCATGCTGCTGCATTGCATCTCCTAGGTTTTTCTGATGAAAGGACTTCCCTGAGCTGGACTGATGATAAAGAAGCCAGTTTCTCAAGGCCCTCTGGCCACTGAGCTGGACCCATTCCCCAACATGACTCCTCAGTCATCAGCGTGGGCCACACCCTGCTTGGAATGTTGAGAAGAAATGATCTCCTCTCTGTGGCTAGAAGTACACCTTTTCTTTCCCACTGGATTTGAGAAGTTGGGAGGAGGCGTTAAACTCTGCTTGTCCTTTTCATTAATATCATGTTCTGTAAGTCTGTGTTCCTGTGTGAAGGTACACTTCCCTGGGTAGAAAAAAACCTGTTTTTGGATTCACTTTGGACCTAGAAAACTAGTCTTAACATCAGGCTAATATCCTCTGCCTGACATCATCACTGTGATCTCATTCAATTCATTATTCAATGTCTCAGTCCTCTTCACAATAGGTGAGCTCTCTTCCTTCTGACTTTTAGGCGTATATGCCATCAGAAGTCAGTTAAGTGATTACAAGTGAGATGGGAAAAATAT
Organism: Homo sapiens; assembly: GCF_000001405.40. Taxonomy (NCBI): domain Eukaryota; kingdom Metazoa; phylum Chordata; class Mammalia; order Primates; family Hominidae; genus Homo; species Homo sapiens. Next base: position 151,198,429 of record NC_000002.12, on the reverse strand, counting down.
ATATTTATTTAACAGAATTTAATTCTTTTTAAAGCCACTATTTTCACCGGGCAGCAGAAAACAATCTTGTCATGACCATGTATTTCAGTCAACTACATTTAAAAACTTTCTGTTGTGTAAATCATCAGTCAAATTGACAGGTTACTATCTGCTTCACATCACAGTTCACAGCTCCCTCTCTGAGGCTTCTCTTCCCCACTCATGGTCCTGATGCTATCCCATTGAGCTTCAGGGTCCATCCCCTGGCAGTGTAAGGCAGACGGGGAGTTCGTTTATGTGCCCGGGTACAGTTTGGCAACATAAAAGTTGGTTCACTCCCTTATTTTTTGTTTCCCACTGGAATGCTAATGCAGTCCAGCTACTGATGTCCATGGTTGAGCCTCTAGGCATGGATGACTTCCAGTGTTGGCTCTCTTGTGTGTCACATGGGATGATCTTTGGCGTCTGGGCTGGTGCTCTTTACAGAGTACTGCAGGGGATCCTGTGGAGGCACCACTGCTTCCCCTCCCCTGCTCTCCAATTTTCAAGAGTGTGGTTCCCTTCTGATATGGTTTGGGTGTGTCTCCACTCAAATCTCATCTTGAATTCCCACATGTTGTGGGAGGGACCCGGTGGAAGGTAATTGAATCATGGGGGCAAGTCTTTCCTGTGCTGTTCTTGTGATAATGAATAAGTCTCGAGATCTGATGGTTTTAAAAAGAGGAGTTCGCCTACACAGGCTCTTTCTCTTTGCCTGCTGCCATCCATGTAAGATGTGACTCACTCCTCCTTGCCTTCAGCCGTGATTGTGAGGCTTCCCCAGCCATGTGGAACTGTAAGTCCATTAAACCTCTTTCTTTTGTAAATTGCCCAGTCTTGGGTATGTCTTTATCAGCAGCGTGAAAACGGACTAATACACCTTCATTCTTCTGGCTGGCCTCTTTTGAGGCTAGTTAGCAAGCTGGATCTTCTCTCTAGGTATCTTCAAATATCTACTCTTAAGTTCATGAAAAAACTAGAAATCCCCACTCCACCACACTTGGCTGCTTATGAAACCAGAGGTGATGCTTGCCTTATCTTGCCTAATTTCCCTCCTCCTTCTCTCTGCTGACCATTTGTCCATGCCATATCAGGCATCCTGCTGGGTCTGCCAGAGAAGTGGTCAGCAATTCCCTCCACTCAAAATCACTGTCACACTTCTGGGGAAATTCTCTCAGGCACCCATTCTGTCTCTGGGGTGGCAGTAGGAAGTGGTGTGTGGGTGTCTTAATTATAATTTTTACTTCTTTTCTCCAATGCAGTTTCCCAACTTGTTTTATATTTTGTTCTCTGGAAGTGTGTGTGTGTGTGTGTGTCTGTGTGTGTGTGTATGTGTGTTGGTTGCTGGGTGTTTGTTTTGAAAGTGGAGAGTGGTTTGAGGGAGAAGGGAAGCTAAAATCATTATTTGATGTCTCAAGTTGCAGATTGATGGAAATGATACATTAGGAACAGAAAACTTGATGTAAGAGAGGGAAGAGACTTGCTGGAGTAATTCCTTAAACAGGAGAAGGGAGGAGAGGGATGGGAGCTAATCCTGTCTGCCTACCTGGACCTTTGCTTTTTGTGTTTCAACGAGAGGTTTCCTGTCTTGTTCTCTGTTGCCTAATTCCTGCTTTGGTGCTCTGAACAAGATAGCAGAGTGGATGAGTTATGTATCAGGGAATAAATCAGAACTCTTGAGAGCTGAAATTATGAACTTATTAGATATTTCACAACAACTGGATGTTGTGAGTTAAAAGTAGTAATATCCAACCAGCATAAAACAATTAAAACTTCCAAGTAATGATGGTTACATTAATGTATTTATTTATTTTCCTAAAAAAATTGCAAACTTCTCCTATCATGGTAACTGTCAGTGCTAGAGTTGGGAAAGAAGTTGGGGCATGGATTCAAGGTAAGAATGTAGGACCAGAAGGGGCAGAGCCAGGATGAGGTAGAGAGTCTTACGGGAAATTGAAAAGTTATTTCTAAGCCCAATATGTTGTTTACAACATTCAATGGCATAGGAGGATATCACAACTCCCTGAACTTATAAAATATGCAGCAGTCCTTCTTATTTTGGGCGGACATTATAAGCTATGTGGATCTGTGGTTTGCTTTCCAAGACTGGAAGTTATACTTGTTTTACAATTGCTAAAGTTTACCATTCTTGAAATTGCAGGTAGCTGCTTTAAAATACTGTTCTACAAAAAAGATCATTCTGATCCAAAAAAGAAAGTGGTAAGAAATCTCCTTAGGCTTCAATTGCTGAGTAAACAGAGTCCTTAAAGGTCTGTCTACATACACCACAAGTCAGAAGTGGGTTTCTTTAGTAGAGGGATGTGATAGACCAGCAAGGCTGGGATCTGGAGATTAGGTAGGCATGCCTAGGAGCCTCTGTCAAAGGAAACAGCAATGTCAGGAGATCCAGGAAGAGAAAAAGACGTCCAGGTAGAGTGCGAGACAGTGTAGGCAGGAAGCAGAGGGGGACTGGAGATTGGAGATCAGAGCAGAGGGTGGAACTGAGGAAGAGACTGGTACCAAAAGGGCCCAGCAGGGCCAGGTGTCCTCGGATAAGACAAGCCCAGCAGGTCTAACAGGTGGAAACAAAACAAAATGTCGACTAAAAGTATGTGGAGTAAGGTGAGGCCAGAATCCAGGCAAGCAATTTAGTAATAGTTTTGGGGCATGAGGAGCAACAAAGATCCTAAGCTCAACACTTAGGATTCTGAGCTCAAAACTTCCTGAGACCAGGTATCATCTTAGAGTGGTGGAGTTACATAGGTGCATGTGGCAAAGCAAGTAATGTGGGCAATGAATTCCAACACTTGGATCTCTAGAGTATACACACGTGCACCACACACCCCCTACACACCATGCAGGGGTTCGAGGCCCTGAGTTTTGGGTTAAATGAAGATTGCTGGGCGGAGGTCGTTAGGGGGAGGATGTTAAGTGAAAATGCTGTATAACCTGCATGCTATTTGCAAGCGATTGCAGTTCTCCTGTCCAGCACGTGCCACTGGACTCTCCCCTCTGTGTGTAAGCCCCCAGTAAAACCCCATGTCTTGTTTGCTGGCTCTGGGTCTCTTCTTTGGCCTCTTGAATCCTTAATAGGGTTAATAGGGTTTTGACATGACACTCCCACACCCCTCGACAGCCCCCCAATACCACACACACACACACACACACACACACACCCCACACAACCCATAAGCATCACACACACATACACCCACCTATACAGAGGGAGTGAGGATGGGAACATGATGGAACAAAAGAGTCACAAAACATATTTTAGAAGTAGGAGGAAAATATGGATAATTTCATTTTCTTTTATTTTTTGGTTTGAATATACTTTCTAAATTGTCTACTAATAAACATGTGCTATTATTTTAATAATAATATATAGACTTTCTTTAAAAAGAAATCTACCCAAATGAACCGCAGTGTATTTGCAGACAATTTAAGGATTTGGTATTTGGTTAAATGACTGGGTGACTGCTCCTAGATGGGACACAGATGTAAAACCAAATGATTGCAGGACACAACAAATTCTCTTGGAATTGGGTAAATTCCCATATTCAATCTGCTTGCCTTTTATCTTCTGTGGAAATTTCTTGATTGACTGGTGGAATATCCACTTTCTTCTAAAACAGTCATTTAGGCCGGATCTATCTGGGACAAAATGAAAGAAGAGTTGAAAATTATTGAACTGAGGCGATTATTTGGAAAGATTCAAACTGAATAAATAAAGGTTGGACCCCCAATCCATGTACCCAGCTGGATACTTTTTATTGGCCTGTTGAGCCCATAATAGGATTGTGGGATAAGAAGAATATTGGGTTTCATTTTTTAGTTCATTTTGCAAATGAGAAGAGCCCTAGGAAAAATTCCTTTTGTTCTTTATGCCAAAATATTTCATCACTAACCCGATACAAAATGTATTAGATAATACTTTTTAAAAGGCACTGGACCAATAAACTTTACAAGATTTAAAAATGTTTCCTATCCCAAATGTTTTCATTAACCTCAATGATACAAGTGGAACCAAATACATCAACAATGAAAAGATAAGCAAATCTTAGTCACAATTGAAGTTTTTATTTATACTCAGGAATTGGCCTATAAGAAAAGAAATATTTGGTTACCCGAATGAAACTGACTATTTACTACACATGTACATGTCCATCATAATCCTCAGGTCAAATTGGAAAGTCAGTTTGAATGGCAGATATGATTTTAACATATTCTTGTTTGTGTGCATTGTCTGAATTTTGGGAAGCCACAGTTGCATTAAGACAATAATGGGATGGTTTGGCCATAGACTTGGATGTTAGGTAACTCCATGCTGTGTCTTTAATGCAAGGCCAATTATGTTTAGCAAGAGATAACAAACAGTTCAATAGGTTCGTATCACCCTACTCCTGGGTTAGGTGGGTAAAGATCACAAAAGAGGCCATAAGGAATATAATGATGCTAAATGGACCCTAAATATGCTATTCCCCACATAAGCACCAATTGCAGTATAAAATCCATTAGAACTTTGCTAATTATAAATACTTTCTAGTCTCTGCTAGAGCGAAATAGTGCACCTCATTAAATATTGTCATTAACATCCTGTGAGTCCGGTGATTACTCCCACACACAAATAGTCTCAGTGACTACTGACCCCTACCTGGTGGGTGGAGGATGTGCGTGTTTCTCGATTCAGGTCTTTGTTCTGTCATTAAGGCTTTGAGACCAAATAATTCAGGCTAAATGAAATTTGATTGTTAGGAGGACAGGTCTGGGCCAATTAGGCCAAAGCAGTAGCTTTCATTTAGTGTTTTCCCATCTCTTATGCTCCACTTACCAGATGTCTCCTGATGACACTAGCTTAGAGGTGCAGATGTATCTTTTTTCCTACTTGTTCCCACCAATTGTCCTCTCTCATAGTTCCATGGGCTTTTAAGATTCCAGGTGGTAGCTGTGAGATGGCCCCAGTCACTCCTCTTTTATGGGTACACCTGCGGACATGAAGTCCAGGCATCCCCTGCCCAGCGTAGTCCTGGCTGCTCTGTGTCACTGTCATTGCCCTGTTGATGCTGGCACATCGCCTGGGCCATGGTCTCTGTGGCTGGCTCAGAACTTGAGGCCTTTGGAATGGCTTCCCTAAACTTCCATTCCCCAGTAGGGTATACTTCCCTTTTCTTTTCTTTTTTTTTTTTTTTTTTTTTTTTTTTTGCAGGGAGTTAAGCTGCTAAGGCCCAGACTCCATGCTACATGGAATCCCACCAGGGCCCTGGACCATTTATTTCTGTATGATCCTTTATTTTTTGTGCTAAGCAACTTATGGAACTTAAACAAGCTTGCTTTTGAAGAACAGTTTTTTAGGTGGCCTTGAACTGACTCAGTTCTGCCCGCTTTTTGTAGTTTCTGTAGTTCTATATATATAACTATAGAATGTGCTGGGAAAGCAGTAGCTGAGATAGGGAGGAGCTGCCTGAAACAGTCTAGGCCTTGTTTGTGTCCTTCCTAGCGGATGTAACACTTGAGTTAGGCAGGAACTTCATGGGTCAGTCTGGGCTTTGTTCCTTTCTCCCCTGGGAGCAAGATGTTCTTTAGCCCAGTGAATTACATGCCCCTGAGGTATACAACCCAGGGTGGCTGCCTTTCAGGGTCCTCAGCTGTGCTGCAAGTGGGGCACATGCAGTCAAGATTCCATCCTGCCTGGGCAGCTTTCTTGAGCCTTGGGGAACTGGCTCACCATGGATCTCATGCTTCTTTTGTTCCTTGCTGCCTATCTGTAAGTAATACCTCTGCTTCCTGGAACTTGTTGCATATGAATGTGTTTTGTCACTAGACTCAGACAAGTTGGCAACTGGTACACAGCGAACCTGCTTCACAGTCTCATGCCTTCTCCATTCCTTACTGTGTTCATCCACCAAGGACCAACTATCAGACCCCTTAACCACTGAATGCAGAGTTGGGAAGACAGGCCCACAATAGGTTCTTGTGAGTGGGCATGACCTGGCACCAGCAGACCATTGTCTGTGGGCATCACACACTATGAGTTTTCCTCCCAATTACAATAAGAAAGTAAGCTAAATTTAGTGGAGTCAACAGTGCAGAGGTGTACCTTGCTTAATGCCATAGAAATAGCCCTGATATTGCACCTGAATGGGATATTTATTAATCATAAGGGAAGTCATTATTTCAGAGAAAACTGTAGTGAAGAGTTTAGTAAAGCAAAAATTCCATTTTTTTGTAACATAAACCGTGCTTCCAGACATATCTGATCTATAAATTTTGATTTTATGTTTCAGATTTTCTTTAAAGCCAAATATGCCTATAAAACTTAAAAAACTTAACAGTTTTATGGGGGGCTGGGGCTGGAGCAGGGGTCTTTCATGATTCTTTCATCTTTTAAGTTGCCTCCTTCCGTTCAGATGGACAACTGACTGTTCCCCTGGCAGCTTTTGCCAGGCTTATAGGAGCCAGTCACCTGGGAGGCCGTGTCTTTCATGAGAGAATCAGCATTCTCTAGACCTTCTGTTTTTCATGTCCTTTTTCTGTTCCTTTGAAAAGAGACATAAGGAAGCAGGAAAGCTGGATTTTGGTCTTGGTTCTACCTTAGATGGCTGCCTGATTTGAACCAATCAGTTGGTGTTTCCGGGTCTCCTTTCTAATCAGTAAAATGAGAAGAGTAGGCTTAATGATCACTAAATTTGCATCTGGTAGTGCAATTTTAAAAAACGAAAATAATTTTGAAAGTCCATTTTTGAAAATGCCACCAAATCATGAATTTCTCTATTCATATTCACATGCTAACTATCAAGGACATGTGTTGTGCTTTTATGAAGGCAAAAAATGGCTTGGAACTTTTGGGAAACTTCTATTTAGTAGAGCTAAACGATTCATGTCATGTCCAGTAGTGGCAAACTGCATTCTTGAGTAATGGTGGAATATATTTTCTCAGGTGAAAGCTTAAATTCAGTTCTACTGGGGCTTAATTAAGCAATACTGTCTGAAGTCATGAGCAATTCTGTGAATAAAATCGCTGAAGAAATAGAAATGCCTCAGAATGCAATGCTGGTCTATAGCATTTGAGACATGATCTGGTTTAGTTTGTTTGAATTCTTACATTGGAAGGCAATTCAGGGCTCTCTGTTGAATGGAGCAGGGGTGAATCCCAATGGCCTTGCCCTGTTGCAAAGAGCTAGGGAAGTTTATTTTATTTCTGGACTATTGGGTGAAATCCTGAAACCAATTTTCTGCTGGAAATTGTGTGTATCCTTCTGGCAACAAGCTGCCTGAGCAGCGAGCTGTCACATTTCAATGCAGAAGCCTTTTGTTTGGCAATGAGATAATTTTAGTTCTTATGCTATTAGGAATGTATTTAGAAATTCAGCATAAATGCTTTTGGAGTATACTGGGCTATTCATAGGGGAGCTAAGGTCCAGGGCAAATCATAGTATATTTTCTTTTCCTACTTTCTCATCTGCCCCTCCTTTCAAATGCCAAGTTTTGATGTAGTAAAAAGAATACCAAGGGCAACCTTGAAAAGTGGTTCCTAAAGCACAGTATGTGCAGAGTGCAGGGAGGTACACAGCAGCATCCATTCCTTACCTTACTAATGGAGGAGGTGGAAGAGCTATCTGAAAGCTGAATCTGTACATAGGTTGTTGCGGTTTTCTTGACACCTACTGGCTTTTGCACTAGTAAGCTTTATTAGCTTTTTCAGATTTAAACATCTAAGATACTAAGACAAACTGGACATGTTGTAAAGGATGTGTTGAGATTTGAATTGCTCATAGGTCCATGAGGACAGATAATCCAATCCTGTTTATTGTATTTCATTTTTTTTTAGAGACAGGGTCTTTCTATGTTGCCCAGGCTGGAGTACAGTGGCTATTCACAGATATGATCATAACTCACTGCAGCCTTGAACTACTGGGTTCAAGCAATCCTCCTGCCTCAGCCTCCTGCACAGCTGGGACTTACAGGTGCACACCACCATGCCCAGCTTAAATCCTGTTTATTTTTATCTTTAATTTTATTTATTTTATTTTATTTTTTTGAGACGGAGTCTCGCTCTGTCGCCCAGGCCGGACTGCGGACTGCAGTGGCGCAATCTCGGCTCACTGCAAGCTCCGCTTCCCGGGTTCACGCCATTCTCCTGCCTCAGCCTCCCGAGTAGCTGGGACTACAGGCGCCCGCCACCGCGCCCGGCTAATTTTTTGTATTTTTAGTAGAGACGGGGTTTCACCTTGTTAGCCAGGATGGTCTCGGTCTCCTGACCTCATGATCCACCCGCCTCGGCCTCCCAAAGTGCTGGGATTACAGGCGTGAGCCACCGCGCCCGGCCTATCTTTAATTTTTATAGTGTAAATTATCCATTTGTTCTTATGTGCTACAAGAATGATATTTAAACATTTTCCTAATATCATTGTGTGCTTCTTCATTGCTTATGCAAGGAAAAGGAGACATGAGTAATAAGGAGACACCATGTTTAAGTGGCTTAAATGTCTTCTTAACGTTGAGCTTTGTGTAGAATGTAACCTGAACAGAATGATGGTGTCTTCTGTCTTTTCCATGAAATTTCTGTTCACTTAAAATTTTTTTTTATGTACCAACAAAGACCAAACTGCAGCGTTTTCTTTACATTTTCTTATATTTGTTCTGTTCACCTAACCTTTCACGAACGCTTTTGAGTTCAATGGAGCATATAATTATTACATCATATAGAAATAGTTGGGGGAAACAAATGGCATAGTGCAAAAGATATAATTTATGGAGGGAAGTCATCCAGAAAAAACTGTAAGGAATGTTTAATTTATTTTAAACCTCTGAATACCATTGCCTTTTTCCCTTTCAGTTGTCCACATTACATTCTTTGTGTGACACAGGAAAAATTATTAAATACACATCTATATAAAAATCCAACAGTGGTTGCTATAAAAATTAAGATGTTGTAATTTTAATGACAATAGGAAACCAGCAGAAATTTAAGGCATTTACTTCCTTGATTAAAGTATATGACTATACCTAGAGTCAAGTTATTCTCATTTGTCAGCAGCTGAAATGACTTCCTGTGTTCCTCAATTTTAGAAAGATGCAAAGGTGAGATCCCAGCCTTAGAGAGAACTAGCAGGAAGTGGTTCGCGCGCCTGTGTGTGTGTGTGTGTGTGTGTGTGTGTGTGTGTATGGTGGTAGAATGGAAATACTACTGATATTTTGATGCTAATTTTATCCCCAAACCAGATCTATAGCATACATGGCTGTAGTGGTATAAAAATAATGCACTTACACAAGCATACTTACCATATGTGTATTTGTGTTTGTGTATATGTGCATAAACATGTATGCATACCTTGTAAATTTGTGAATAGTATACTTATTTTGGAATTAGGATTTTAAAAATAAGCAGATATAGAGTATAGTAATATGGGGAAGCATCATTTTGAAAGATTTACTTGAATATTTAGGTTTTTGGCTTCTATTAAATCTCCGTGCCTATCTATGGGTTTTCTCATCTTTTAGCTCAGCAGCTGTCAACACTGGATTCAACAGAATCACCTGGGTAACTTAAAAAAAAAAATTCTAGTGCCCAGACTCCATCCCCAGAGATTCTGATTTAATTGGTTTGGGAGTAGGATTGGGCATTGGTGATTTTTAAAAGCTCCCTTGGTGATTCTAGTGTGCAGGTAGGGTCGACAGCAACTGCTTTAGCCATGTGTTGACAAGCAATCCCTGGCAGTACCTAACGACAGTTATTTGGTGATCCTGAGTTTGCAGATATTTTTCCTGACTCGTTGTGGTTGTTGCTGGAACCCAGAGATGCTGAGGCCTTTGAAAGGGCACCATCTATAGCTTCAGGCAAAACACCCAGGAAGAACAAAGCAAGTGAAAGGATTGAGGAGGACCTAAAAGTTGGGCAATTTGCACAAGATTAAAAACCTTAGTGGAGTCAGGACTTGAACCCAGGTCTTCTATAGTGATGTGGTTGAGGGTCAGGGCTCTGGAGTCAGACTGTTGGCTTGGATGTGTTGGCTCCTACAGTAACTAGCTGGTTGAGGGATGATGGGCATGTTATTTTTTTGTCTGCCTGGTAAAGATTTGTTACCTCTCAGTTCCTGAGCCAGTGATGTTTGGGAAAGAAAAATATAGCATTAGTGTCAGTCTTATGTAGCAGGTTTTAGCTACTTAACCTCTCTTGGCCAATGTTTTCTCACGCCTGAAATCCCAGCACTCTGGGATGCCAAGGCAGGTGGATCACAAGGTCAGGAGTTCAAGACCAGCCTGGCCAAGATGGTGAAACCCCATCTCTATTAAAAATACAAAAATTAGCTGGGTGTGGTGGCAGGCGCCTGTAATCCCACTTACTCGGGAGGCTGAGGGAGGAGAATTGCTTGAACCGGGGAGGTGGTGAAAGTTGCAGTGAGCCGAGATCATGTCACTGCACTCCAGCCTGGGCGACAGAGCAAGACTCTGTCTCAAAAAAAAAAAAAAAAAAAAAAAGGAGCTAATTATTATGATGCCTACTTCATAGGTTGGGTGGATAAGAGGATTAAATGAGGTAACAAATGTGAAACCACTTGTGACTGTACCTCACACATAATATCTCCTCAATACATGTGAAATATTATTAATTTTTATTACCTGACTACATTTTATTCTCTATTATACTGTACTCAGATTCTTCAACTCAACGTGATCGAAATGATGGATGAGCCTTCCATCTTCTTTGATAACAGTTCCTTGTATGACTTCAGTTGTCTTTTCTTCTAAGCCAACTATAGATGTAAAGAATAAATCTCTATTGCTTATTTTTAATTATGTCCTAGAAATAAAAAAGGGGCTATATGTAAATAGCATTAAAGTAGATCCATATACAGATCTATTTTATATGGATACAGATCCATATAAAAATGGAATTTTGCTGTAATAATCATAGCTATTATATGGTATTTACTATGTTCCAGGTATAATTTTAAATGTTTTACATAAAATATTTAAAAAACTTTTTGTTATAAAAAATTCCAAAACTACACAGGGGTGCCTGTGTATGTATAGTACATGAACCTCTATATACGCACAATTCTTTTTTTTTTTTTTTTTTTTTTTGAGACAGGGTCTTGCTCTGTTACCCAGGCTGGAGTACAGTGTTGCCATCATGGCTCTGTACAGCCTCAACCTCCTAGGCCCAAGTGGTCCTCTCACCTCAGACACCCAAGTAGCTGGGACTTACCTGCAGGAGTCTACCACCATGCCCAGCTAATATTTGTAGTTTTTTTGACAATTCATTTTTAACTATTATCCACTCATGGACAATTTTGTCTATACCCTTGTACCCCAACTTTCTTGATATCATAGACACTTTTCTCTAAGTAGTTCAATGTGCTTCTCAAAAACATAAAGAACTTTAAAGAAAGATACTCACAATACCATTACTACACATAAATGTAGCCCTTATAAAAACTTTATGCATTAAGTAGTATTATTATCCCCATTTCATAGATGAAGAAACCAAGGCACAGACAAGTTAAGTAACTTGCCTAAGGTCACACAGCTAGCAAGTGCCAGAGCTGGAATTTGAAACCAGGTAATCTGGCTACATAGTCTGTTTTCTTTTCCTTTTTTTTTTTTTTTTTTTTTTTTTAGCACAAACGCATATATTTATTAACCAAACGGATGATACTAATTAATCCAACACTTTGAAATAGCTGCATGTAAAATGTTTGTGATAAAGATAATTGAAAACAGTAATAAAAAAAAGCAGTATGGAGATTTGCTTATTGAACTGGGGGCTTGTTCATTCTTGTAGTTAATTCCTGTCCAAAGTGATGACGGAATTTTTATTCTACTTTTTCATAGATCCGAGTACAGGTGACATTGTTCGTGACACAATCCACCACTGATTGCATCTTTCAATTTTCTTGTTATTGTGTTTTCCTTCCCATCCCACTCCTGATGCGGAACCAATGCACCATCTGTAAAGCTGCAGACAGTCTGAGTTTTTCTGCCAACAGCTGTGGTTTCTTCAAACTTCTCTCCCAGGGTACAAGAAAACTGTGTTGTTTTCAAAGTGCTCTCAGTTTTTATGGTGAGGTTTTTGCCATCACAAGTGATGATACAGTCTGGTTTGGCCATTGCGCCCATATTGCGCAAAGATATTCCCACTCCTAGTTTCTTCATGTATGCATCAAAGCCTTTGCTGTCCGCCAGGCGCCATCTTCCTTCCAGCTGCTGAACGGTGGCCCCATGGTGCGCGCAGGCTGGTGTGCGGAGCGTGCGGAACCAGCGGAGCGGGATCGGCGTGAGCAGCGTACTGGTTTGTGTTCTTAACCATTTTGAAATACCAGCTTCTCAAGTGAAAAAATAATGCAATACACAATTTCTTCTCAATGAATACAAGGTTTTTTGTTTGTTTGTTTTGAGACGGAGTCTTGCTCTGTCGCCCAGGCTGGAGTGCAGTGGCGTCATCTCAGCCCACTGCAACCTCCGCCTCCTGGGTTCGAGAGATTCTCCCACCTCAGCCTCCCCTGTAGCTTGGATTACAGGTGCGCGCCACCATGCCTGGCTAATTTTTTTGTATTTTTAGTAGAGACGGGGGTGGTCTCACCATGTTGGCCAGGCTACTCTTGGAACTCCTGGTCTCAAGTGATCCACCCACCTCAGCCTCCCAAAGTGCCGGGATTACAGGCGTGAGCCACCACGCCCAGCTGAATACAAGGTTTTATCTTTTAGTGTTTTTAATGTCCTAATTACATAGGTGTCCTACTGGTGACCAAAATTCAATTTTGCCTCCTACAGCTGCCATGGCCTTAGGTGTCAGATCCATCTGGCTCCTCTGTTTATTACATGTGACTTTATGCCCATTACTTACTCTCTCTAAACCACAGCTCTTCTGTCTGTTATATGATGATATAATAACACCTACCTCTTGCAGTATACTAGAGAGTTGGTATATTTCTAAATGTTTTAGTGTTTCAGAATTTAAATGCTAACTCATGGAAGTATTTTTTATTGAAACCTTTGAAAGGATATGATGTACTTGATTAGATCGAATCTCTTGACTTGACTGGTTAGGCAGCAGTCTCTTGAATGGTCAAGAACTGCCTTGATAAAGACTCAGTGCAGCTGTTGTAGAAATGCCTCTTAATTTACAGCTGGAAGGCTGTCAGCTTGTTAAACCAAAATAAATGTTATAATATGTCAGCTTATATGAACCAGGGAGCATCATTTTTCAAGAAATGATGCCTGTCTCTTTGAGCTACTTTAAAGTCATTTGTCAACATCCATCCTAAAAATACAGTGAAAATTCTTAAACCCATATGCACATCTTTTGTTGCCTGGCTTCTTCCACACCAGCCTTCAGCTGGGATCTACACTGTGAACAATAAGCTGGAGTGTGAAGAGTGTTAAGACCAGGGAGTGTAAAAGTGTGTGTGTGTATGTGTGTGTAGGGTCCATATGTGTGACTACCCTCTAAAATGAAATAACTTATTTCTTAATCACCTTCTATTTTGCGGTATATGTGCCATTCTTATGTACCAAAAATTTGAATAAGCAAGGTTTTATCATGCACGAAATATTTTATGGTATTTTTCCTTTGCTCTGTAATATCTGATATTCAGAAACTACCTTATTCTGGATTCTCTTTATTTTTTTTCTTTGTTCATATTAGTTCTTCCCAGGGTTTATATTGAGCAATTCATCCTTGTCAAGGAAAAAATCATGCTTTGCCAATATTATGCTTAATTGTGTGTCCTGTTAGTCTAACCCATATGATTTATAGACCTTACACATTTTGACAACAACAGCATTCCTTTTAGTATTCTCACTAGGTAAGAATATCACCTTGTAACCTTGTTCTCTCCCCTTTCTCGTCTTTGTTAGGTAAAAATGAAAGGGTTATTTTGATTTACAAGCAGCAACTGAGCTTGGCTCTCCCCTTCAAGATATCCTTGCACAATGAAAAAAACAAATGTTATTTTGCTCTATAAACATTATATTTGAAATTTTTCTTCACATGTCTTTTAAATCATCTGTTTGGCCTAAGGCTTCTTGCTACCCCTGGCTTTGGAATCCCTCCAAACCTGGCCTCACTTTATATGGGTTGTGGAGGATGCCGATTATTTGAAATTCTCTGTTGAAATCAGATTTCTTGCCTCCAGCCATATGTATATAGGGGAAATTAGGCTGCCTGCTTTTCCTAAAGTTGTGTCAAGGTAATAGCTTATGCTGTCTCATCAAACACTGGGCAGGGCTTAGATGACATGTCAACCATTTTGAATTTTGCATTAACAATCTCTGAATGAAATAAAAACTCTAAATTATATTCAGTTTAGGGAATTGGATCCTAGGTGTAAAGTTAGAAAATTGGAGATGGTTTGTTATTTGGATGAGTTTGGTTTTGCAGTTAGCTGATGCTTCGTTTTGTCTATCAATCTGTCTATGGCTTTTTCCAATCACCTTTTTGAAGTGTACTTTTTAGGCAATAATAGGTATATTTTAAAGTATAGAGTTCATTGAGTTTTGTATGTATTTAGGTAACCACAGCCCTAAGCAAGATATAGGACATTTCCATCCCCTCCAACTGTTCCTCATGCCACTCTCAAAGTGACAAGGAAGAACGCCCATCAGAGACTGTCATTCTTAGGAGAAAACATATCCTTTAAACCCAGTTGTAACAGTGTGGCTTCCCTTTAACAAAAGCAACGTTCACTGTAATGACTTTATTATAAGTAGACACACGCAGGCAGTCAATGAGCTCTTGCAATGACTGGCAGCTCAAAGAGGAGGAGGGGAAGAGCCAGTGGAGGTGGGTGGATGGATGGTGGGCAGCAGTTTATTATAACCACAATCAGCTCAGGATGCTGGTATTGGCCTCAGAGGGACCTGGTTTCCTGTGGTGTTAGCAAAAGGGATAAATTATAGTCGACATCTGCAATGAAGGACGGCAAGATGACCTGGAGGGGAAAATGTCAGATGTGGTAGAGGTCAGAGAGCCTGGTTATTCAACAAATGCAGGTTTGAAGCAGAGATCAAAGGCAGCTGCCAGAGAGTAAAATGGTGTTAGAGGTATGTGCTCAGTAATAAGTATATGGGTGTACCTAATACTGGTCACGGTATTGAGCCGTCAATAAATCAAACAATTCTGCCTGGGCAAGGCAGAGATAGGACTTCATGGTGGTGGATGTAGTGGATGACAGGATGAAACAAAGGCAAGGAAGCTGCTGATTGCAATTAAACAGGGTTTATTTTTGATGAGGTAGGTCTGAATTCTTTTCCCACCACATCTCTGTGGGCGTTTAATATTGTTCAGACAGCTCAATTAGAGGATTTTGATGCCTTTAGTGGCTCAATCAATCAGCTGTACTAAGGTTTGGATTGTTTGCATGCTGTAATGTGCTGATGAAGATGGCAGTTAGCTCTTTCATTATAAGAATGGTAGGACTGCAGCAGGGGAAACACTCAAGCTATTTCTGATTTAAATTGTCTGCACATGATCAGATCTGAAAAGAATAGTTTGGAAGACAAATAAGAAAAACGTCTCAGTTTTGCCCATGTGCCAGGCTCTATTTTTTAATTATTCCATTTATGCCACGTTATCTAAATTGAAGTACTCACAACTTGGTCCATAAGACATCTAACAAGTAAGGACTTCTCTGGAGAGTGGATTCAGGATAGTTAAAATAGATTCTTCCAGTGGATACTGTGGTCAAATTTCATACAGTTCAGATTAATTTTCCAAAGCAAAAGGATTTTGGTGATGCTAGGAGATACGGCAAAGCCTCCAGCAGTAGTGGTACATTGGTGTTTTCTGCCATCCTGACAAGGAAAAATGCCAGCAATTTAGTTAATCCTACAGGCTCTCCATGGAATGTCTGAATTTCCCTTTGAGAGAGTCACCGTGTCTCACCAGAATTCAATCCATTAAGTTTTATTTGTGGAGTTTCTCCTAACCTCCTCATAAATAGAGTGAGATGCACCTTTTACAGTGCCCTAAAATATCTTATCCGTTCCATGCCATATGGCTGCTTCTTCTTATTTAAATAAAATAAATAATCCTTAAATATGCATATATTCTTTGCATAGACATGTGCTTGAATTACCAACTGTTTGTTACGGTTTTTGTTAATTCGCAGCAAATCAGTGTGTTCCGTGGTTATATTTCTCCTATGACAGAAGCCTGTTATTTCACTTTTAGTACATGCTAATTCTCCTAAGATGAGCATCCTCAACTCATTTCCTTGGAGACAGTAAGAAAATCCCAAATGTATCAGGATCAAGAAGATAGTACTACTCAGGAAATTTTAGTTATGATTTTTTCCAAGTATATTCTGATTGAGTAAAAAAGCACATACAACCTCCCTCTCTAATTCTCCAAATCACTTTTTAAATACAGTCCTCTCTCTTTTCCCTAACCTTCGGAGGAACTAGTTTTCTTCTCTCTCAATTATGTTTTCATTCTTTAAATGTGGTTGGATAACAATGACTTTAACTTTCCATCTTACAGCTATTAAAGACCTTGACCTGTTGGTCCTAATAAAAGAGTTATGAACCATGCCCTGCTAAATGACTTCACTCCCCGTCTCTCCCTTCACCCAGATAAATTCCCTTGGTGGGTGATAAAACACTGGATTGAAACGGACACATTTGGTCTCTGTTAAAGCTATTTATGGTGATTTCTCTGCTGCGAGCATTATACTTAGGGAAACCAGATGCTCTTCTTTTGGGGTCCATCTTGTAACATGTTCTCTCAGTATTCCGAGAACTCCTTTGGGGCCAGGAAATGATCTCCTCTCCGCAAGAGCAGTTATGTAACAGCTTCATCCAGGAGAAGCAGTGCGTATAGAGAAGAAAAATAGCACAAAATGGAAAAGCACATTCAGTTTTTTAAAGAAAGCATTTAAAAAATCCCATTTAATTTCTCTTTGTCCACATACTTAGCTCCTTGTAGTGAGGTACTTTAGAAATGGGCTGGCAGTTATCCAGAGGGCATGAATGATTTTTCACTGTTTGCTCTTTTGTTTCTGAAAGATTACAAACTGGGCGAGCCATCTAAAGGCTCAGGTAAACAGACATAGATGTCAGAGTTTATTCTGAGACTGAATTCTCAGCTTTTCTGATAAATACATTGTTGCACTTTTCTCCATTCATCCTCTTGATGATTATTACACCAGTTAAAGACATTTAAAATGAATTCTCCACCCCTAGTCTTCTCTGAGAGCATTAGGCTTTTATGCTGCTATGGCTACATAAATATTAATATATGTTTGAAGAAGACATTTTTAAAGATCAGAGTGTTGTTTTTAAATAGACTTAATTTTTTAGTGTAGTTTTAGGTTCACAGCAAAATTTAGCAGAAGGAACAGAGATATTCTATATATCCCCTGCCCCCACAACACACGTAGCCTTCTCCATCATCATCACCGGCCACTGAAGTGGTACATTTGTCACAACTGATGAGCCTGCATTGATGTGTAATTATCACCCAGAGTCGCCAGTTACATTAGGGCTCACTCTTGGTGTTGTACCTTGTATGGGTTTGGAGAAATGTCAATAAAATGTATTCTCCATTGTCATTAGGTGAGTGGTTTTTTTTTTTTTGTTTGAGATGGAGTCTCACTCTGTTGCCCGGGCTGCAGTGCAGTGGCACACTCTTGGCTTACTGCAGCCTTCGCCTCCTGGGTTCAAGCGACTCTCCTGCCTCAGCCTCCCAAGTAGCTGGGATTATAGGCGCCTGCCACTATGCCCAGTTAATTTTTTTTTGTATTTTTAGTAGAGACTGGGTTTCACCATGTTGGCTAGGCTGGTCTTGAACTCCTGACCTCGTGATTCGCCTGCCTCGGCCTCCCAAAGTGCTGGGATTACAGGCCTGAGCCACTGCGCCCAGCCAGGTGAGTGTATTTTATTTACATACTTGGAAAATCTGAATGATCTACTGTAGATTACAGTTTTTCAGTTGGGTGTTTGGTATGTGTCACCTCCTGAAAGTTTTAGCAAGTTTTAGTTGTCACCCCTAACACTCCCAGAGGTCTACTTTTTTTTAGACCAACATTGAGTATAATAACTTTATTATATTTTAAAATAATATTTTAATAACATTTCATTATTATAGTGATAAATTATTATAATTTTAATATTAATATTTTAAATAATTTTTTTAAAACTGCAGTTATCTTTACCTATTAAAGGGTAGACGAGTACTTCCATATAAAGCTCGCAGAAAGTGGAGAAGATCTTTATTACTCTGCTGGCGAGTTGTCTGGGAGCCCAGGAAGGGCAGGAGGAGTGTGGCTAAGCAGAACCTTCCTCTCCTCAGCCTTGCCCACATCATTTCTGCAGTTCCACAAGCAGATTGCACAGTTGCCAGCTCTAGAAAACAATATCCCCAAACAAATGATCAGATTTCATTGAGACAAGGTACTTTTCTTCTACTGCTTCCAGAAAATAACTTTCTTTTGGGAGTGATAGGCAAAGGAGTACTGAGAATTGTATGATAACTTTCTTCTCCTAAGCTGTGAGAAGTCTAGGCTGTGCAGGCAGGTTTAAAAGAGAACATCTGTTTCTGTTTCTTCAGGAGAGAAATCAGTGTGAAGATTGGATGCTGTTCTATCCTAAAGCCATTTAGGTCTCTAGCACAATGCCTGGCACAAAGCAGGCATTCGAATATTTGCTGAATTAAAATTTCTCTACTAAAATAATCCATGAACCAGAAAAGTAAAAATAGCATTGTAAATATTAAGTTCCAATAGTGGCTGTTGTAGGAAGAAGACAAAATGATTAATTTCAATGTGTGTTCATAGATTCAGAATGTTTATATACAGCTTGCAAAGACTTTCTACCTCTTTAATGCTGTGATTGGGTAAAATGTCAGACACCATGTTAAGTGCTAGAAATACAAAGATGATTTAGATACAATTTGTATTTTCTAGGAGCTCACTGGTAGGGAGGATAAATTACTAGAATATAGGATCCATGAGAGCAGAACTTTATTTTGCTCATCATTGTAGCCTCAATGTCTAGAATAGTTCCTAACACATAATAGTTGCTTAATTAATAACTTTCGAATATAAAAGAATGGCTGGATTATTCTATTACATTGAAGGAAAATTCTGAATGAGCACGTACTTGCATGACAAATAGCCACTGGTAGGAAATTGGGCATGCTCCTTATCCAATCTCTACTATGATCTATAGAAGATCATAAAACTTGCCACTATTTTAAAAATTCTAGATTATAACATGGCATATTTGGATTGATCTGGACATGAAACTTCACATCACTTAGTGCTGTCTCAGGACTATCTTCCTGCATATGACAAAACATAAATTGATGATTTCTTTAAGAGTGCTAAATCTCTGAGAATTCTTTTTTTTTTTTTTTTTTTGAGACAGAGTTTCACTCTTGTCGCCCAGGCTGGAGTGCAGTGGCATGATCTCGGTTCACTGCAACCTCTGCCTCCTGGGTTCAAGTGATTCTCCTGCCTCAGCCTCCTGGAGTAGCTGGGATTACAGGCACCCGCCACCATGCCCAGCTAATTTCTTTATTTTTAGTAAGACAGGGGTTTCACCATGTTGGCCAGGCTGGTCTCGAACTCCTGACCTCAGGTGATCCACCCACCTCTCCATCCCAAAGTGCTGGGATTACAAGCATGAGCCACTGTGCCCGGCTGTGTCTCTGAGAATTCTGCAAGCAATGGATTCCCAATTCTCTATGAACGGGAGGAAGAGCCCACCTCACAGAAGCTGGTGTACATAGCAAAAATGGTCTAGAAAGGTAGATCAACAGCACCCAGACACACGACAGGTAATTAAGTCTGTCCCATAACTACATCATCCAGAACAGGTGGATTTCTCTTCCAGAAGAGTGACTGCAAAAAAAGAAAAGTGGCTGGTTTCCTATCTGATGCAACTGGACCCAGCTAATCTACTGACAGCTAAAAGTGGAGAGTCACAAAAAAGGATGCATAATAATTTACGCATTACATTTACGTGTACTTTAAAGCATGCATATGCATATTCACTCTTCAATACGATGTGGTAGGTTCAGGGCGTTCTCTAAGTATTGTTGTGCTGATTGGAATACCTTTATTTCTTTGTTGCATAAACTATGTACATAACGCATCTTCCATAATTGCCAGTGTCAGTGTCTTTAAATGGAGAACTTTAAGAATCAGAACAAGAATGTGAATTGAGAATTGAAAGTCCATTGAAAAGCATTCTGAGGACAGAATCTTTCTTTACTTTTATGACTTTACAGTTGGACGGTTGTAAACTTCCTAATTCCTCATAAGTTTTACTTACTTACCTCTATTGAATCTTTTCAAAACAATAAATTAAAAAAATATTAGTATTTCATTGGCTTTCCCCATATTTTATTCAATTATGAATTTGCAATAACAAGTACAATGGTCCTAACTAGGTTTCAGAACAAACACAACTGATTCTTAATAAGAATATAACGCCATGGGTGGGAGCAGACACGCAGATGCACACTACACAGAAGCAGCCAATTAGCTACGCGTGAGAAAAGGTTTTGGAGTTGTAGCACCAGCTTTGCCTTGGGTGGCCTGCAAAACTGTGGTATTATAGATGATCTACACTGTGTGACAATGAGAAACAACATGTAAGGTTTTCCTTGAGCAATGATGTGTAGCTCCTACTTTTAGTATAATATTAAAGTTGTTACAAGTGAATGTAAAGTACAGCACTTACTTAAGTTGGCTTGACAACTCAAGAGGGATTTGTTTCTTTTTGCTGAGAAAAACAGAATAGCTCTCACTTGTAATCCTAGTACTTTGGGAGGCCGAGGCAGGGGAGATCACTTGAAGCCAGGAGTTCGAGATCAACCTGAGCAACATAGTAAGACCCCTTCTCTACAAAAAAAAAAAAAAAATTAGCCGGTGTGGTGTCACACACCTACAGTCTCAGCTACTTGGGAGGCTGAGGTGGGAGGATCACTTGAGTCCAGGACTTTGACGCTACAGCGAGCTATGATTACACCACTGCATTCCAGCCTGAGCAACAGAGTGAGACCCTGTCTCTAAAAAAATGTATATGACTTGAGTCAGAAAACCTGCGTCCAAGTCTCCACTCTTCTACTCACTAGCTGGGTGAGCTTGGGCTTCACTGGAACCATCTCAATGTGCCCATCTGGGTGTCTGAAAGTTGTATCCAGAATAAAGCTTTACACTCACCTTTACACGGGGGGTCCAAAGCCATCACTATTATGAGAGGAGAATTTGGGGAAAAGCATCAGTTCTGCAGGAAATTTACTGGGTTAGTCAGGGCTCTAAGTTAGAAACAATAGACTTCGACTCTGGGTAACTAAACAGAAAAAGAGTTTGTCAAAGGATATAGAGTAACTTACAGAATTTTCGGGAGGGCTGCAGTGCCAAGCCAGAGGTAATCAACATCTCAAACCCTGAGTCAGAACTGGTTTTTAGCTGCCACCAAGACATAGATGCAAACATTTGTACCACTCTGCACCAGAGAATCATTTAGCCCAGCCAAAGCTGACAAACACTCCCCACCCGCGCCACCCCCAATTCTTGTGTCAAGTACTCAACCTTGTAGCCACTGCCCTCTGCTGCCACTTCATGATAGAGAGGGAGAGAGAGAGAGAGAGAGAGAGACAGAGAAACACTCCCCATTTTTTCCTAAGTCCAGTGTGGATGGGTCTTTTTTTGTTGAAACCTTGGTTACAAATTTGATTCTGGCTATAAATAATGCTAGGAGAGCAAGTACCTATCATTTATTTTCAGCTTTGATAGCAAGTTCTTTAGATAAGAATGCACCAAACATAGAAGCAGCCAAAATGAATGTCAAATATTCACCTAGGCAGAAAGCAGCCGTGCTGAGACCACCATGTGTAGGAAGGCTGAGAGATTTGTGCCTAAGTGAATAGAAAGTGTTCAGAAAGGAGAATCAAGAAAACCTCTTTCCTCGCTTTGGAAGGAGGAAACCTACAGAATCGCCCAAAGCTGGAGGGAATTCAATCATGGTGATAGTTGGGAGTAGCAGCTTTACATCTGTTCTCAAGGTAAGGAGAACAATTGAGATGGCCAGGCATTAATGAGCACCCTTTGAGGGTGATGAATGAGCACCTCTATCTGCCTACTGGAATGGAAATCCGAATAGGATGTATCCCTAATGGGATAATGGAACAGTGCTACTGTGCTTTAATTTCCCAATTTTAGTAGGATTTAGGCAGCTGTGATTAACCTGATAAATGAAGAAGAGGATAGTGCGAAGGGATCCAAACAGCTGAGCCAACCTGGCACTCCTTCCTCCCGCATCCTTGAGGGCCTCATCAGACAAGACTCTTGGTATAGATTCTCTGTCAGGCTTCCAAGGCTAGGTCCCCACGGTGCTGAATGCTGAAGTCAGGGCCAAGATTCTCTTGGCTGTAGTTCTCTTGTGTGCCCGTGGAGGCTGTCTCTAATCCTATTTTGGAATGGGATGCAGTCGGGAAGATCTCATTCAGAGATGATCAGCCAGCAGTTATCACACCCAAGGTGGCCTTTGGATTATGAGGCATTTATATATTTAGCAAATATTTATTGAACACCCACAGGGCTTGAGATGCAGGACTAGGTATCGGGATTAGAGAGAGAGGCACACACAGCCTTGGACTCAGGAAGATTAAAGGAAGAGACTAACACATTGCCTGGAATGCTGAACTGCAAGGAACTCCTTTATATGTTAGTGTAAAAAGGAAATGTTTCTGTTTGCATCTTGGGCTGCCCTGGACTGTGAAAATCCCCCTCCTCAGGGAGCTGGTTGTGTCTGTGAGTGAGCTGGTGAGCACCGAGCCTGGTTAGCATCATTGGTTACGAGGGTAGATGAGGCTCGTAAGCCTTAGCGCAACCTTTTGGGACCAGCTGCAGCCAAATCCCAAATCTCAGGGTGCGAGTGCCAGATCTACTTGGGACAGCCTGGTTGGGAGTCTTTTAGTTGCCAATTTAAGGTTAAAATAATACTCTTTATGTTTCAGCTTCTGCCAGGCTGAGTCCTTTGTGGCTTATTTTGCATTGTTTAAGCACATGGAGAAATGAGCTCAGGTGGTCAAAACAATTCTAATGAAGTTGAGTTTCTACTTCAATTGTTTTGTATCTGAGACTCTCCCCTAAAGAGAGGAACTGGTTTTCCTGGGTCCTGCCAGCTCTTTTATTGTAAAAGTGAGAAAGCCCATCCTGTGGCTTTCTACTCTGAAAAATAAAAGATTTGATGCCCATTGAGATTGATCTTAGGCACAGGCCGTGGGATGTGGAACACAGCCTTCCTTTTACAGTGGAAATTTCTGAGCAAGAATTTTGGGGACTTTGATGAAGAAGGTCCAGGCACTTCGTGGGGCAGAGTGTGAACATGTAGTGCTATAGGTGATGAAACTCAGTTTCTTGGTGTTTATAAGCACCAGCTAATCCTCCTCTAGTGCTTATCTCTCAAGCACAGTTCTAAGTTTGTACATATATTTGAAATCTATGACAAATTCTGTAAGTTTGACACTGTTATCATCATGCTCATATTCAGGTGGAAAGACTAAGGTGCAGAAGCTAAGCACCTGCCTGAGTTTCCTACAGGTAAGTGGAAAAGAGGGGGCCAACCCCAGAGCTTGAACCTTTCGCTGCTATGCCACACTGGGTTTGAAGGGTAGTTTTCTTGAGAATAGAGGGGACACAGTGATTGGACAGTGATGCTCTGCTGCCATAGGCCAGGAATTCTGTTTCATTATGACCCAGGCACATCACCTTGTGGTTTCTTTATACAGAGATCAGCTTCCCTGATGTAGTTGGAGAAGAAATGGACATAAGAGGAACAAGCTCCAGTGTGTCATCCCGCTTCTTACTCTGATCATTCTCACGTTCATCTCTAAGTTTCTTGAGGTTAGGGGTGATGTCTTATTCAGTGTCATAACCTTTTATTAGCCAGTGCAATACCTTAGCGTGCAATGTGTTAAGGGAATGACTGAAACACTCTTTCTGGAGTTCTGGCTACCTGTGGGTGGGCCTGCAGGCTGCTTTAGGAATATTTGATGAAGATACTTTTATTCACAGATGTGTTCACAAATGTCCAGCACTTTGGGCATCACTGGTGCCATGCATATTTCATGCTAATGATTTGGTGAGATTTGCAGCTCTTGCAAAAGAAGAAAAGAGTGCTTGCCTGCTTTCTTTAGGATGCAGTCTGGTGATCTTGTGTCTAGGTTGAAGACTCCCAGAACTGTCTTGATTGCAGTGAGAGCTGAGGCCTGACGGGGTGAAATATCCAACTGTAGCAGTGGAGCATACATTGGTAAATGAAATCTGTCCTGTCTCTTTCCTAATTGAATGCCAGTTTTAGCGGGAGAGGGGCAGTCACATATCCACCTAAAAATGATCATCCTTCTGAACAACTAGCAGTGGTCATTTATCATGGTGCCAGCCAAAGAGATTTGAATTGAGGGTTTCATGGCAAGCTTTTGAGTTTCAGATGTAAGTACTCTTCTTCCTTATTTTATTACTCTTTCCTTCTGAAATAATGATTGGGGTCTGGGGATGCTGCAACCATTTTGTTACAATGAGGCAACAATCAAATAACCAAATCCAACATTCACCCGAAGGCAGAGCAGAATGCAAGAGTCTGGGTCCTTGACCGCATATTTGAAAAGCTGCAGTAGCTCTGGAGGGTTTCAATTCAGATTTCTTTTTACGTGGAAAAATAAACATTTAGGTCAGAGCTTCTGTAAATCAAGTTTTTTGTTAGTTATAGATGAATACAATCTTACTGATCTAGATGGCATCTTTAGTCCTTGAAATTAGTAAAATGTTGAAGACTGAAGTGGAAGCTAGCAATAATCATTATACAATGTGCGGAAATAACCAGCCAAAGTAGCACGTTTAAGAGACCTATTGCAAACATGTATTTATAATGAGAGAATAGCATGTTTCCAAATAACTGCACCAGGAAGGCTTTAATCTAAAGCACAAGTAGTATACACTAAGTTTTTGAGAATTATGACATGAAGTAAAGATATCCCATAGTTGACTGATGAAGAATGTTTAATCTGGAGAGTAAAACATTTGTGAATCCACCATTGTTCAGGGGAGGATGGACATTAATTTTAAACACCAATATGAGTTATGCAGACAAAAATACACATAAATGGATAAAAATACAGTTTATCTAGTTCCTTCCAGTTGTGGGCTTGGGATCAGCAGCATAGCCTCACTTGGGAATTTGTAGAAACGCAAATTCTTGGGTCTTATTACAGACCTACTGACTTGGAAATGCTAGGAGTTGTATTTTAACAAGCCCTCTAGGTGATTTTGATGTTGAGTTAAAGATTGAGAATCATTGCTTCAGATTCATTTTCATACTTTAGATTAATTTCCATATGTTAGGCTAACCAAGACTGTTGTCCCCCACCCACCAAATTCTAGGGTGGTCCACATCTTTCTGATTTGTAACTTGGCCTCCTGCTGATCACCTCCAGAGGGAATATCCTGTGATGGTAAATTAAGAAGTTGGCACTCTGCCTTTCGAATCAACGTCGTGTAAGATGTAGTCCCTTCCTCCCAAAGGCCCTAGGTGAACCACTAATATCATGTTCCTAAATTTGAGTTAATCCTTTTACCAAGGGGAGCCTCATTCTGAGGCATTGGACCTCTCTTTGTTCATCTTTCCTATAATAAGAGCACTCCAAATCATAATAAAGTTTAGTTTTTTTTTTAATTTAAAAAGACTTTGCAAAGCTATAAAAAATCAGATTTGCCACCAATAATCCAGAATGTAAACAGTCCAGCATCAGCTAATTAGCTATTTTTTTTTCTTTGACACAGAGTCTTGCTCTCTTGCCCAGGCTGGAGTGCAGTGGCACGATTTCAGCTCACTGCAGCCTCTGCCTCCCAGGTTCAAGTGATTCTCCTTCCTCAGCCTCCTGAGTAGCTGGGATTATAGGTGCGCGCTTCCACGCCTAATTTTTGTATTTTTAGTAGAGATGGGGTTTCACCATGTTGGCCAGGCTGGTCTTGAACTCCTGACCTCAACTGATCCCCCCACCTCAGCCCCCTAAAGTGCTGGGATCACAGGCATAGCCACCACACCCGATAATTAGCTATTGACTATACATAGATAAGAAGGAGAATATGGCAAATATATTTTTCTGGCTAGCTAAGATGATTTGCTGGCTTAAACACTTTAGAAAAGTTTAGCTGTACAACTAAACTCAACGTACATTAATAAAAAGGTTAATAATATATGGGGGGCTTTGTTTGTTTACCTATTTACACTAAAAGCTATCAAAATTAATGACTTATTTTTTTCCTCATAAAATATCTTGAAAACGAAATATATTTACCTTTAAGTCTGATTTGACTTATTCTGGCAGGGAATGTCCTAAATCTTCCCTGCTTTGTGACTACATTGTAATTCTTTGTCCCAGAAGATGAAAGCAGATGCATTCAAGAAAAGAATTTGAGGGCTGGGCACGGTGGTTCATGCCTGTAATCCCAGCACTTTGGGAGATCGAGGTGGGTGGATCACCTGAAGTCAGGAGTTTGAGACCAGCCTGGCCAACATGGCAAAACCCCGTCTCTACTAATAATATAAAAATTAGCCAAGCATGGTGGCACGCTCCTGTAATCCTAGCTACTCGAGAAGCTGAGGCAGGAGAATCGCTTGAACCCGGGAGGCAGAAGTTGCTGTGAGCCAAGATTGCACCACTGCACTGCAGCCTGGGCGACAGAGCAAGGCTCCATCTCAAAAGAAAAAAAAAAAGAGAATTTGAGGATGGTACAGCTTCCATTAGAAAAGAACTAATGCTTGAGTGGGAAACACGTTCAGTAGAGGTTGGGCCACCTTTTGTTTAAGACATTTGACTTTCATAAGTAAAATTAATTTCTGATTTTATCATTTTTTTCTGGTGTATGTTTTTACCAGAAAACAGATGCATATATGTTAGTGTGGTGAGATGTGTGGAAATAATAGGACTCAGCTAAAAATAGAGTGTAGTGAATGCTAATTAAATATATAATGAACCCTTATTGTAACATAATCTGCTATAACAATGTATTTAAAAGAGCACAAGTCCATCTGGATCTGTTTAACAGTGGTGTAGCTATGGATACATTAGTAAACTCTTTTTAAAAAAGTCACAACACAGAGATAAAGAATAAAACAGTGATTACCAGGAGCGGGAGAGAGAGAGATACAGGTCAGAGGATGCGAAGGATGAACAAGTCTAGAGATCTAATATACAACATGAGGACTGTACTGAATAATACCATACTGTACTCGGGATGTTTGTCAAAAGAATAGATTTTAGGTGCTCTTGCCACAAAGAAAAAATTGGTAACTATGTGCGATAATGGACATGTTAATTTGCTTGGCTATAGTAACTTTTCACTGTCCATATGTACAGTTATGTGCTGCGTAACGATGTTTCAGGTAACGATGGACTACATATACAAAGTTGGTCTCAGAAGTTTATAGGCCGGGTGCGGTGGCTCATGCCTGTAATTCCAGCACTTTGGGAAGCCAAGGTGGGCAGATCATGAGGCCAAGAGATTGAGACCAGCCTGGCCAGCATGGTGAAACCCTGTCTCTACTAAAAATACAAAAATTAGCTGGGCTTGGCGGCACGCACCTGTAGTCCTAGCTACTTGGGAGGCTGAGGCAGGAGAATCGTTTGAACCTGGGAGGCGGAGGTTGCAGTGAGCCCAGATCGCACCACTGCACTCCAGCCTGGCAACAGAGCGAAACTCGGTCTCAAAAAAAAAAAAAAAAGATTATAATAGAGCAGAAAAATTCCTATTACCTAGTGAAGTCTTGGCCATGGTAATGTTGTAGTGCAACAATTGGTCACATGCTCGTGCCATAAACAAGCTGGTGTAAACAAACCTACTGTGCTGCTAGTTGTATAAACATAGAGCACATATAATCATGTACATACAGAATACTTGATAATGACAATAAATGACTATGTCACTGATGTATGTATTAACTACACTATACTTTTTATGTTAATTTTAGAGTGTCCTAGTTATAAAAAAAAATTAACTGTAAACAGCCTCAGTTCCATGCGTGTTATTGACCCGAAGACCTTCCAGTGGGACAAGATGTGTCAGTGGAAGACAGTGATATTGATGATCCTGACCCTGGGTAGGCTTAGGCTAACATGTGTGCTTATGTCTTTGTTTTTAATAAGAAAGTTTAAAAAGTAAAAAAAGAATTGAAAATGTTAAAAATAGAAAAAAGCTCATAGGATGAGGATATAAAAAAGAAAATATTTTTGTACAGTTGTATAAAGTGTGTTTTGAGCTGTGTTATTACAAAAGAGTAAAAAATTTCAAAAAACTTTAAAAATTTATAAAGTAAAAAAGTTACAGTAAGCTAACATTAATTTATTATTGAAGAAAAAATTAAAAAAAATAAATTTAGTGTAGCCTAAGTATACAGTGTGCATAAAGTCTATAGTAGTGGACAGTAATGTCCTAGGCCTTCCCATCACTCACCACTCACTCACTGACTCACCTATAGCAACCTCCAGTCTGCAAGCTCCATTCATGGTAAGTACCATATACAGGTGTACCATTTTTTATTTACACCATTTTTTTTTTTTACTGTACCTTTTCTGTGTTTGGATATGTTTTGATACCACATACTTACTGCTGTGTTGCAAATGCCTACAGTATTCAGTGCAGTAACATGCTGTACAGGTTTGTAGCTTAGGAGCAATAGGCTGTGCCATATAGCTGGGTCTGTAATAGGCTGTACCATCTAGGTTTGGGTAAGCGCACTCTGTGGTGTTCACACAATGATGAAATTGCCTACCAACATGTTTCTCAGAACATATCCCTGTTGTTAGTGACACATAACGTTGTATATATCAAAACATCATATTATACACCTTAAATATATAAAATAAAATAAAACTTTCATTTTACCCTGTTTCTTGGGGTCTGGAACGCTATTGTTTTATTGAGAATTCAAAATATTTATGCCAGACTGTAGTAGTCTATGTCCTAAATGGTGGACTGATTGATGTTCAGTAGGCAGATGCCAGTAGGAACATGGATGTCCCTTCAAGTCCCATCATTAAATATTTTAACTATCAACCCTGAATAAGCACAACTTTGAATAGTGTAGCTGGGAAAGCATGGCTAAGAAAAGTAAGAGTAATTGCTCCAGCTTTCCTGGGATCTGGAAATATTTTCACTGTTGGACATACCCAGATAGGACACAGCATTTAGATTCTATGCTGGGAGCCCTGATTATACAAAAAGGATGTTTGGGGTAGGGAGGAGAGAAAAGCATTAAGTGCGTGAAGGTAGACTAAAGATTCAATTTAGAAAATACTAGGGCAGAGTGAAGGGAAGCAGGGATGTTCATGGTATCAAGATAACTCCAATGGGCCATCTGATGGGCTCAGATTTTACCCATCTGGGCCAGATGTGCCACCTATATATATTCCCGTTTTCATTTGTCTTTCTTTATTGCTATGCCTCCTATTTTATAGAGACCTTCTGTTGTTGGTGATACTAGGTTTTAAATCTCATAATGAAACCACCCAGCTGTAAAAGTGTTTATGCCACAAGATTCGGTTCCAGCCAGGTTGACTTTGGAGCTCAGGGGTAAACGTACTTCTAGTCTACCTTCCTTTGACCTTAGGAAAATAAATACACCAAGAAGACAAGCCTGGGAGCAGTGATTTACTCAGCCTCTACAGACTTCTGCATAAAATGAAGATGCCTGAAATGGCTTGCCGGACAAGGAGGCTCCACTCCATATCAACCCTGGTGTTGCTCTTTGAGCTATCCTGAATTATGCTGATAGTTCTTCCTCTGGCATCTCTCATTTGAAAACCAAATAATAGCCTAACCTCTTATTTGCCAGAGTTCAATGAAAACACCACAGTTCTGTTTTTATCTTGTATAGAGCAAAATCAGCTTTCCGAGTGAAAAATTCAGATTCACAATACTAATGAGGTTTTCTTGTGGGTTTCAAACAGTGATCGACAAGCCTTCTCAGGGATGGCATTAGGGAATAAGGGGAGCCTCAATTTGGGAGTCTGGGGTGGGAGTCAGGACTTGCCCCTTTTTTCTCTGGGGCAACTCTGTCTCTGTCTGCATTATAATTCAATTCCCAATATGATTTTGGTTGATGGCTGTTTTTATGCTAAAAATAAAGTGTGAAAATCTTGATGTGATGGCTATTTCCTTTACAAAAGGATTTCTAGGGCATGCAAAGTGATTCAAATAAAGACTCCTGGAACCACTGCTTTCTCCAGATGCTTGGATACTTTTGTGGGTTCTGTCTTTGGTGGCCAGGCATTTCCTCTCACCATTCCCCCCCTACCAACCCCCATTATTTTTTTCCTAAAATGCTCTGCTCCATAGAGATCCACATAATTTAGCCAACTTGGGCCCTCTTTGCAAGGCGGGCACACAAGTCTGTGACTTTGGATTCCCAAGGGTCCATGCACTTCATGTCCTTTATGGGTCTGTGGGCTCCCAGCACATCAGAAGATGTAACTAGACAGAAGATGGAGCGGCATCTCATTTCTCAAGTGAGATGTCCTCAGGCCCTAGCTTCAACCCTTCTGGGACATACACACACACATGCACACACATAAACAATAAACATTAGCTCCGTTGGATCTTTAACATATTTTCTCCCTGTTGAGTTTATCTCTCTTCAGCTCCCACTTTCTAACTTATACACGTGGCATTACAATGGTTGTTATTACTGCTACATATAGATTTAAAGAGATTGATAAGTTTCTTTTTTCCTACAGGTCTGATATAGCTTGGATTTTGTCCAAATCTCATGTAGAAATGTAATCCCCAATGTTGGAGGTTGGGCCTGTTGGGAGATGATTGGATCATTGGGGCTGATTTCTCATGAATGGTTTAGTACCTCCTTGTGATAGTGAGTGGGTTCTCGCGAGATCTGGTTGCTTAAAAGTGTGGGGCACCTCCTGCCTCACTCTTTTGCTCCTGCCCCCACCATGTGAAACATCTGTTCCCGCTTTATCTTCTGTCGTGATTGGAAGCTTCCAAATGACCCGGTTTTAGGTATTTCTTTATAGCAATGTAAAAATGGCCTAATGCAAAGACTTGTAAACGATTTCCTCTATAGATGACCTTGTAGA
This sequence comes from Homo sapiens, assembly GCF_000001405.40. Lineage (NCBI taxonomy): Eukaryota > Metazoa > Chordata > Mammalia > Primates > Hominidae > Homo > Homo sapiens. Next base: position 151,167,306 of record NC_000002.12, on the reverse strand, counting down.
TGCCATTTCTAAAGCTCTTACTCCTTCCTACTCTTATTTTGAAGCATGTTGACCTCCAGGCCTTTTCTCAGAAAGAACTACTCCACTCCTGACTGCCTGCTGCCCTTGTGCCCTTGCAGTGGGCAGCTATGGTGTGATTCCTTAAAATTCTGCTGTCTTCCCACTGCCTGGGGTTGTCCATTCTTCACATCTGAATTCTATGTGCCAGAAAGCACAGCTTCTGCTCTCCAGGAATTTGTCCTTGATTGTTACTTTATATCTGTGCCTCCTGATACTGCTGATACAGCCAACTATCTGGAGAGGCTTTTACAAATACCAAGGCCTAGTCTCTCACTTCTAAGAGTTCTTATTTAACTGGAGGCGTGGGCCCAGGCCTCTATAGTTTGTAAAATCTCCCCAGGTGATTCAAACATGCATCAAGACCAGAGAATCATTGCCTTCTGGTTGGCAGGGCTTTTAGGTGATAGTCCCCCAAGTCATGTCAGCTGAGGCCTCCCCAGGTCTCCAGCGCTGGATAGGAACATTCTCTAGGCGTTTCCCCCATTCTAGCAGTATCAGCATCACCTGGGAATTTGCTAAAAATACAGATTTGCCAGCCTGCTCCAGACCTACTAAAGGAGAAACTCTGGGGGTGGAGCCCAGCGATCTGTTTTAACAAGCCCTCCATGTGATTCTGATGGAGGTTGCAGCTCAAGAACCACTGCTCAAACCCACAATTTCCGTGGCTTGCTGATGATCAAAGCATCTAGATTTCCACACATTCTCTGGGTCTGTTTTTTTCACTAAGTCCTCTGCTCCAAGTCCTTGTGGCTGACTCAGTGGCAGCACGTTGACTTTGGTGGAAGTCTCTACAGCCCTCCAAAGAATCCATTCACCCAGAAAGCCTTTATGGACATACAGACTTAACGAAGATATGTGGAGGAGTGGTGAGGAGGTGTTTATATCTCAAACCCGGAAGAAACAAGGTACCAGTGGTCTATTAGAAATCCCTGTTCTCTCTTTTCAACTGTGATATCCTTGGGTCTGTTCTTCTGAACCTTGCAACGTACATCACTGGGCTTCTTCCCTTCTTGTGAGCTCCTTTGGATCTTCAGAAAATCATCCTTCTATTGTGTTGATCTCTCATCAATGTCTACTTGCCAACTTGCATTTAAGTTGTTTTGAACAACTTTTGTTGAACAAAAGCTTGCCCTTTAATTGCATCTACCCTGTCAGACAGCAGTTATAGATTACACTTTTTTTCTTTTTTGGCTGCATAACCCAAAGCCAAGTGGACTACGGCAGATTCAGTTCTCATAGGGACAGAAGGCATCAAATCTTATCATGGTGGCTCTTACTGTTTTGACCTGCCACTTGATCCCGTACGTTAGCTGAATCAAGACCATGCTGAATAAAGGACTGGAAAACAATAGAAAGCCACCAGTTTGATTGTTTTTCTTTCTTAATTTTTCTTTTCTTATAGAACTGAGGTTTCTGGGGTGGGGGAGGTGGTCAGGCAGGTAGAGCCTTTGTTTGTCAGCCTCCAAAATGATAAGCTTGGTCTAGTTCATTTCTAAGTGGGTGATAAGAGAAACACTGTACTTCAAAATTCACAAAGACGGAAAAATTATTTAAGAGTAGATCCTCTAAGTGCCAAAGGACAACTTGAAATTTGTATTAGACTTCTCTAGAAATAAGAACTACTAATGAATAAATCAGCTTGGTAGTGATTTTAAATGTGTCCAAGATGAGGAAGTTTTTACTTTACTTGACAAGGAAATAAAGACAGTGAATAGATGATTCAATGGATTGCTGATGTGGCTCCCCACATCCATTCTGGCAGGTGCACCATGCTCAAATATACATAATAATAGTTTAAATGTAAATAAGGTTAATGAATTTTAATATTCCTCTGAATCTTGTATTCATACTTTCATTTGCATAGTGACTTATTTCTCAAGTCCCTTTGTAAATATTGTAATGAAATAAACATTAGAGGCGAGCACAAAGGAGTGCATACAATTAATTCAGCAGATGGCCCTCCATGAAGGCAAATTGGAATCATATCACAGGATCGCAGACGTCAGGGATGGCCGAGTCACATAAGTAAACCAGCTGATCCTTCTTTTCTAGTGGGGAATGGTTCTGTTTAGGAGGTTTTCAAAAAAGTAGGTTGCTTTCACTTTATGCGCCTCAAGTGACAAGGTTTCTGAACTTGCCTTCAATAGAATATTTGCTGTGCTCCATCTGAAGCAACTGTGGTCCCAGGGATGTGGTGTAAGGGATGAAGAACAGAGGCACCTACCCAAGACACCTCAGGTGTAAACTGTCAGAGGGATAGGGTGGTCCCATGCTGGGCGTGCTCAGGCAGGCCGAGAGTTAATCGGAGGAGCACTTAGGAACAGAGAAAGACTCCTGTCTCTTAGCACAGCGTTTAATTTTTCTATTGCCAAATTTGAAAAAAGAAAACAAAGTTCACCTTCCTCTCCTCCACTGTTGTTCTGGCAAATATAAGTCACGTTGGTCTTAAATACTTGTTGATTAAAAGTGATGTTTAAAGTGGTTAAGGATGATTATATGTTTCAGGCTTGTCTTTACCTCCAAACCATTATATACAGCAACCATCCTTAAAGCTGTTGAACTTGCTGCTCTTCGTTGAATGCACTATGCTCTTCATACCTCTGAGCCTGTGCCCGTGCTATTGCAGCATGAGTGTTGGGGGTCACAGTGTGGAGCCCAGATGCTGGAATCAGGACACCCATGTCCAAATCCTGTGTGAAACACAAATATTAATAGTAGCCACCCCATGGGTTTGGTGACAGAGTTCAATGACTTACTACATGTGAAATGTTTAGGAGAATGCTTGGCATGGCCAAGTGCTTATAAGCTGTAGCTCTCACTAGCTCCTTGCTTGAAATGCAATTTCTCCTCCTCCATAAAACTCTTTGCACCTTGGGTTGAACATTGTCACACTTCTTCCCCAGCTTTCTAACTCAAGGGAGGATTAATTTCTTGTTCCTCTTATGTTTTCCTGGCACATTTTACATATTTCTGTCATTGCATAGTATTTGTAAAGATATATTAAATTTAGTCCCCACATATTTTTCCTATTCCCAAGCTGTAAATTCCTTGAGGACTGGACCATATTTAATTCATCAATGTATTATCTTTCAGCATCCCAAACAAGCCTTGGATATAGCAGATGCTTGATATTTAGCACTGTATAAGCATTCCATTTTTGGATAAGTCTGGCTGAACACTTATTGTGTGCCCAGTATTGCTCTGGATGTGTATTGGATAAAAAGAATGTTTCTTGCTCTCTGTTGACTGCCGAACCCGAATCATCTGTGAATGTAATTGTGCCTTAATAAAATGGGCAAGACCAGGGGAATGGAGCAGGAAGGGGTTCAGATTCTGCTTTTCATTTAGCACCTGAGATCCACATTTGGGAGCTCTTTGGATGCCCATCCGTTTTTGAATAGCCTTCACATATGTGGGGCAATTCCCATATTATGAGTCTCAGTGTCCCTTGTGGTTAGGACATAAGCGTGGCACGCTGGGCTTCCAATAAGGCATGCTTATGTGATGCTTTGGTTTGAAAGGGCATGAGGAAACAGGTTTATGCTGACTTCTCTGGTTTGCCTATGTAAGGGCCAAGGGAAAACTTCCCTTTGCTCTCTAAAGATTCACTGAAAATAACACAAAAAAAGGCAGATTAATAGGGGAAAAGGCATACAAATTTATTAACATGCGCAGGGAAAATAACAGTGATTACCCCACCACACAATGGGGTAGAAAAGGGGTATACCCTTTTTTCTTAAAGGAAAGGGAGATGGAGAAGTATGGATGATTTTAGGGGTATAGTAGGTGATTTTTGGAGGGAATTCAATGGGCTTGAAACACATACAGTGGCCTAGGACAAAGTCTCTTGGGCCCGCAGAACAGTTGGTTATTTGTGACAAACATGTGTCCAGGTGTGTGGACAGGCTTCAGGCTTTCTTCCTGTGATATGAATTCAGTTAGTGAACACTCTAGGATGGGACCAGAGATAATTGTTTCTTCTTTGGTGGGTCCGGACTTTAGGCAGATAAGGGCACTTCAGAGAACAACTTTATCCTGTACTGTGGGGGAGACAGGACTGAGAGACAGGAGTGAGGCAGGGGGAGGTCAGAGAGAGCCTGAGGCTTCTTCCTCAGCTCAGCATGTCAGAGCACCATATTTTGGGGGTATTGGTTTCTGAGCCCCAACACATTGCTATGGAGGCAGCTGACTTGCAGGTGCAGTAGAGGTAGTAAGAAGAGAAGCATTTGTACTGGAGGTAGTGGCAGGTACAGTGAAGTCAAGTCCTGGAATTTAATTCATGAAGATAGCAGCATTACTAGCAACAGAGTCTTTATTACTCTAGTTCTGTGGCATCATTTGGGGGCATTTTCCTGGAAACAGAACTTCTAGTCTCCCTGTGATTTCTGTAAGTTACCTAATATCCCCTAATAAATCTCCTTACTGCTTAAATTAGCCAGAGGAGAGTCTGTTGTTTTCCACCAAAAACCCTGATGAGTAGAGCAGCTGTTGAACCAAATTCTCTTGTCCAGAATTTTTAGGGGGTAGTGATGATAATAAAAATGTTGTTTGTTTGGAGATATGGACTTAAAATCAGTGTGAGAACTCATTAGAGTCCCCCAGATGTTGTGTGGCAGTGGTTAACTACTGAAGGATGTTAAAAATCATATGGTTCAGTTATTTTCAGTGGCATATTTGAGGAAACTTAGTTTCCTTATTCCTAAAAGGCTGAACTATACAGTCTGAAAGGTGCCTCCAAATTCAACCAAATAACGCATTCTTTTCTCCTGTCAGTGAAGGTTACAGAGCAGGAGTGTGAGTTAGTACTTTTATTTGATAGCTGTCTAGACCCTGAAAGCAAATTGGCTACAATCAGCAGAGGGAGCTAGAAGAATCAGGAAACTAGAAGGCTGAAATGAAATGAAGCAAGAGTTACCAGGGGGAAAATTATCAAGCATAAGAGAAGGTCACAAAGAGTTCAGTTAGGATTTTCTGAAGGAAAAAAAAAAAAAGACTAGGAGAAAGTAAAGCGATCAGAAAAATTGTTATAAGGGTTATAATAACATTAAAAATAGAGAAGAATTAAAAGATATGATTAACAGCTGTCATTACTTCAATTGACAAAGCTGGTTAATTGCCCATGTAATCCTAGTGTATAATTTCCCACCTAGTATACTTCACTCATGAGAATCATAAATGAATTACATATGTTGCTTTTGTTAGGCTGCTGGGGACGTGAATCCAAGGGATGGTTTTGACTTAGAAGGAATGACAGTGGTAATACCTAGCCCTGTGTACACATATAAAAGAGTCTTTCCTGTTTACAGGTTGAAGGGCTTTTTGAGCTAAGACTGAAGATGGGGTTTATGATCTGTCTGTCTTCATTATGTATATACGAAGCTGAGGCCCAGAGAGCTGAACTGACTTGCTCCATGACAGGCTTCCTGGGATGCTACATCGTGTGACATAAACATCAGGAATTCGTTATTAAACTCCTTGTTTTACAAGAATTAACCAATCATCACACAAAAGTTCCCAGGTCTAAAAAATCCTCCTCCTTGAGCACATGTTCAGATTCTCTTCCCCATTTTATTTACTCAATTGTCAGCCACTCAGAGAAAGACAGTGGTACCATGCATTTTCTAATCAACGCTGGACAGAAGTAAAGCCTAAACAAATTGCTGGGATGTGTTTCTTTATCTCCTTTTTATTTTGTCCTCATTCCTTGATACTTGACAGATGTTAAATGCAAAGAACAGCAGGGTGAATGCAAAAGGCTTTTGCACTCTTAAAGCTTGGGTACACCTGGATACTTCCTCAAAGTATTCTAGTCCTGCAAACACTGGGTAAAGGAAAGCTTTTCTTCCCTTGCATTTCAAATGCACGGTTTTTGTCAATCTACACTAGAAGACTTCTTCCCTTTACATGTCTTTAGATTTTTAAAGATTAAAAAAATTCTAGATGGGAAATGAATTTGTCAGATTCAGGCATTTGGCTGAGTCTTTGAGCTAGTGAGAAAAGCCTGTCTAATGCTACCTGTTAGCAGTTCCTATATTGTTACAATCTATGGAACTGAAATTTCATTTCATTACATTCTAGGTTCTAGCAACTACCATGCTGTAATCCCATCACTGTCATTTGCCACCCATTTCTTTCTGTGGTTTATTTGAATTACTCTACTGATTCTTTGAAAATCTTAGAGGAATAGGAAGAATCACTAAAAAATGAAAACCATTTTCCTTGGTTACTGCTCAAGCTTTTTTTCTGGCTTTGACTGTGACTTCAACTGTGGAAACGGAAGCTTATTTATTGGTATAATAAATGATCCTTGTTACATTTCTGTGCTTTTCTATTTGGGTTCCTTTTATGACCTTTAAAAAAATTGAAATATTTTTCTTTGGGTGCTATAGCAGCAGAAAGTTCTTAGAAGAACTTAAGATATAATTATTTACAGAAATGCTTATGGAAATAAGTCTGCCATAAATGTGGGTAGAATAAAGGGGATGCTTGTTCTAATATGTTAGAATGATACTAGTATTAAGTGGGACACCCACCTTCAATGATCCCTCAAAGACACAACCAGAACAGGGAAGAGTAGGTTTGATTGAGAATCTCTAAGGCTTGTTTATTTGATCTCTGTACTTGTACTAGCCATTTTCTAGAGTGAACCTTTTGATAATTCCACAGTGTTCTCCTTTTCTGAATGGTGAATCTATTTCAAGCCATCAGAGTCCCTTTGCTGCCTTTTTAAAGCCTTCCTAAGAATATTTATATACTGCACTGTGAGCTTTGTATCAGCATCAGATAGTCAATAACAATTGATGTTTATCCTTCAAGGCTTTGGCATTTGCAGTTTGTAGTGATTTCTCTTGGATCTCGGTGTCCATGATATATACGTTATCGCAATTTTGGAACGGTGTGAATTGAGGTTGGAGACAGGGTAGTAGGTGGCAGCTGAACATTTGCTTCCTGGTGAGCCTAGACAGCTGTCCATCACCTTTACATCAATATAGTTTTAAAGTTTTGTTGTGCTCTGCTAATTTTTATATCACATTAGGGGTGTGTGTCTGTGTGTGTGTGTGTGTGTGTGTGTGTGTGTGTGTATGTGTGTATGAAAATAGCCATTGAGTGAGAGGGTAAAACTTTAGTGATGTGAAGATCTGTCCAGGAAAGTTGGCTTATGATGAAAACATAATTTGGAAGAGAGCCAGGAGGTATCAAAAAGATTCTCAAAAGCTGGGAATTTTTGAATGTCTGGGAATATGTAAGTGTCAAAGGGCTAGTTTACATACATTTTGAAGAAATCCAGAAATTATACAAAATAAGAATAAAAAAGTGTTACATCCCTTGCAAAGTCCTCTGTGACTTACATTAAATACCTCTTAGCTTCATTCATGTTAAATCATTTACTTGCATTGATGGGCTTGTTAATTTGTTTATGTTGACATAATAGATATTATAAAACTCAAGGTATTATGAATCATTTTCTTTGAAACATAAACTTCATAACACACCAGACTTTATAAAGACATTTAGTTTGGATATACAAATAGGAGTAGCTGTCACTTTATTCAGAAGGATGAATTGGCTTCAAATATTTTCATAATTTTACACTCCATTTTTTATTTTATTTTAAGTTCTAGGATACATGTGCAGGACATTACACTCCATTTTTGAGAAATCTTTAGATTCATGCACACTAGCCAGTTTACAGTATGCATGACTTCACAGATTTGTTGGCTAAGCAGTTTAAGCACCCTGGAGGTGGAGACCTCTCTGAAAGCAGCTGCTCATCAGATCTGGCAGCAAAAGAATTAGAAATGTCATGAGCCTTCCCTGGTCCTCTCTGGCCCAAAGAATGACTTCCAAGGCATCATGCTGGCCTGCCTTGATTCCAGGACGAGTGTGAATCAAAAACCTAAGAGGGAAGAGGGATTAAATGTTAACACTACAAAGTGCTGACTCAGTTGGCCTAGCAAAAAAAATCTATTATACCACAAATAATTTTCTCTACAACATAGATGTAGAAAATCCCTACTGTGAAATTCTATCCTTAGAACATGGACTTCACGGGATAACAGCTTCTCAGGGGTCAGGGTTGTGGTCAGCTTAGTACCTTGGTGGCTTGATCTTAAATTAACTAGATATATGGGTCAGCTAAAAGCTTACTGGCTCACAAACACATGTAGGGTATTTGCTATTGGGAAAAAGCAATAAATGAAAGGCACAGGAAAATAATTTTTATAGATTTTTTTTTAAGCAAAAGAAGCTTAAGCAAGCACCCTAGAAAATCCATGTTTTTTTAAATTTTTCTTTTATCTGTGATGTAAATTTAGGTTTAAAGTTCTCTTTGGCCATTTGTCTATGAAGAAGTTGAAAGTAATTTCATAATTTATTGCTAAATTGGACAGTTAGATAATAGACTCTGCCTCGTTATTGAGTTGAAAACCTTTAAAGTGTTGTTTTTCATGTGTGTCTCCTTAATTAGATCATAAGCTCTTTGGTATCATAGACTACACCTGACTATTTGAATCCTCATATTGTTTAATAAAGAGTTCTAATGAAATGTACACTTTAACAATTATATACTTTTCCTTAGAGTTCTTGCTAGGATATAAGGTTATAGTCACACTATTATGATGATGAAGTAAAAGGGCCAACACAAATGCATAGGAGAAAAGAATTTCAGAAAATACCAAAATACTAAATTGAGTATGTCAAGTTGATAGAATTATGGGTGAATGTTTTCTTTCTGTATTTTTCAATTTTATTATAACTTTTGAAACTATCCAGTAGTAGAAAAACTAATCTATTAAAATTAAAATATACTTCTGCTCCTGGGTATCATAGAAAGCCCATATCAGGCTGGGCGCGGTGGCTCACGCCTATAATCCCAGCACTTTGGGAGGCTGAGGTGGGCGGATCACCTGAGGTCAGGAGTTTGAGACCAGCCTGGCCAACATGGTGAAACCCTGCCTCCACTAAAAACACAAAAATTAGCTGGGTGTCGTGGCACGTGCCTGTAGTCCCAGCTACTCGGGAGGCTGAGGCAGGAGAATAACTTGAACTCGGGAGGTGGAGGTTGCAGTGAGCCAAGATGGTCCCACTGTACTCCAGCCTGGGTGATAGTGAGATTCCATCTCGAAAACAAAAGCCTCTATCACATGAATGTTATCACCAAGAACACAGATATACTTATATTATAACTATTTGAAGTCATCAGAAAGCAACCAAGGCAGCCAGCATTTGAAGAGTCAAGACAGAGAGGGGAAACACATTGAGGTGATCCTGAAATTCTCTGCTACTTTCCTCTCTACATTTGCTGCTGATTCGTAAGCAGGGATGACAGGCTGGGTAAGAAGTGGTATCTGAGTGTTTTCAGCGTTCTCGAAAAGCTAGGGAGGCAAAACCCAACAAACAACCCCCCAAAAATACCACAAAGAAAACTGGAGCTCAGAACCAACCAAGGAGGAACAGCCATGGTGAACACCTGAGTTGAGACTTTTAAGAGACTAGACCCCAGGAAAAAGAGCAAACCAGAAATAGACCAGCCCTCTCAAAGGCTGAAACCCAGTCTCAAAGCATCTCAGCTCCTAATTGGATCTGTCTTTGGTCTAACTGCCTTTGTGAAGAAAATTACTCTCTGGAGTAGGCTAGCATATCCTCTGTAATTTTTCATATACAAATATGATAATTAGGAGCTAACTGGGATACTGCAAGACAGGACCGTGTGATTCAAAACTAAAGGAAAAACAGAAACAAATCCATATGTGATCCAGATGTCAGGGCTATTAGATACAAACTCTAAAACAACAGCAATTAATAAGTATAAGAACAGAGATAAGAGACAATTTGTATGAAAAAAAAGAGTCACACACAAAAAGTTAGACTAGAAGTTTCTAAGTTCCCTTCTGGTTCTTAAAAAGCGTATATTGTTATGGATGTTTTGTTCTTATTTGCCTTTTTGTTTGTTTTCCTCATAGAGGCATGACGTGGTGGCCTCATGCCTCTGTGATTCTCTACCGCCTCCTTTCTGATGAGCTCATTCATATCTGGAGGCTCACCTCACTTAGGAAAATTCTAGCTGTGTTGAAGAAGATATCCAAAACTCACTTCCTTTTTCCTCCTACCCCAGAAAAAGGAAGTGAGTTTTGGATATCTTCAACACAGCTGGAATTACCTTTTGCCCCAGGTAATTTCCTATTCTGTGGGCTGAAGTTTGGCAAGGATATGTAAAACAAATTCTATTTTATAGCTTACCGACTTACTTTTTCATACTTGGGAATTCATTCTGCTCTTCAACAGATCCGACTCAGCTGGTAATTTTATTTCCAGCTCCGTTTCAGTCTCTGAATAATCTTGGACAGACATAACCAACCCATCAAGGCATGATTTCCCACTGTGTCCAGATGTAGATTTAGAATCTTTCTCCAGCATCACATTTAAGGCAGATATTACCAAATGATTGGGGTGGCCACGTAAGTTAAAATTTCTTTTTTATTCTTGAGACAGATATCTCAGAAAGCTCTTTTGGCTCCAGACTTCTATGGTTGTATCCCATAGTTGGTTTTAGTTGTTGTTCAGTACATCTGTGGGTGGGTTAGGAGCCTCAAGGATGAGTGGGCAGCAGGAAGCTGTGGTCTGAGTACCATTCTTGACGCATTTGTTTTAACCCAAAGTTGTGTCTATACCATTACATTTTTCTGCCCTGAATGGTACATCTGATAAGATAGACCTTGCTACAATATGTGTCACTTGTCAAGTTAGTTGAAAGCCCTGATTTGGACTTTTAAAATCAAGTGCCTTTTGTGGTATTGGACACAGCCAAATTCAATCTCTCTCTCCCTCAAAGTGGCACCTCGTCAATGGCACCACCCACAGATTCGTCTCTGCTGTCTGCAGCCAGACACAGGTGCTCCCAACTGGTTTACACTGCATCCCTGGAGCAGATCATCTAGTGCTGCATTAGAAGTATGCCTACCTGGGCATCTATTGTCAGGAATGGTTTCAAAAGACTAGAGAATAGGAGTTAAAGGTTTTGATCCAACAGATAGACAAAAGCCTTTTTTTCTTTTCCTCCTTGACTTCTTAAAAATTGTGTTAAACTACACATAACATAAATATATACCAAATTAGCCATTTTAAGTGAATAGATCAATAGTGTTGAGTAATTTACATTATTATGCAACAGTTTTCCAAAACTCCATTCATCTTGCAAAATGAAAACCCTGCACCCGTTAAATAACAACTCCCTATTCTCCTCTCTCTTCAGCCCCTAACAACCATGATTCTATTTTTCTGTCTCTGTGATTTTGACTACTCTAAGCTTCTTGTCTAAGTGGAATCATACAGTATTTGTCTTTTCGTGACTGGCTTACTTCACTTAATGTCCTCAAGATTCATCCATGTTGTGCCATGTGTCAGAATTTCCTTCCTTTTTAATGTGATTATTATTATTATTTTCTTTCAATAGTTCTTGGGTACAGGTGGCTTTTGGGTATATGGATAAGTGTTTTAGTGGTGATTTCTGAGATTTTTGGGGCACCCATCACCCGAGCAATATAAACTGTACCCAATATGCATTCTTTTATTGCTTACCCCCTTCCAACACTTCCCTGCAAGTCCCCAAAGCCCATTATATCATTCTTATGCCTTTGTGTCTTCATAGCTTAGCTCCCACTTATAAGTGAGAACATACGATGCTTGGTTTTCAATTCCTGAGTTATTTCACTTAGAATAATGGCCTCCAGCTCCATCCAAGTTGCTGTCAAAGACATTATTTCATTCCTTTTTATGGCTGACTAGTATTCAATGGTGTTGTACATATACCACATTTTCTTTATCCACTCATTGATTGATGGGTTCTTAGGTTGATTCCATTTCTTTGCATTGTGAATTGTGCTGCTATAAACATGTGTGAATGTGTCTTTTTCATATAATGACTTTTTTTCCTTTAGGTACATACCCCGTAGTGGGATTGGTGGATTGAATCACAGTTCTACTTTTAGTTCTTCAAGGACTCTCCATACTGTTTTCCATAGTGGTTGTACTAATTTACATTCCCACTGCAGTGTAAAAGTGTTGTTCTCTTTTCACCACATCCATGCCAACATCTATTACTTTTTTGATTTTTTGATTATGGTCATTCTTGCAGCAGTAAGGTGGTATTGCATTGTGGCTTTAATTTGCATTTCCCTGATGATTAGTGATATTGAGCATTTTTTCATTTTTTTTTGGATGTTTGTATATCTTCTTTTAAGAAATGTCTAGAATTTCCTTACTTTTTAAGGCTGATTTGTTTTTCTCTTCATCTGTCATTGGACACTTGGGTTGCTTCCACTTTTTGGCTATTGTGTATAACGCTGCTCTGAATATGGGTATACGAATATCTTTTTGAGACCTTACTTTCAATTGTTTTTGGTATACACACAGAAGTGGAATTGCCAGATCACATAGTAATTCTATTTTTAATTTTTTGTGGAACGATCATACTGTTTTTCATAGTGGCTTCACCATTTACATTTCCACCAATAGTGCACAAGGGTTCCAATTTCTCCACAACCTTGCCAACACTTGTTATTATTATTAATTTTTTTTGTGAGTGTAGTAGTCATCCTAATGGGTGTGAGATGGTGACAAAAAGCTTTTTATTGAGTTAATATATTATTTTGTTGAATTAATATCTTACTGCATTGGAAAATTATTTTTCTGCAATTGTTTATGACAAATATGTAAGGTGGGCAGCAGATATAGCCAACCTCATTGAGCTGTTGCTAGTTACCAGTCTTTAAAACCTCCAGTTCAAATAGTTTATTTTTGAAAATTTCATATCACTCATATGCTATGTAATATCTGGCTAAGGAATCAAGGACTTGAGGCTTAAGATGTTTCTGTTTTTACTCAAGTTAGAGCCTTAATGAATTGGTAAATTGTGGCTGGTGAATGGATTGGGGTCACAGTAGAATCATTAAGCTATGTCAAATTCACTTGATTATATTTAAGCAGATGAGAACTGGAATATATACTTCCAGACTGTTTCAGAGGATATGTGTTTCTGCAACTATGAGGCTAGAACTTCTCCCAGCCCGAAAACACACTTCATATTCTGAATAAATTAAAAAGCACATCAACAAGGTTGAATGATCACCATGTTGCAAGACAGACAAAATTTCTTGTGTAAAATCATGTGTCTTTTGAATTTTAAAGATTGTAGACATCTTAAAAGGAATATCAAAAACCCAGCACTGAGTTCCATTTGTTTCAGGACTATTTTAGAGTTCCAAAAAGTTTTTTTAATGCAAAAATCTGTCATTATCTGTAAAAGATTTTTAGCTATTCCTGGAGCTGTAGATTGGCTATATTTTTGAGAGATGAGTCAGGAGGAGGAGGACTGGCTTGCCACAGCTGGGTCTGTAATCAGGGCTATTTTCCCCTTCCAGGCAGCAGGAGGAGGTTGTGCAGGTGTACACAACATGCCTTTACCTGCTTTCACCCCAGTTGGGAGTGGCATCCCTTAACTGCCTCCCAAGGCTATGATCTACAAACCTTCTTTCCAAACAGGGTGTTCTGTGGTTGGCCTCATACTTTGATGGTTTTAAGACCTTGTTCAAGGCTGGAAAGCCACTAACATCTATCTAGGGGAATTCTGACTCCTAGAGGCTGTGTTTTTGAGCAAATTTTTTGAAGAAAGTGCAGAGTTTTAAAAATGTGGACATAAAGAAAGACATTATATAACAAATAGCCTACAGGCTAGCATGAAAATTGTAAATCTCCTTTTTCCTTATTCCCAGTTCGATTTGGAAAGGGACTTCAATATAAGTTTTTAAAAGATCTTTGCATTATGGAACATTTCAAATGTATACATGCAGACAGTGTAGCATAATGGACATCTGTGCCCCTACCACCCAAAGTCAACAGCTGTCAACATCTGCCATTCTTATTTCATCTACACCTCCTTCCATTCCCTTCCCCCAGCACGGTAACCTCAACAAATGCATAAAATGGGCATAGGTTTTAAAACGACATTGTTCAATGAAACATTGATGATCACTGTTATGGTTGGAGAGATAAGGTTTGATCTACATTTTATTTTGGCATTGGTATCTAAAACCATGTGAAAACAAACTTAATGTGTTATCAGTTGAGATTTAAAGCAAATCAATTAACCTCAAACTAGCATCTAGTCCTTTATTTATTCAATAAATACTTAGTGAAAGCCTATGTTCCAAGCAGTCTTCTAGGCTCTTGGAAGACAGTAGTGAACAAAACCAACAAATTATTGCCTTAATGGAGCTTATATCTTGATAAGAGAAAGAGAGAGTGAGTTTGAAGCTTCAGTATTAGATAGGGGCATCAGAGGGTGTGTAATGGGAAGATGCTGTTTGAGCAGGAGGTGAGGGAGGAAGCCATGTAGGAGCAGCATGAAGACTGGTACTATTCTGGTCAGAGGGAACAGCAACTGCAAGGGCCCAGGGGTGGGATGGGGCCTAGTTTACGCTAAGAACAGCAAGGAGGCTGCGATGGCAGAAAGGAGGGAACGAGGGAGAGGGAATTAGGAGAGGAGGTCTGACAGGAAAGAGGAGGACTGGTAGCTTGTTTGGAGACATCTCGAGGACTTAGGTTTTCTCAGGGAAGCAGAGCATGAGCAGAAGCTGTAGTTGGGCAACAGAATGAAGCTGAGGAGAAAAGCTTTGGTCTGATTAAGCCAAATGGCACCTTAAAGACAAGACTGAGTGTAGTTTTCACACAAGCTGAATCTCCTGAAGTAATCTGAAACCACCAAAATTTTGTTCCCCGAATCTAATAGAAATGCTGATATCCTGGACATACTTATTTTTCCAAGATGTTTTATTCAAGTTTCCAGTCCAACTAGATTGTTTTTAATATCTTCCTCCTTTCTTTTTTTAAATAAGGTCTGCCAGACGGAACTTCCAATGAACCACTAGGTTTCCCTAGACAAACCTAATTCCCAATTCTGCCTCTTATTGATGGGTAGTATTTGCCTTGAGTCTTGGGTACAGCATTGATAATTAAGTTATGTAGTATGTCAGTTTTCTTACAGAGCCCTGAGAAATTATCCATGGCTCTAAATGACTATATAAGTTACTTGAATGCATTATGCTATATATTTATATGGTACCATATTTATTGTGCCACTACTGTCTTACAGACAAAATTGTTTTGGGAGGTTTCAGATGGACTTTAAATGTCTGTATAATCAGCTTTATTTTATCACTACCTTTTCTAAAAAAATTAGATTTGAAAAAATAGTTGCTTTGCTTCTGGTCAAATCCAATTGTAAGGTGACTATTGATTCCTTTAGCTGTGTATGTGGTGGTTTGATATTGCCTTGGGGCTAATGCATTTCTTTACAGGGGTGGCAGGGTGTGTTTATTATAGTACGTGAGGTCTCACAAAGAGGGGTATGAGAGGGACTCATTATGAGTTATAATTTTTAATGATTCACACTCAAGATAAAATTCCATTCAAGCTGGTATAAATGGGGGGTCATAGTGTATGATGAAATTTAAAAGACAGAGAAGGATTGGATATCAGTGTATGAAAATCAGTTGGATATCAGAAAGTAGAGACAAAGAGACAAATGTATTCTTGGGTAGCTTGCATAAAACTTGTTTAGCAGGATTTATATGTTTACTTTAAAAATAATTTTTTGTTTATTTACCTAAAAATATCGATTAACTACCTATTCTGAAGCCATAGCTGTGCTGTGTGCTGGAAGAGACAAAGGAATTTATAAGATATGGTTCTTGTCTACAAAATGATCTTAAGACAATACGAGACACCTTTCATGGGCTCATCAAATATTTTTTGAGCACCCACGTTGTCAGGCTCTGAGTGAAGAGGTATAAAATATTCCTTTACAGGAAATATTCATTTGTTTTTCCTTTGTATCAACTGTCTGCTTGCTCAGAGAGGTCATACCCCAAATGACAAGTAAGCACTGTAACTTCTGGCATTCTAGTGGCTGAATTACAGAATAATGCCTTTTAATAACACAGATAAGGGCTTTCTAGGTCAGCTGTACAAGAGCAAACAACAAACAAAGAGTCAACCAGATATCTCTGCCCTGGTTTTAAAATTAGTGTTTTTGAACAAATGAAATGACCCCAAACCAAAGGAAACTAATTATGGCCTGATAATGGTCTGATAGAGGCTATATTTTGACAGCATAATATGGCCCCATAGGGCTTTTCAAAAGGAACAGGGAAAGGAGGATGGGTAGAATAAATAAAGAGGGATATAGCTTCCATTTGCCAAAGTTAAGCTTTTCTGTTTTAAAAAAAAAAAAAAAAACCAAGTGAATCCCATCACTGCTTGGAATTTTCAGCTTTTAAAAATAGTCACTGACTTTGATGTTTAAATTGTGGCTAAGCTGGCCTTCTTTCACTAGAAAGAGATAAAATTTAGTTTTTCTTTCATCTATTCATATCCACACACCCCTTCTTAATCATTATTCAAAGAAATTGCTCATGTAACTCTTGGCTCTTGGCTGACCCACCAGCCTTACTAGTAAACAGTAAAGTGCTGTGAAGCCGAGCTGCCTGCCCACCATCAGGAGAGGGTTATAAAGATGGCCTCTTAGCCCTCAGCACACAGGTAATAGGGAGACTTGCACAGCTGATGGTTTTAGCATTCATGAGTAGAGGAAAAAGAGAAAATGCATGTCACTGTGGAATTGCTGATAAACTGAGGAATGTGTGCAGCCTCCTTGTTTAATCCACTCTGCCAAGTGAGCTTTGAATGCTAGCCTGCACTGAATAATAAAGATCCTTACATAGAGAGTTGTGCCAGGCCCCTCATTAGAAGTAGGAAAACCCAATGACCGGATCAACATTTCAGTACTATATTTAGCTGGTGGGAGAGAGAAAATAATCACTTTGTCGCTCTACTTCCTCCTTTGGGTTTTGTCCTCATTTAACTTTTTATAGAGGGTTTTCAGGTTTATTTATGTAACAATAACATTTGTCAGATTATTCTTCATTGCAAAAGTAATATATGTTCTTTAAAGACAAATACAGAAAAGGAGAAATGTTACTCCACCACTGAAAGGAAAACCAACGTGCACACATTTCACTTTTTGCTTAGGCATAGTTTTAGCTTATTAGTTTTTGGATATATTTTGATCATGCTGCATTTTCACTCATCATAAACATTTTTATTTACCTGTGGCAAGAGTGTTTCACTTTAAATGGCTATATTCCTTTGGGAAATAATTTATTTAATGGGTCTATTCATGTGTTATTCTTACCATTTGTTTGTGGTAAATCATCAATTCCTAAACAACATCTTTGTGCATAAGGCTGTTTCCCTTATTTGGAAGTGTTTCCTTAAGATAGATTTTCTAGAATTGGATAGACTTTTTAGAATTGATCCAACAGGGATAAAAAAAAATTTCTCTTTTTTGTCATTTTTTTTTTTCTTTTTGTGGAGAACAGGGTCTTGCTATATTGCCCAGGCAGGTCTTAAACTCCTGGGCTCAAGCTATTCTCCTGCCTCTGCCTCCCTAAGAGCTGGGATTACAGGCGTGAGCCACTGTGCCTCACAAAAGTTTTTGAACATTTCTAAGGTTGGTAACAGTAATTTTCCACAAATATTGTACTAATTTACACTCCCATTAGCACTGTGGGCGTGGTCATTGGAAGTGTGACATTGAGGTAGGATTCTGTCTCTGTTTTTGCTTAAAAAGCCTTCAAAGAAGATGGAAGAATGGCTCTCTCCACTTTGTTACGAATTTTGCTTTCTCCACTCCCACCACATTGTTATCCGTTTTGCATTTAATACTCAGTGATCTTGGACTTATTTCTCCACAGCAGACCTATCCTTTGCCTCTGCTGTAGGCACTTCATATCATTTCTGTTAGCCTTTACAATTAGTTTGGATTGGTCTCTTTAGTGAGGACACTCCTCCACTGTTCATCCTCCTAACTGCTGATTTTGAGAATTACAAAGTGGGTCAGTGGCAAATAGAGTACAAAGTGAAACAATGGAAGAAGTCAACCAGGTTGTGTTTAGAGAAGTATGTAAAATTTTGGTGATTGCAGGGAATTTGGCTTTTATCTCAAACTTATATTTTACATGCAGAAAACTTCCACCTGTTTTGAAGTATGACATGAATATATTTTGTAGGCTGGTAGAAAACATTTGGCTCAATAAAGAATTTTCAGTTGCAATGATCTGAATGCCTACATCTCCTTAACTTACGAAGAGAAAGCAAATAAATATTTGTAAAATATTCTGATTGTGCCAAAGGCAACTTTGATCATATTTTGTCATTGGTTTACATAGCATGAAAAAAGTTTCAAATACTTTTCAAAGCCGTGGACAACTTCGTAAAGTGGATTTGTGCAGCAACCAGAACAGTCCTATCTATGTTCTCATGACTATTAGCTATTTGTTACTGCACACCAGGGTGCGCTGAGAAGCACTCAAAGAAGAAATGTGTATGTGTTTGCATGAAACCAAAAGCTGAGTCTTTTATCTTGATTTTTTAATTTGAGCTTATTCAGTGGAGTTCTTTGGGGAAGCTGGAAAATGAGAAATGATGAATAATATAAGGAAGAGAAGTGTATTTTTCTAGAATAATTGGGCATTTTAATATATATACTGGAAAGGGCTCTTTGATGGTTTCAAATCAAGAAATACAGTACAGAGTGTTGCCGTGACCTCTTACACGTCTTCTAATGAGATTTTCAAATGACATGGTTCAAATGAGTTTGAACAAAAACTTGTACTTTCATAGATTTGTATAGAGAAAAATATGAACCCCAAGTATGAACACGATGTAAACCTGATGAAAGAGCTATTCCCATTTATGAAAACGTATCATCTTAGACAAGAAACGGACATTAAAGGGCTACATAAATGCTTCCTATGTAAAATTTAATAAGAAATCAATGCATTTTCAATTTGTACCACTTTTCCTGCCATAGAACTTGGCATTAGATATCATTTTGTTATAACCTTTGTCAACTATAGGTCATTTTAAATAATTTATTCCAGTTTTAAAAATTGTAGATACTGAGCTCATATCCTGATAAAACACAAATTTTACACAAATTTACAGTTTGATGTATGTGAAATTATTGGAAATGTATGGCTTTAAAGTGGGGAAAATGCAGAAATTTTCTATTTTCAATCAGCTGTTTTATTCACTGTAACTGTGAGCTACCAAGCTCTTGGGGGCATTTATCACCACAGCATACTTTTGTCTATCCTGACTGATACAATCATTATACTAAAGGCATTTCCATCTAATTTCCTTTTTCACCTAAGTCATCTCTACCCCACTCAAGAAGGAGTGAGGAGGCAAAGCTAGAAGGCATTGATAGGAAAAGGAAAGGTCATTCTGCCACATTAAGACCATAATGTCACCAGCTGCCTATTTTATATTCTAATTTCCAAAATATACTTGACATTTTATTTTAGCATTTCTAATCATACATATGCAAAATGTTAAGTGAGGTGATTATGGCAGGAAAAAGTGGCCCCCAAATGAAGCTATTTATATCCAATTTATCTTATCTGTCTAGGAGCAATGGCAATGTCTTTAGTAAAAAAAACAAAGCAAAAACAACTAAGGCAGGGCACAGTGGCTCACACTTGTAGTCAAAGCACTTTGGGAGGCTGAGGCAGGGAGATCACTTGAGCCCAGGAATTGAGACCAGCCTGGGCTGGTATCAAATGATGAGACCCTGTGTGTACAAAAAATAAAGTATCCAGGTGTGGTGGCGTGTACCTGTGGTTCTAGCTATTCATGAGGTTGAAGTGGGATGACTGCTTGGGCCCAGGAGTTTAAGGCTGCAGTGAGCTGTGATTGCACCACTGCACTCCAGCCTGGGTGACAGAGCAAGACCTTGTCTCAAAACAAAAAAAGGAAAACATTCCTTAATTGTGTTTTTCTCTATGTGTTTAACCCTCAATGAATAGTTTATTTGCTTGAGAGAGCTTTAGTATAGTCTGTAATATGTATGGTCATGTGATCATTAGTAAGTGAAAGTGTTGTTTCATTTCGTATATGAATTTGAACTAAGTTGTATATTTCATACCAAGAAGCTAAGTTCCCAGGACTGGTGTATCCAGCCTCAGGGTTCTGGCCTTATGGATCTTGGCCTTGACTGTTATTACTCTCTCCCTCCCTAAAGGCTTGTTAGCATTTTAAGCAGGTGAACTCTGGACATGGAATTATGATGGGGCTTCCCATTATGGAGCCCTCTTCAAACTTGCCTTACGAATATTTCTCACACATTCCTACCACTTATACATTGTCAACCTCTTTCTCCTACCCAATCTCTGCATATGACTCAATAATGTTTTACATAAGAAGTAGAAATATTTGTCAACAAAGATTTAGAAACCTCATGTAAACAAGCTAATTCTTGGTTTTGAGAGATGTGCTGACAGTTTGTTCATGGAGCTAATGGGGTAATAGTTTGATGGAGTGTGCCTCATCCATTTATTTACCAATCCATCTGCAGCATCCAGGACAATATTTGGCACACAGCAAGCACTCAGTATGCATTTGCTGAGAGAAAGAATGACAGATACATTGGGACTCAGACAAGGCCTCCGGGGACACTCAGCCTTTTGATACTAATCTTAGTATTTTGTCACTTTCGTTTCCTTCTATATGGACCCTTAACATTATAGGATATGTCTGTGAAATAGTGAGGCTGGCTTTTTAAACAATCATATCAACACATCCAAAGGAGATTTGACCTTTAGATTCCTCACCCTAGGAAGTTCAGTGAGGTTGTCATTGCTCAGAGTACTTTATGAACCCTGCTTCTTCCCCAGCAGGTATCCCTCTGAAGGGCTGGTGTGTTTATATCACAAGTGTTACCAGGTACCAGCAGCTGTGACTGGATGACATAGACTCTGAAACCTGCAGTGCCCCTTCTGTTCCTCTGATTCCTACCCTAAGGCGGCAGTCATTGGTGGACACAGTAATAGCTAATGAGTCTAATTTCTCCCAGCATCTAGTTGACTTTCTAGTGGGGGAAAAAAAAATCAAGCAAATGTACTGGGTATCTGAAGTTCCACAGTAACCGACTCCAACAGGTGACTTCCTGTGTGGTTCTTTTAAAAAAATATCTTGGATGACATTGGCACTAGGGAAACAATTCTTCATTAAAGTTACGGAGACTGCTAGAGATACAGCTAGATTAATGAAGTGAATTACTATCGCAGTCACAAAGGCGCCCCAGAGTGTTGAAGGAGTTAACGTTTGGTTATTTTCTTGGTGATCCCGAGGGCACTTATTATGAGGAGGCAGTAAATTACGCACTGGGGAGAAATTGATTCATTTTAACAGACACTTCTGTAGTAGTTAAAAAAAAAAGGATTTAGGTTTTGTATAGGCTTTCAATAGATACACATGTTAGAAAATTGAGGTGTAGAGGTAAAAATCATGGGCTCTGGGGTTAGGCTGCCTGGATTCAAATTTCGATTTGCTGATAATGTGATCTTGAGCAAGTGACATTTTTTCTATACCTCAGTTTTCTTATCGATAAAATGGGTATGACAATAGTCTTTATCTCATAGGATTTTTTTGAAATTAATAGACTTTATTTTTTGAGCCATTTTAGGTTTCCTGGTACTAGGAACATTTGCTTTACTATGGTACATTTGTTACAATTAATAAGCCAATATTGACACATTTTATTAATGTCCATAATTTACATTAGGGTTCGCTCTTTGGATTGTACATCCTCTGGGTTTTGACAAATTGTGTGATGACATGTACTTGCCATTACAGTATCATGCAGAATAGTTTCACTGCCTTCAAAATCCTCTGTGCTCTGCCTATTCATCCCTCTCCCGACCCCAGCCCCTGGAAACCACTAATCTTTTTGCTATCTCCATAGTTTTGTCTCTTACAGGATGTCATATGGTTGGAATCATACAGTATGTAGTCTTTTCAGATTGCTTTCTTTCATTTAGCAATATGCGTTTGAGATTCCTTCATGCCTTTTTATGGCTTGATAGCTCATTTCTTTTTATTGCTGAATAATATTCCATTTCTTGAATCTACCACAGTGTATTTATCCATTCACTAACTGAAAAACATCTTGATTGCTTCCAACTTTTGGCGATTAAGAATAATGCTGCAGGTTTTTGTGTTTTTCATTCATTTGGTTAAATTCCAAGGAGTGCAATTGCTTGATTGTAGGGGATGAATATGTTTAGCTTTGTAAGAAACTGCCAAACTGTTACCCAATGTGGCTATAACATTTTGCATTTTCCACTAGCAATGAATGAGAGACTCTGCCTTTCTGCATCCTGACCAGCATTTGGTGTGTCAGTGCTTTAGATTTTAATTATTCTAATAGGTGTGTAGTGGTATCTCATTGTTTGAATTTGCAATTCCCTAATGATATATGATGGTGAGCACTTTTTTTTGATGTACTTATTTCCCATCCATATATCTCCTTTGGTGAGACTTTAAAGAGTTTTTAAGTGAATTACATAAAACAATACAAATCAATTACTGAGTATAGCACCCAACATACAGTAAATTCTCCATAAATATTACCTTTTCTCATTATTAGAATGCTGAAATCATCCTGGGAAATCCACCTGAAGAAGCTGGCAGGACACCTCATCTGCATTCTTAGGAAATGATATCAGTCTTTTTCTAAAAAATCTCTAATTGAGGAAAAACCAACACACTCTGGTATCTCTCAGCCTTCTCTGGGGGAAGTTCCTCCCATGCTAGAAAAGAGTAGACAAGGGGGCAAATTAGACAAGGGCATTTTAAAAACTGGCGGATTACTTGAACTGTTTGGGAACCTTCATAAGATAAATTTGAGTCCCATACTGATTTTGATGTACATGATAGGGCTAAAGAGTAAAGATTTTTATTTTATTTTATTTATTATTATTGTCTTTTTTGAGATGAAGTCTCGCTCTGTCGCCCAGGCTGGAGTGCAGTGGCGCGATCTCAGCTCACTGCAAGCTTAGCCTCCCGGGTTCACGTGGTTCTGCTGCCTCAGCCTCCCGAGTAGCTGGGACTACAGGCGCCCACCACCACACCTGGCTAATTTTTTGTATTTTTAGTAGAGACGGGGTTTCACCGTGTTAACCAGGATGGTCTCGATCTCCTGACCTCATGATCCACCTGTCTTGGCCTCTCAAAGTGCTGGGATTACAGGCATGAGCCACCAGGCCTGGCCTTTATTTTTTAAAGACAGGGTCTTGCTCTGTTGCCCAGGCTGGAGTGCAGTGGTGCAATCACAGCTCACTGCAGCTTTGACCCCTTAGGCTAAAGCAGTCCTCCCACAATAGCCTCCCAAGTAGCTGGGACCACAGACGTGTGCCACCGCACTCGACTAATTAAAAAAATTTTTTTTTTGTAGAGATGAGGCCTCCTTATGTTGCCCAGGCTTCTCTTGAACTACTGGGCTTAAGTAATCCTCTCGTCTCGGCCTTCCACAGTATTGGGAATACAGGTGTGAGCCACTGAATTTGGCCATGAGTATATACTTTTAAAATGCACCAGGTGTCTGAACAATCTGACTACATGATATGTCCATGACCATACAATTTATCATTTAAGCTAATCACTTTTGCGAGTGAAAGGTACTATTAACAATTTACTCAGGACAATAGATGAACACAAGGATAAGCTGGGCAGATGTCCTGGGGAAACTGGGATATGTGTTCTCCCTGTGTGTAAGTCTTTTCTTGACTTTAAGGTTCTAAGAGTATAGTAATAAATCCAACAGAAATGCTTCCTAATGTGCTTTATGAGTATCTTGATATTCACTCTAATTTTCTAGAAAGAAAAAAGTTGGGCTTATATTAATATTGATAGATAATATTGAAAAGGAAAAAGTAGGAAAAATTAAAAAGGACCCAACAAGGTAGACCTTATTAGAATTTCAACCAAAGAAATTCAGATTTTCTATTTATGTTGAAAGTGGCAAAACCCATAATACTCAACTGAAATTAATTTTATATTAAAAAGAAGAGCCATTTTTACTTGTTTGGGGTTTTCAAAGGTGGTAGTATCTGGAGTGATATTTTAATGAAAATATAGCCTAATGTAAATCTTCTTTGCTTGACTTGAACAGACTTGAAAGAAAGCCAAGTGTCAGACAGAGGAGGATGTCAGTTTCTGTGGCACCCATGGCAATTCAGATGCAGGGTGCAATGTTAAAGTCTACACCTCTACATAATTCTTGGAGGCTTGCAAAAGAACAAACGAGCCAATACTTGTTGAATACATACAGTTATTTCAAGCACTGAGCTGTTTTATAGTCCTCCATCAAATAAAATAGACATTCTGATCCATTTTATGGATAAGTAACCAAAGACTTGGAGGCGTTAAGTAGCCTGCCTAAGGTTACACAAGTGGTAAGTGACAGAGACTAGATTTGAAACCCCGTGTGTCAAGGGTCTTTCCTCTATATCAGCCTTGCTGCTTCAATTGTAGAAAAGTATCCATTTTGTTGTAGTGGAGGTCTCAGCTGAGCTGAGGTCACAATTCAGAATTTACATGGGCCTAGTGAGTTTATTGGTGGAAACCTGAAGACAAATATTTTGAGTTTTTGTACTGGGGGCCAGGAATTTTCATAAAGTAGACTTGTGTGAATATAAGGACAGAAACAAATGGTGTTGAAGGCATTATGACATTAATTTCTCTACCTGGTCTACCCTCTATGGAGAGATAATCTAAAGGCAGAAATACATAAGCTGTTTCTATGAGGAACTTTATTTATTTGATAGCATCTTATTCTGGTCACCCAGGCTGGCGTTCAGTGGTGATCATTGTTCACTGTCACCTCAAACTCCTGGGCTAAAGTGATCCTCACTCCCCAGCCTCCAGAGTAGCTAGGACTATAGGCACACACCATCACACCCAGCTAATTTATAAATATTTTTGTAGAGACAAGGTCTCACCACGTTGCCCAGGCTTGTCTCAAACTCCTGGGCTCAAGTGATCCTCCCGTCTCAGCCTCCCAAAGACCTGGGATTATAGATGGGAGCTATCCTGCTTGGCCTCATGGGAAACTTTTTTATTGTCATATGAACGTAGTGTGACAAGGTCAAAGGCCAGAGGAGTAAACAGGGACTAATTTGTGAAGGGCTTTGGTGCCAAGAGAGAGGGTTAGTACTCCATCCTCAGAGCAATAGGAGTTGGTTAAAAGAATTGAAGCAGGGGAATAAAATAGCCATCTTAGTGCTTTTTGAAGATCACTGTGTTTGCAGTGTGGAGAATGGCAAAGATGAGTAAGAATGGCGAAAGGGTGCTGTCACAGTTGTGTGTGGGAATAATGAGTGTAGTCTGAACTATAGGTGGCAGTGGAGATAGGGAAGAGTGAATAAATTTAAAAGATATCAAGTAGGTAAAATGTGTAAACTTAGGGATTGATTGGTTGTGGGGGTAATAAAGAGGGAGGAATCAAGGATGACTCTCAGATCTTTAGCTTGGAATACCAGATAGTTGGACTGCATTTATTGAATGGTGGCAGGTTGATAAGTTCAGTTTCAGACCAAACATATTAAGTTTGAGGTACTCTGAATGGTTCACATGAAGGTGACCCGGAAGCAGTTGAATAAAAATGTCTGGAGCTTGGGAGAGAAATCTGGGCTGGAGATATTGATATGGGAGATAATAACATATGGATTGTAAATTAAGTCATGGAAGTAGCTGATATCACCTTGTAAGAATATACAGAATGAGAAGAGCAGAGAGTCTAGGACTAAGCCTGAGGGAGACAGGGTGGAAGAAGGCAGCTTTTGTAGATGATTAGGAGGGAGGGGCTATGGGAATAGGAGGGAAGCCAAAAAAGAGTGGTGTCATGGGGGTCAGGGAGAGTTTTAAGGCAGGTGTGACCACCTGGGTTTGGGACTGACAGGAGATCAAGCAAGATAAAGACTGAAAACTGCTTATTAAATGTAATACAATTTTTATTATTTATAGGGACATATATTAACAAAGTTTGAATACCACAGTTTCCAATTTGGAATGCTACTTTGGCAGTGTTTACCACTTTTAAATCTATTCACGAACTGGAAATTCTGGGTTGTGGAGAGAGAAAGTATAATAAGGAACCATTTCCAAATAGCATCTTAGGGGAAGGAGGTTAGTCCTGAAATTAGGTAATGCATGAGTAATTGATTAATGGTATGTATTACATAGAGCTTGTTAATTGTTGAGCGGTACTTATACTCACTGCAATCAGTTTTTCATTATGTTCATATGTATCACTCATATGGAAACGCAACACTTCAAGATGTGTTGTTAGCTCAATTTTCAGGGCATGTGTTCAGTTGAGAAACTGTCTGCTGTGGCAGCAGCCCCCATAAGGACCATGACGACAGTTTCACTGCAAAATAGCACCCCTTTGACCCGGACATGTTTCAGGAAATGGCTGGTCACAGAAAACGCTCTGCCCCTAACACTGAACGATCTTTCCTCCTTTGAAATGTTCCTAAATTACTCACTTGTTCCCTTGCCTATCAAAATCTGCCAAATGTACCTGAAGGCCAATTAGGGTCTACTCCACTTCCCAAAGTCCCACCTTCACACAACGCTTGCCCACCAAATGCTGTCTCCTTGGCATTTCCTCTTTCTACTCTAAAACGTACTCTCCTCTCAGACACTCTGAACCCCTGCTGAAAGGAAAGTGGCTGCAGAATAATTCCCTTGCTACAGTTTATGAATAGATAGCTTTTTATTTTTTATTTTTTTATTTTTTATGTTTTTGAGACAGAATCTCGCTCTGTCACCCAGGCTGGAGTGCAGTGGCGCAATCTCGACTCACTGCAAGCTCCGCCTCCTGGGTCCACGCCATTCTCCCGCCTCAGCCTCCCGAGTAGCTGGGACTACAGGCGCCCGCCACCACACCCGGCTAATTTTTTGTATTTTTAGTACAGACGGTTTCACCATTCACAGGATGGTCTCGATCTCCTGACCTTGTGATCCGCCTGCCTCGGTCTACCAAAGTGCTGGGATTACAGGCGTGAGCCACCGTGCCTGGCCGATAGCTTTTTAAATCTTGTCTTTAGGTTTTGTTGGATGTAGGTTGAAAAAAATGAACTTGATTCTTCTCCAAATCAACCTAAGTGCTATTTCATGCCCCCTTTTCAACTGATAGTATACAATGGCCCATTTTGGTCAACAAAGTAATTTAAGGTTCAAACTCAATCAATTCAGGATTTTTCTCTCTGTTCCCCTCACACCCTGGCTCTGGTGATATAAATGCATTCTGAGGTATTTGTACAGAGTCTTGGCACTGCAGGAGTGAGTGAGGCAGGCCTTGGGAGCATTTTGTTCCAATGCAGGGCTGGGACAGGCCCCTGGGGCTGGAATTCAGGGAGGCAGGTGCAGGGCAGGGAAGTGAGGGCCGTGAGCCTGCGGGGCTGTTGGGGAGCTAACATTTTCTCTTTCTGGATCTATCAGCTAAACAGGTGTGTCTAGCTTGCAAAAATTCATCAAACTGTACCCTGGATGCATTTTTTCTGACTATATATTTCATTAAAAATAAAAAAATATATATACCATTCTTAGGGACAGAGAATTTCTGCTATAAGATCTCTGTTTTCTCTCTGTCTCTGTGTCTCTATCAGTAGAATTTGTTGTTCTCTAATAGGTAAACAAATGCTAAACCTCAAGTTATTTTTATTTTTATATTTTATAAGGTATTTATGTATAAATATATTTAAATTTATAGATATAGTTCAACCTAGTTGTCCAAAAATGGCTGACTGCACTTTGAACTAACTGAAACTTCTTTGGGTAAACTTCAGTTGTACAGAGTTGTTTCATGTAACTATGTTCTAGACCCAGCCTTAAACTCTAGCCTTGGCCGCAGCTACGCCTGTTGTAGATGAATATTAAAGATCTTGATGGGCTTTGTGGAAGTCTGTCGTAACAGTGGTTTGGGCCAAAATCTCTGCTTTGGGCAGTAGAGAATTTGGCTTGGGCTCCTGGTGTGATTGTGCTCAGATGGTTGCTTGGGGGCCCTATGAACAGCAAATCCCTGGTGCCTTCAGGCCTTTGCACAGTCCTTTTACTATCTTTAGGAACTGATTTGAGGTATTTTTTTAAAAAAAGTCCCAAACGGCAATGACTTTTGCACCAACCTATAGCAGGAACCTTATAAAAAGACCATCAAATACTTCATTTTTCTCAGAAAAATGAATGGAGGCAGAAATTAATTGGATGGAGAGAATTGACTAGGCCTGAAAACACTTAAGATAATTTTACATAGAGTTGGTCTACTTTTCTAATTTTCATAAACCAAATTAAAGTGGATTTCATGACACCTGTGGTTTTGAAAACTTATTTCTTAGGATAAGTATGTATTAAATAGAATTAATACTATTGGCCTGTTTAGACAAAAAAAATCAATTAAGTGAGAACAAAAATTAGAGTCTATAGACAAAACAACCGGCTGACTGACTTACTCTTCACTTAGCTTTTGGTCATTTTATAATGATTGAGCCTTAAAATCACATTGCTTAATATGCAGTCCTCAAAATGTTCTTAATTAAGCACAGATGCACATTTTGCATTTCCAGCTATGCTTCTGCCTTCAAGTCCATTGCTTATGCCAAACAAAGCAGAACATTCCTAGAAATACGAACCTTATATGGAATAGTTTATGTTCTTTACATTTTTCCTACCTCTGTGATTCATACATCTTAATTATGACAGAAAAATATATTTGGAGAAGGTCCTGTGTGCCCCATGGTATTACAATTACTTAGTACTGCTAATTATTAATGACCTGTATTATAAATGTTTTTCAAAATGGTTTCTTCTTTCTTAACTCTTTGCTATAACAGTCCCCCAAATTGTGCCTCTCCTGGGAGGTGGGGTATGTCTGGGATATGTGATAGATTGGAACCGCATGGGCTCTAAGACAACATTTCTGGCTGGCTGGCACAAATTCGCCCCAAAATATAGTAGTAATGTCTCTGGGTTCCTATAAAAGGGGGTAAAGTTATACCAACCTGTTTTATGAGACTGTTGGGAGAGATAAATTGTTAAGAGAAAGTATAATGACAACAATATGTATGAATCAATCCCCTGAAACATAGGAGTTTAAATGCATTCTACAGATCAGGTAAATAACTGGTTACCCAGCTATGTAACCAAAGAAAGCAAATGTCCACTTGAATTAAGGATAATGAGAATAACATATGCATTAGAGAAACATACCAATCAGGTAGGTGGAATTCGCTTTCCTGTATTTGAAAAGGTTAGCAGGAAATGTTAACTATGTAATTGAATATATTGTAGCAGAAATGAGGGATGTAATGTTATTATAATTGATCACAAAATATCTATAGGCAGAAATAAATAAGGCTGCTCACCAGTGGCTTTTCAATCTGCCTCGGAAAGCTTTATGATAATTTGCTAGGAGAAAAACCTCTGGTCACTATTGATTAATAATGCATTTACAATATTTTTCTGAAATATTTTCCTGCTTTATGTCTGTTAAAGTAAATGCAGCTGATGACAATACATCTGAGAGAAAACTTGCAGGAGGCCAATCTCAAAGGAGCATTAACAACAATTCCATCCAGGTCTGGAGCCTCCAGACATTGGAACTGTGTCCTAGTTACACGAAAAGCTCTGCAAGTGTGGAATTCCAAAATTGTATAAATGTTTTCTTCCCAAAACATCTTTTTTTTTTTTTTTTTTTTTTTTTGATACGGAGTCTCGCTCTGTTGCCCAGGCTGGAATGCAGTGGCATGATCTCGGCTTACTGCAACCTCTGCCTCCTGGGTTCAAGGGATTTCTGGGTAGTTTTTGTATTTTTAGTGTTTTTGTATTTCACCATGTTGGCCAGACTGGTCTCAAACTCCTGACCTCAAGTGATCGGCCTGCCTCAATCTCCCAAAGTGCTAGGATTACAGGCGTGTGCCACCACACCTGGCCGCAATACATCTTCTTTTAAATAAAACAGAATTTGAAAAGAGCTGTGTACAGTATTTCAAATATTCCTTCTTTGATCCCAGGTTTGGAAAATTAAATCAATATTCCATCCCTTTGTGTATACATACATTATCTTTTCTTTATTCATCTTTTTTTTTTTTTTTTTTTTTGAGACAGGGTCTTGCTCTGTCACCCAAGCTGGAGTACAGTGGCATGATTATAGCTCACTGTAGCCTCAAACTCTTGGGCCCAAGTGATCTTCCCGTTTCAGCCTCCCAAGTGGCTAGGACTACAGGTGTGTGCTACCTTGCTTGGCTAATTAAAAAAATTTTTTTTTTTTTTTGTAGAGATGTGGTCTCACTATGTTGCCCAGATTGGTCTTGAACTCCTGGACTCAAGTGATCCTCCCTCCTTGGCTTCCCATAAGGGCTGAAATTGTGAGCTATCATGCCCAGCCCCATTCACCTGTTGATGGACACTTAGGTTGATTCTGTATCTTGGCCCAACATAAAGAAATGATAAATACTTGAGGCGATGAATATGCTGATTACCCTGATTTGATCATTATATATTGTATACATGTATGAAAATATCACTCAGTACCACAAAAATATGTGCAATTATTAGGTGTCATTTAAAAATAAAAAATATTCCTTTTCTTGTTGTGGAACTAGAATAATGTCCCAATTCACTTTATGGCTGGTAAATATATTTTTCCTTAGAAATAGGAAACCAAGGGGATGATATTCCTGCCTGTGATGCCCCAAAATATTTATACCTCGTGTTAATTGAAACTATTTCCAGAGCAGTTTAATTCAGTCCATCATGAGGGTGCTGGTCAGGTGAGAATGGCTCTTTGGAGGCCTGGATGACAATCTTTCCAGTTTCCCATGAGATAACAGATACAGCCAAGAAGTATGGGAAAGAAATTGTGGGCAGTATAGAAATCTAGCAAAAACACAGGAACCAGAATCATTTTGCAGTTTTTTTTTTTTTGGCGTACAGATCTATTTTTGTGCTATTGTAAAAGATATTTTAAAATATTAATGTGATTGTTTGCTGCTAGTATATAGGCATGCGATTGCTCTTTATACACTGATCTTGTATGCTGCAGCCTTGCCAAACTCATTTACTAGTTCCAGTGGCTTTTGGTAAATTTTGTAGGCTTTTCTTCATAGGTAAGTATATTATCTGCAAACAAATGCTCACTGCCTTCTTTCCAATCTGAATGCCATTTATGTATGTATGTATGTTGTATACATATTTGCTTATAGTCCTGGATGAAACTGTCACTACAGTGCTGAAAGAAGGATTTTCATGGTGGAAATTCTTGTTCCTAATCTTTATTAGGATGTTAGCTACAGATTTTTTCATAGAAATCCATTATTGGGCTGAAGAAATTCCCTTCTATTTTCAGTTTGCTGAGAGGTTTTTTTTTTTTAAGGTTTTTTTTTTTTAATGGATGTTGGATTTTGTCAAATGCTTTTTTATGCCTCTTTTGGGATGATCATATGGTTTTCCTTTTTAAACTGGTTAATGTAGTTAATTATATTGATTTTTTGAACGTTAAACCAATCTTATATTCCATACTTCTTAAGAATTTATACATCTGTATTTATGAGGAATGTTGGTCTGTAGCTTTCTTTTATTGTAAAGTTTCTGTCTGGTTTTGGAATCAGAGTAAAGCTGGCCTCATAGAATGAATTGGGAAGTATTTCTCTTTAAATTTTCTGAGTTTGTGTAGAATTGTGTGTTAGTCTGTTTTTGCATTACTCTAAAGGAATACCTGAGACGGGGTAATTTATAAAGAAAAGAGATTTCATTGACACACAGTTCTGCAGGCTATGCAGGAAGTGTGGTGCTGACATCTGCTCCTGGTGAGGCCTCAGGAAGCTTACGATCATGGCAGAAGGCAAAGGGGGAGTAGGCGTGCCTCGTGGTGAGAGCGGGAGCAGAGGGAAAGTGGGGAGGTGCCACAGTCTTTTAAACCAATTAGATCCAATGTGAACTAACTGAGCAAGAACTTACTCATGATCACTAGGACAGCACCAAGCTATTCATGAAGGATCTGCCCCCATGATCCAAACACCTCCCATCAGGCCCCAGCATCAACACTGGCGATTAGATTTCAACATGAGATTTGGAGGGGACAAACATCTAAACCATATCACATTGGTATTATCTCTTCCTTATATGTTTGATAGAATTCCCCAATGAAGCTATCTGACCTGGAGTTACTATATTTTATGAAAAGTTTTAAAATTACAAATTTAATTTCTTTAATAGATAATTTAAATAGTTCTTTATCTTCTTATACTTACATCAGCTTTGGTGGTCTGACTTCAATAAATTTGTCTATTTCATCTAAGGTGTCAAAATTACTGCCTTAAAGTTATCTCTCTCCTCTCCCCTCCCCTCCGAGACAGTCTTGCTCTGTCACCCAGGCGGGAGTGCAGTGGTGCGATCTCAGCTCACTGCAACCTCTGCCTCCTGGGTTCAAGTGATTCTCGTGCCTCAGCTTCGAGAGCAGCTGGGATTACAGGAACTCGCCACCTTGCTTGACTAAATTTTGTATTTTCTTTAGCCAGGCTGGTCTCAAACTCCTGATCCCAGTGATCCGCCCGCCTCGGCCTCACAAAGTGCTGGGATTACAGGTAGGAGCCACTGCGCCCAGCCTATTTTTCCTTTTAATACATGCAGAATTCGTAGTGATGTTCCCTCATTTTGATATTGGTAATTTGTGTTTTCATGCTTTTTTTCTGATCAGTCTGGATATAGGTTTACTAATCTCTAAAAAGTTTTTGGTTTCATAAATTTTCTTCATTATTTTTTGTTTTGATTTTTGTCTTTATTTTTATTATTTCCTTTTTTTCTGCTTACTGTGGGTTAATTTTGTTCCAAAGATAGAAGGGGTTGTTGATTTCAGAATATTTCTTTCCTAATATATACATTATGAACTATATATCCCTCCAAGTATTGCTTTTGCTGTATTTCACAAATGTTAATATGTTTTGCTTTCATTTTCATTTAGCTCCAAATAACTTTCTAAATTTGCTTTTGATTTCTTCTTTGACCAGTTGTGTCTCCAGAAGTGTGTTATTAAGTTTCCAAATATGCGGGGATTTTCCAGGCATATTTCATTATTGATTTCTAATTAAGTTTTACTATTATCAGAGAACATACATCATAAGATTTAAAACCTTTACATTTATTGAGACTTGTTTTATGGCCCTGAAAATGGTTGATCTTTATACATGCTCTATGTGCCCTCCAAAAGAATGTGAGAGATGATAAAATCTCTAACCAAAATTGTGGATTTGCCTATTTCTTTTTGTATTTTTATCAGTTTTTGTCTCATGGATTTTGAAGATCTGTTACTTGGTACTTAAACCTTTGGAATTCTTACTCTTTGTGAGAAATTGAACTTATTATTATAAAATGACCTTCTTTTATCTTTGTAATATTCTTTGCTTTGAAATCTACTTAGGCCAATATTAATATAGCTGCTTTGGCTTTTTTTTTTTTGATTAGTGTTAGCATGGTCTATCTTTACTCATCTTTTTAACTGCTAACCTATCAGTGTCTTTATAGTTAAAGTACATTTCTTGTATATAGCATACAGTTGGTCTCGTTTGTTTTTTATCCAATTGAATAATCTCTGCCTTTCAACTACAGTGCTTAGACTGTTTCCTATAATATGATTAGTAAATTGGTTGGTTTTAAACCGATTACCTTGCTATTTATTTTGTACTTGTCCCTCAGTTTTCTCTTTTTTGTCCTTTTCTGCCTCCTTTTTGATTGAATATTTTCTTTTTCTTTTTTTTTCTTTCTCTCTCTTTCTTTCTTTCCTTCCTTCCTTCTTTCCTTCTTTCCTTCTTTCCTTCTTTCCTTCTTTCTCTCTCTCTCTCTCTCTCTCTCTTTCTGTCTGTCTGTCTGTCTGTCTGTCTGTCTGTCTGTCTCGTTCTTGAGATGGAGTTTCACTCTTGTTGCCCCGGCTGGAGTGCAATGGTGCGATCTTGGCTCACCGCAACCTCCGCCTCCCAGGTTCAAGCCAGTCTCCTACCTCAGCCTCTCGAGTAGCTGGGATTACAGGCATGCGCGACCATGCCCGGGTAATTTTGTATTAGTAGAGACAGGTTTTCACCATGTTGATCAGGCTGGTCTCGAATTCCCAACCTCAGGTGATCCACCCGCCTTGGCCTCCCAAAGTGCTGGGATTACAGGTGTGAGCCTCCGCGCCTGGCTGAATATTTTCTTTTTAATGATTCTGTTTTTTTCTCTTTTGTCTGCTTATTGGGTATATGTATGTGTGTATACACACATGCAAGGTGGCAAAGAAGTGAAGAATGTGCCATCCCAAAATATGCCTAATAGTTATATTGATTATTTTGAGTTGAAAACATCGGAGAGATTTTAGTTTCAGAAAGGGTGAGTTGACCTGTCTTTCTACATGCAGCAAGTGGTGAGGATTCCCGTGGTGGAGTACCCTCTCCAAACCCTCTCCTGATCCAGAGAAAGGCCCTAACTCTCCTCAATTCTGTGAAGGATGAGTGGTGAGGAAGCTGCGAAGAAAAGTTGGAAGCTAGCAGAAGTTGATTCATAAGGAAAGAAGCTGACTCCCATAACATGGAAGTGCAAGGCGGGGGAGCAAGTGCTGTTATAGAAGCTGCAGCAAGTTATCCAGAAGATCTAGCTAAGATCATTGATGAAGGTAGCTACACAAAACAGATTTTTCAATATAGATGAAACAGCCTTCTATCCAATGCTTTCTTTCTCTTTCTTTTCCTTCCTTTCTTTTCTTTCTCTTTCTTTCTTTCTGTTTCTTTCTCTCTCTCTCTTTTTTCTCTCTCTCTCTTTCTCTCTCTTTCGCTCTCTCTTTCTTTCTTTCTCTCTCTCTCTCTTTCTCTCTTTTTTTTTTGAGATGGAGTCTTGCTCTGTCACCCAGGCTGGAGTGCAGTGGCGCGATCTGCAAATGCGGCTCACTGCAAGCTCCTCCTGGGTTCACGCCATTCTCCTGTCCCAGTCTCCCGAGTAGCTGGGACTACAGGCGCCCACCACCATGCCCGGCTAACTTTTTTTTGTATTTTAGTAGAGGTGGGGTTTTGCTGTGTTAGCCAGGATGGTCTTGATCTCCTGACCTCGTGATCTGCCCGCCTCGGCCTCCCAAAGTGCTGGGATTACAGGCATGAGCCACCATGCCCAGCCTCTCTCTCTCTTTTTTTCTCTATCTTTTTAAATTTTATTTATGTAGAGACAGGGTCTTGCTCTGTCACCAAGGTTAGAGTGCAGTGGCACAATCACAACTCACTGCACTCTCAACCTCCAAGGCTCCAGCAATTCTCCCACTTCAGCCTCCCAAGTAGCTGGGACCACAGGCGCGTACCACCACTCCCGGCTAATTTTTGTATTTTTTTGTAGAGATGGGTTTTTGCTGTGTTGCCCAGCCTGGTCTCAAACTCCTGGGCTCAAGCGATCCACCCACCTTGGCCTCCCAAAGTCCTGGGATTACAGGTGTGAGCCACCCTGCTCTGCCTTGTTTCCACTCATTCTGAAAATTCTAGGGCTCTTAAAAATTACGCTAACTCTACTTTGCCTGTGCTCTATCAATGGAACAACAAAGCCTGGATTATTATACATCTCTTTATAGCATGGACATTTTAATCCTACTGTTTAGACCTATTTCTTAGAAAAAAATTTCTTTCAAAATATTACTGCTCATTGACAATGTATCTGCTTACCCAAGAGCTCCAACAATATATGTACAATAAATGTACAAAAATATTAATGTCATTTTCATGCTGGCTAACACAACATTCATTCTTTAGCCTATGGGTCAAGGAGTAATTTTAACTTTGTCTCATTATCCAAGATGTACATTTTGTAAGGCTATTATTTAAGATACACATTTTGTAAGGCTAAAGGGACAAGACCAACCATTAAAATTTTCTCCATATCGGCAAAATGGAGATCCTCCAATGGGTCTGGACAAAGTCAATTGAAAACCTTCTGGACAGGAGTCCTCATTCTAGATGACATTAAGAACATTTGTGATTAGTGGAAGGAGGTCAAATAACATTCACAGGAGTTTGGAAGAAGTTGATTTCAACTTTCATGGATGACTTTGAGAGGTTTAAGACCTCAGTAGAAGTAACTGCAGATGTGGTGGAAGGAACAAGAGAAATAGAATTAGAAGTAGAGCCTGAAGATGGAATTGAATTGCTGCAATCTCATGATAAAACTTCAACTAATGAGGAGTTTCTTCTTATTTATGAGCAACGAAAGTGGTTTCTTCAGTTGGAATCTATTCCTGGTGAAGTTGCTGAGAACATTGTTGAAATGGCAACAAAGGATTTAGAATATTACCAACACTTTGTTGATAAAGCAGTGGCAGAGTTTCTTTTGAAAGAAATTATATTGTGGGAAAAATGCTATCAAACAGCATTGCATGCTAAAGAGAAATCCTTTGTGAAAGGAATAGTCAACAGATGTGGCAAACTTCATTGATATCTTATTTTAAGAAATTGCCACAACCACCTCAGCCTTCAGCAACCACCATCCTGATCAGTCTGCAGCCATCAACATCGAGGCAAGATCTTCCATCAATAAGATTATGGCTCACTGAAGGTTCAGATGATCATTAGCATTTTTTAACAATAATTTTTTTGAGACAAGATTTCACTCTGTCACCCAGGCTGGAGTGCAGTGGAGTGATCATGGCTCACTGCAACCTCAACCTTCTGGGCTCAAGCAATCCTTCTGCCTCAGCCCCCCAAGTAACTAGCACTACAGGTACCCACCACCATACCTAATTTTTAAATTTTTTATAGAGATGGGATCCCACTATGTTTCCCAGGCTGGTTTCAAACTCTTGGCCTCAAACAATGCTCCTGCCTTGGCCTCCCAAAGTGTTGGGATTACAGGTGTGAGCCACTGTACCTGGCCAATAAATTTTAAAATTAAAGTATATTCATAGTTTTTCAGACATAATGCTATTGCACACTTAGTAGACTATAGTATATTATAAACAACTTTTACATGCACTGGGTTATATGGTTTGGCTCTGCGTTCTCACCCAAATCTCACCTTGAATTGTAGCTTCTGTAATTCCCATATGTTGTGGGAAGGACTTGGTGGGAGGTAATTGAATCATGAGGCCGGGTCTTTCCCATGCTGTTCTTGGCATGGTGAATGAGTCTCATGCGATCTGATGGTTTTATAAAGGGGAGTTCCCCTACACAAGCTCTTTTGCCTGCTGCAATCTAAGATGTCCCTTTGCTCTTCATTCGTCTTCTGCCATGATTGTGAGGCCTGCCCAGCCATGTAGAACTGTGAGTCCATTAAACCTTGTTTTCTTTATCCAGTCTCAGGTATGTCTTTATTAGCAGCCTGAGAACAGACTAATAGACTGGAAAACCAAAAAATTTTTGTGGCCATTTATTGTGATACTCACTTTTTGCAGTGGTCTGGAACTGAATCTGCAAGGTCTCTGAAATATGTTTGTATATAAGCCCTATTACATTATTAGTAATTTTTTCTGTCAACCTAAATAATCAAAAGGGTCCAAGTTTAATTTAAAGAGAGTTTATTCAAGTGCGGAATTTGAGGATGAGCCACCTGGGAAGCACAGATTCCAAAGAAGTCAGTGTTATGAAATGTAGAAGTTTGGGATCATTTATATAGACAAAACTTAGGGAAGCCTAACAGAACTTCATTATCTTTCTGTGTAAGGCTGAATGCATAGTTACAATGATATGATTAGTCAGGGTGGTCTTTTTCTTTGGGGAAAGGCATATTTACCTTCCACACTGAAGATGTAACAGTCATGGAGTCTTGGGTGCCATTTGGTTAGTTGGGTGCAGGATAATAAAGGAGGCAGTTAATCTTGAACAAAGATCAGTGATTGGAAGGGGAGAAGGTCTGGTTTCTGGTTTATCCTAGTCATATATTGAACAAGAACAATGAAGAAGAGAGTTAATCCATAAACTAAGAGACCGAAGTTGCAGACATGCTACAAGACTCAGTCTCCAGGGCTTAACTTGCCTCTTGGCATAATAAATTTAGAAGGTCCTGAAATTTTTTCTTTTACATTTCTTTTTTTTTTTTTTTGAGACGGAGTCTCTCTCTGTTGCCAGGCTGGAGTGCAGTGGCGCGATCCTGGCTCACTGCAACCTCTGACTCCCCGGTACAAGTGATTCTCCTGCCTCGGCCTCCCAAGTAGCTAGGATTACAGGCATAAGCCACCACGTCCAGCTAATTTTTGTATTTTTAGTAGAGCCGGGGTTTCACCATGTTGACCAGGATGGTCTCGATCTGACCGCGTGATCCACCTGCCTCGGCCTCCCAAAGTGCTGGGATTACAGGTGTGTGCCACAGCGCCTGGCCTCTTTTACATTTCTTAAACTTCCAATGATATGTTTAAAACATTAAAAAATTGTCTCTATTTACCCACATATTTACCATCTGTGCTATTCTTCATTCCTTATTTAGCTCAAGATATGTCTGGTATAATTTTCATTTCATATAAAGGACTTTCTTTAATATTTCTTGCAGTACAGGTCTGCTGGTGCTGAATTCTTCCAGGTTGTGTTGTGTTGTTTTGCTTTTTGACTGAAAAAGCCTTATTTTGACTAATTTTTAAAACATATTTTCAGTGCATGTATGATTTTACAATGACAGTTAATTTCTTTTAATTACTTTAAAGATATTTTATTGACTTTGGTTTTGTACCTTTTTTAAAAAATGAGAAATTTGCTGTCCATATTTTTTGTTATCTATATTGCAGAGGAGGAAAAATGGCTTCTGTCTAACCTGCCCAGGTTCTTTGGCTGGGTTATGAATTAAATTGGCATAAAACAGATGAAGATGAGATAAACCATTTTAATTATGTACGTATGCATGGGAGTCCAGCAAAAATGTGAGACTCAAAAAAGGGCCAGATGATTGAAGCTTATATAGCATCCTGAGCTCCAGAAAGGAATAGAGGCTTGAGACGTCTAGTGGAGTGCTGGGATGGAGATGAGTTATGACAGCGTGAAGGGAGAAATTGCATGGTAAATAAAGGTTGCCTCATTATGCAGATAAAACTCAGGTGTTAAAAGTTTTCTCCGAACAGCTCTGTCATTGGTACAGATAACTTTACTAATGGAAATGTCCTTTATAAATGTAAATTTCCTTTACAAAAGGGGAGTTGTATGCTTTATTTTAGAAAGTTGAGGGGAGAGGTGAAGAACTTTTCCTGTATTGGCTGGTTCTCAGTTTCATTTAACTCAAAGTAATCAACATGCCTCGGTGGCATATTCTGGTCTCCTGGCATATTTTGGGGTGATGTGGCCTGAGCCCCAGTGGTATGCAATGTGTCTTTTCTTCCTCTGGCTTATTTTAAGATTTTCTCTTAATCACCAGTTTTAAGTAATTTAATTATAAATGTGCATTGTTTTACATTTATTATTTTCTGGTGCTTGGTTTCTAATCTTATTGTGTCTGTGGGCTTATAGTTTTCATCAAATTCCAAAAAGTTTTTGCATATTGCTTATTCAAAATTTTTTTTCCATCTTCCCCCCTCTTTCCATTCTTTTGAGAACTCCCAGGGCATATGTATATTAAGCTGCTTGAATCTGTTCCACAGCTTACTGGTACTTTATTTCTTTTAAAATCTTTTTTACCCCTCTGTGATTAATTTTTTGTTGGTTTCTATTTCAATGGCTTCAATTTCATTATCTTTTCTCCTGAGATATCAAATCTGCTTTTATTCTTACTCAATTTTTCATCTCAGACATTGTATTGTTCATTCTTCAATGTTCAGTTTGGGGGCTTTTAACATATCTTCTCTGAGTACTAGCAGTTTCTGTCCTGGAGCTCAGGCTGAAGAGTTAATATTTGTGTATATGCCACAGGATAGTCTCCAGGGAGAGAACAAGCAAGACAGTCTTGACAAGTGACAGAGGGCCAGGAACGGGACAGGACATGTTCCCATCAGCCAGAGTGGAACACCTCATGATTCTTGGAGCATTAGGTAGTGTACTCAAACGTTTACTACCTCAGTGGTGTGACACAATTATCCATAGATTAAATGCTACTGTGGTCTTATCTTTAGAAAGCTGAAAAGCAAGACCCACAAGGATCGCACTGTTGCCAAGTGACTTAGCTGCATCCAAGAACAAAACCCAGAGATATTTTTAGGAATGCAGAAATATCCAGTACCTAATTAAAGTAAACTTCAGGCCAGGTGTGGTGGCTCACACCTGTAATCCCAACATTTTGGGAGGCCAAGGCAGGCAGATTGCTTGAGCCCAGGAGTTTGAGACCAGCCTGGGCAACATGGCAAAACCTCCCCTCTACAAAAAATACAAAAATTAGCCAGGTGTGGTGACATGTGTAGCTGCCTGTAGTCCCAGCTACTTGGGAGGCTAAGGCAGGAGGATCATTTGAGCCCTGCATGCAGCGGTTGCTGTGAGTGGAGATTGTACCATTGCACTCCAGCCTGTGTGACAGAAATGTCTCAATAATAAAAAGAAAAAGAAAGTAAACTTTACAATATTTGACATCTAGTTAAAAATTACTAGGCATGCAAAGAAGCAGGAAAATGCAGCCTATAATAGGAAACATAATCAATGGAAGGATTCCTAGAAATGACACAGATGATACATTTGTAGGAAAAAAAAAAACCGATACACTAACAGTATCATCATCTATTTTACATATGTTAAGAATGAAGCCTATAAAAAAACTTTTTAGCTCCTGTAACAGTTACATCAGCAAAAAGATCTTTCTCAAAATTAAAATTACCAAAATATATTTGCAATCTTGCATTTGTCAAGAGCAATTGACACTGCTTTCAATTACATTGATTTAAAACGAAGTTGATATCTTAATAAATGAATTTGCCAAAGAGCAAGCCAAAAAGATGTTTTTTTTTCCCCCTTCTTTTATTTCTGGTTCGGGGGTACATGTACAGGTTTGTTACATGAGTAAATTGCATGTCGCTGAGACTTGGTGTGTGAATGATCCCGTCACCAGGGTAGTGAGCATAGTACCCTATTGATAGGTAGCCTTTCATCCCACGGCCCCTTCCCATCCTCCTCCCTCAAGCAGTCCCAAGTGTCTATTCTTCTCATCTTTGTGTCCATGTGTATTCAGTGTTTAGCTCCCACTTATATGTGAGAACATGCGGTATTTAGTTTTCTGTGCTGCCTTAGTTTGCTTAGGATAATCCACTCCAGCTTCATCCATGTTGCTGCAAAGGACATGATTTCGTTCTTTTTATTGACTATATAGTATTCCAAGGTGTATCTGCACCACATTTTCTTTATCTGGTGCACCATTGGTGGACATCTTGGTTGATTTCACATCTTTGCTATTGTGAATAGGGCTGTAATG